>NC_000017.11:12915353-13218383 GCF_000001405.40 Homo sapiens
AGTATATTGTGTCATCTGGGAAGATGGCATGACTTTCTACTCATTCAGGTCTTCTGTCGTTTGCTCATTATTAATCAACTTTTGGATTTTTTTTCATTGGATAATTGTCTATATATCCATGTACTAATTACATTTTCGTGGCTTAGGAGTCAGGGCTTTCTTTCTATCAGGACCTATTGAAATTGAGCTTTTGCTTTGTATTTGAAGATGATGTTTTTTTAGCGGGCAGATTTTAGCTATCCAATGTTCTCCTCAGAGATAGAAGCATGTGTTTATAGGCATGTGTGTCTGTTTTCTCTCTCATGTTTCCCCACATTTCCCCTTGTGCCCCAGGCACACAATGAGTGGCACCTTTTGGAAGAATTGATTATTTCAGAAATGCAGAGAGCTGGAACAGGTTGGCCCAGGGGAAGCCATGGAGATCAGCCAGCTTATTAACACTGACTTGTGAAAGTTTACAAGTGAGCCAGGAGGTGAGGGGAGGGTAACGCCAGTGAAATGTTGTCTTCAAGAGTATTCACTATTTCTTTCCCCCTTGGATTACAGGAAGATGCTGAAACTCTGTGGAGAGACGGAGGACAAGCTGGCTCAGGAGCTGATACATTTTGAGTTGCAAGTAGAGAGAGACGTGATTGAGCCCCTGTTTTTGCTGGCGGAGGTAAGCAGCAGGAGTGAGGCCAGGCCTGAAAGAGCAAGGAGGTACCGAACAGGAGCCCCTCAATCATTCTGTTTCCAGCATTCTACTTCTTTCCCTTAACCTTCTCCCCAACATTGTTTTTCATCAGGGATTCTTACCTAACCACATGGTCAAGATTCCCAAATATGTCCTTTTAGCATTTGCTACCCCTTCTCCTACCCATTCTCTTCCCTGCAGGCATTCCTAGAAGTAAGGTGGAAAGCTGGCAGCTTACCCGCTTCCCCACCCACAGCCTCGACTGCCTTCATCCCCACCTTCCACCCATCTCAAGTCTTCAGTGCTGTGAACAGCAGCCACTCCTTACTAGGATTCTGGGGGCCCAGGCCTCCTGCAGTTTTATGTTTTTTTTTTGAGATGGAGTCTTGCTCTGTCACCCAGGCTGGAGTGCAGTGGTACGATCATGGTTCACTGCAACCTCCGCCTCCCAGGTTCAAGTGATTCTCCTGTCTCAAGCCTCCCAAGTAGCTGGGATTATAGGCACCCACCACCATGCCCATTTAATTATTATATTTTTAGTAGAGACGGGGTTTCACCATGTTGGCCAGGCTGGTCTCGAACTCCTGACCTCAGGCGATCCACCCGCCTTGGCCTCCCAAAGTGCTGGGATTATAGGCGTGAGCCATCGTGCCCAGCTGCAGTGTATGTTTATATGGGTCCCTTGTCTTTGGACTTTAAAGGACACTCAATTAAACTATTTTATTAAAAAGCAACCTTAATGCCTATGTGAAAACTTTGCTAGCTTCAGCCAAGTGAAAGCTTCTCACGGGAGATAGGAAATGCTTGGGGAGCTTTGAACCCTGAATCCCTCTCAGTTGTTTTTAATTCGTCATCTGTTAATAGATTGAGCATCTCAAACCTGAAACAATCCGAAATCTGAAATATTTTGAGCACCAACATGATTCTTAAAGGAAATGCTCATTAGAGCATTTTGGATTTCACATATTCGGATTTGAGATGCTCAACCGGTAAATATGATGCAAATATTCCAAAATCCCAAAAACTCCCAATCCCAAATATTTCTGGTCCCAAGCATTTCAGATAAGGGACACTCCATCTATATAAAATCTAACCAGCACTATCCCCTAGAACTCTGTATTAGTCAGGGTTCTCCAGAGAGAGAGAACCAACAGGATATATGAGAGGGGTTTCTCCCCTATTAGGGGAAGTTGGGATTCTCCCCTATTAGGGGAAGTTGGCTCACATAATCACAGAGGGGGAGAGGTCCCATGATAAGCCATCTGTAAGCTGGAGAACCAGAGAAGCCAGTAGCATGGCTCAGTCCAGAAACCTCAGAACCCGAAACTCAGTCCAGGAACCTCAGAAGCTGATCGTGCAGCCCCGAATATGAGGTGGAAAGCCAGAGAGACCCCCATTAAATGTCAAAGAACCTGGAGTCTGATGAGGGGAAAAGGCATCTCACTACGGGAGGGAGGGAGAGAGAGAGCAGAGAGAGAATCCTCCTTCTTCCACCTGTGTGTTTCAGCTAATTGGATGGTACCGCTCCATTGTGGGTGGGTCTTTCTCCCAGCCTGCTGACTCACACATTGGTCTCTTTTGGAAACACCCTCTCAGCTACACCCGGAAAAATACGTCACTAGCCTTTGAGGCATCCATCAGTCCAGCCAAGTTGACACCTAAAATTAACCCTCGCAGACTCCCTACAATGATGGAAATATTCTCAATCTGTGCCGTTTGATAGCCACTGCCCTTAAGTGGTTTTTGAGCACCAGTGCGATTCAGGAACTCAATTTTTTAGTTTCTTTAATTTTCGTTAATTTAAATTTAGAATTTCATAGCTACGTGCGGTTAGAGGCTACTGTATTAAACTGCCTTGCCCTAGACCCTGTCTGGCTTCCTCTCTGAACCACAACGAGCACCTCCACATCCCCTGACACTCTCTCTGGGACAGAGGTATGGGCCGGTAATTACTTATGGACCTGAAACTATTCAAGGAGAAAATCGTGGATGAAGTTCTTTGGGATTGACCAGCTCTCAGCTTCTCAAGTCATCTCCTCGCTTGGAGCATTCACGAGGTCCCCTCTGTGCCTCAAAAGGAGGGTCCCGGGTCTGGCCAAAGCCTAAAGCAAACCAAGGAGCAAGTCCGTTGTGGGTGCTGACAGTCACTTGGCTCAAGCAAGATACCCAGTGGCCCTCCAGCTTAGCTTCGGAGCTGGGTGGTGACTCAGGTTGCCTGGGGACAGTTACACTTCTCCTTCCTACTGGAAGTTGTTACACGCAGAACATTACTCATCCCTGCTCGGGAGAGTGAATAGAAAGCACTTCAGAGAACATTGGATTCTCCTCGAATTTTTTCCTTATATAAAAACCGCAGCCCGAGATGATTTTAGTTCAATTTTCGGCCAATTTTCGTTTTGCATTCTCACATCCTGCCCTACTTTTGCTGGGCCCGGAACCAAAATCCTGCACTGGGATGTTCAGTGAAGCCATTTTTAGAATGAAAAAATATAAAAAGAGCATCTACATACAACCAAAATGGAAGAACTCGTAGCCGAGAAAAGCCATGATGGCAATGTTTATTCATTATTGACTGGAAAAGTCTTACTTTATTTCTATAAATATAAACATTTGCTTCCTTTCTTTTTATAAATATAGAATCTGTATCCTAGATGCAGCCATAGCCTCTCCACGCTCTTCCTCCTTCAGCTGTCCATTTTGCCTCAGGTCTGTGTCAGACATGACTGCGTGGCTCCCTTCATTTCTCCCCACTTTTGGCCCTTCTGGAAGTAAAGAGGGATGTGGTTGAGCCCTGGTTTTTTTTTGGCAGGGCGGGAGTTGGGGGCAAGGTGAGGGCAGGAAAGTGGCCAGGCCTGCATGAGCAGAGAAGCACAGGACCTGTGAGATGGTCTGGCTTGATGGAGAGCCTGGCTGGTGTCCAGCAAAGATGGAGCAGAGTTTAGCTCAGGAAAGGGCATCAATAATTTCATCTGATGTTGGTCAAAGGGTACAAAGTCTCCCTTAAGCAAGATGAGTAAATTCTGGAGACCTGATGTGTAGCACTGTGTGACGATGGTTAATGATACTGTATTGTAGACTTGAAATTTGCTAAGAGGATAGATCTTCAGCGTACTCACCATCAAAAAAAGAAAATAGAAACTATGGGATGTGATGGATATGTTAATTAGCCTGAGTGTAGTAATGATTTCACAATGTGTGCATATGAAACCATTAAACCGTACACCTGAAATATATACAATTCCTATTAGTTAGACCTCAGTAACACAAAAGGGAAAAAAGGATTTCATCTGAAAATAAGGATTGCGAGACCGCTAGTAAACTTGTTGGGTGACTTCCAATAGTTCTTTAAGAATAGTTCTTCTTTTTTTTTTTTTTTTGAGACGGAGTCTCGCTCTGTCACACAGGCTGGAGTGGAGTGGTGTGATCTCGGCTCACTGCAACCTTTGCCTCCTGGGTTCAAGTGATTCTTCTGCCTCAGACTCCCGAGTAACTGGAATTACAGGCGCATGCCACCACATCTGGTTAATTTTTGTATTTTTAGTAGAGTCGGAGTTTCGCCATATTGGCCAGGCTGGTCTCGAACTCCTGACCTCAGGTGATCCACCTGCCTTGGCCTCCCAAAGTGCTGGGATTAGAGGCATGAGCCACCGCGCCTGGCCAGGAATGGTTCCTAAAGAATTTATCTTGAGCTTCAGTTTAATTGTATCTTTTATGTTGTGTAACCACAGGTGGAAATCCCAAATATTCAAAAGCAGAGGAAACACTTAGCCAAGTTGGTGCTGGACATGGATTCCTCACGAACCAGGTAGAATCTCTTTACTTTCTTTTTTGCTTCTTTGAAGGGACAGTGATCATATTTTGGGCGGGTGGGTTTTAAGTAGGCAATTGTGTTTTCATTCACCAAGTTTTTCTGGACACCTAACGTGTACCAGGCACTGGAGGTAGTCACAGTGAACTCGAGACACTGGGTCCCTGTTCTCATGAAGGCTGCAGTTGAGTTTTGGAGGTAGACACTAGGCAAGTGAAGAAACAAGACAGTTCTAGAAAGATATGTCATATAAAAAATGTGGCCGGGTGCAGTGGCTCACACCTGTAACCCAGCACTTTGGGAGGCCAAGGCGGGCGGATCACAAGGTCAAGAGATCGAGACCATCCTGGCTAACATGGTGAAACCCTGTCTCTACTAAAAATACAAAAAAATTAGCCGGGCATGGTGGCGGGTGCCTGTAGTCCCAGCTACTTGGGAGGCTGAGGCAGGAGAATGGTGTGAACCGGGGAGGCGGAGCTTGCAGTGAGCCGAGATCATGCCACTGCATTCCAGCCTGGGCGACAGAGCAAGACTCCATCTCAAAAAAAAAAAAAAAAAAAGTAACACAGGGTAGTTTTGGAAGGCGATGATGGAGAAAGGGAGCAACAGCATTAAGGATAAAAGAGAAAAAGCTTTTTTGAGGTGGGTCATTTTGGTCTTAGACTTAGATGATGAGAAGGTGGCAGCCTTACAGAGATCTGGTGCAAAGCATCTATGGCAGAGGGCACAGCAAATGCAAAGGCCTCTTCAAGGCACAGAAGGAAGGTCGGCATGGCTGGGGCGGAAGGAGCAAAGGGAAGAGAAGTAGGAGGTGAGAGCCAGGAGGTAGGATGGTTGCTATGTCCTGTCCATTACAGGAAATTTCGCATTTTGGAGACTCACTCACCTTTTCCTGAAGCTGATGGTGTAGGTGTCTGCTTTCTGTAGCCTTTCTCTTAACTTGAGTCCTTTCAGAGAGCAGTCAAGTACCTGTAGGGCTGTTCTTCCACACCCATCTTCCAGAGTCCACCAGAAAATTCCTGTAGTAGCAGGCGGGTGCCAAAGGCCCTGAGACAGCATTGCCTGTGGCTGTCAGAGCAGGAATTGTGCACATATGTCCTTTTATTTTTTACAGTGGGATATGTGTATATAAGTTGAAAAAGGCAGGTGCGTGAGTATTAATATGGAAAGAACTATTTGGTTCTACCTTAGGTTTTTCGTAGACCAACTTTATTTTTTTATTTAATGTATTATTTATTTATTTATTTTTGAGATGAAGATTTGCTCTTGTCACCCAGGCTGGAGTGCAGTGGCGCGGTCTCTGCTCACTGCAACCTCCGCCTCCCAGGTTCAAGTGGTTCTCCTGCCTCAGCCTCCTGAGTGGCTGGGATTACAGGCACCTGCCACCACGCTCAGCTAATTTTTGTATTTTTAGTATACACAGGGTTCCGCCACGTTGGCCAGGCTGTTCACGAACTCCTGACTTCAAGTGATCTGCCCACCTCAGCCTCCCAAAGTGCTGGGAAATTTTTATTATTTTTAAAAATTTTGAGACAGGATCTCACTCTGTAACTCAGGCTGGAGTGCAGGGATGTGATCATAGCTCACTGCACTCTTGAACTCTTGGGCTCAAGCAATCCTTCTGCCTCAGGTCTCCCAAGTAGCTGGGACTACAGGCATGTGCCACTACACCTGGCTAATTTTTTTATTTTTAGTAGAGACAGGGTCTCACTGTGTTGCGCAGGCTAGTTTCAGACTCCAGAGTAGGCCAATTTTAATCATCTTCACAGCTTGTTTTCATTTTCTTGAAATAAAGAAACAGAATATATTTGGGCAAAGAGATGTAGCATACAGAGTTCAGAAGGTCAGATTTCAAGGTTCAGATTTCAACTATTTTCTAGATATGTGACCTTGGTCAAGTCACTTAATCTCCCAGAATATCATTTTCTTCACCTGGACGCAAGGAGTAACATTCGTGGGTGGCTGTTTTGAGTACTAATATCACTTCCCAAGTGCTTTATAAAAAGAAGCTGATACTGTAAGTAATTGTTGCACTGGAATTCTGCATCAGGAAGAATAAAAGGTACAGAGCAGTCCCCCAAGACCAGACATAAAACAGGTTAAAATCAGCAAAGAAACAAGGGTTTCTTTGGTTAACTTACTTGTCCCCAAACCCTCAGTCCACCTGAATGATTTTTGCCATCTGTGTCGATACATCTTTTAAGAGAGTTGATTACTTTTTCAAAATAAATATATTTTGAAAAGAAATCCTTTCATGCTACCATAAATTGGAAAGCAGTATCCTTTGCTACAAATACCAGGTAAGCATAAAAGTGAACAGATGAAAGCAAAGCCAATGTTACTAAATTTTAGAGCCTGTTGACTGTGGAAGAATGTCATCCTGAAGCTCATCTTCCTTTGTTAAAAAAGAAGAAGGGGAGGCGAGGCGTTAGGTGGTTTTAAAATTATTCTGATGCAAATATGAGACTAACCTCTTTAGCGTGCTTGGAGGAATAGACAGCAGAATGAGTGGGAAGTACTGATTTGCTATTACCTCTATGACCTTGTGCCACGTAAAATTGCATCCCATAATATGAGTGTTCAAGTACCCTATTTTGGGAGTCATGTAAGATGGCTGAAGAAATGCAGATTGCCCCATTGTTTTCATGAGGTGGACACCATGCTCCTGGGCAGAGTGACATCCTTCTCTGAAACCTGGGGCTTAGCTCTGAAGTCTTTTCTTTGCATCTACAAAGAAAACCCACATTTCCACCACAGAGCCTCTTGTTAGCAGGCTGAATGCTAGTATCAAACCATGTCATTACCATACATATTTTTGTTTTGTCTTCTTATGAGAAGGAGAATTATTCCTGGTCACATTGATGGTCCGTTCTCCTGCCTCAGCCTCCCGAGTAGCTGGGATTACAGGCACCTGCCATCACACTCAGCTAATTTTTGTATTTTTAGTATAGACGGGGTTTCGCCATGTTGGCCAGGCTGGTCACGAACTCCTCTAGCAGGAACACTAGACAAAGTCTAGAGTTATGTTTTCAGTGGTGACACCAAGTAGTCTGTAGGTTCTGCAAACGTACATGCCACTTGGTGTCATTAGGGACCTCTCCCCTGTGATTTAACAAATGTTTTTATATCTTCAGCTTATCATCTCCTGTATATTAAAATCTAGTAAGGAAATTCTACCCCACCCCCATGCAAATTTCTGTTTTTATAAACTTCAACTTGGACCCTTTATAACCTTTGTTGTTTTAGACTAAAAAAGTCTTGTTTGCATTGTTTTCATATAAACTTGATCCGTCTCCTTTATCACATCGGTGATTTTTCATAGCCCACTTTGTGCAGTTGTGAGTTTAGGGATAGGGAATTGCTTTGGGGGATTGTTTGTTTTTTCGTTTTTTTGAGACAGAGTTTTGCTCTTGTTGCCCAGGCTAGAGTGCAATGGCGCAATCTCAGTTCACTGCAACCTCCACCTCCCAGGTTCAAGCGATTCTCCTGCCTCAGCCTCCTGAGTAGCTGGGATTATGGGCGCCACCACACCCAGCTAATTTTTGTATTTTTAGTAATTTTAGTAGAGACGGGGTTTCGCCATGTTGGCCAGGCTGGTCTCGAACTCCTGACCTCAGGTAGATCCGTCTGCCTCAGCATCCCAAAGTGCTGGGTTTACAGGCGTGAGCCACTGTGCCCGGCCGCTTTGGGGGATTGTTGACAGTACAGTCCCCTTGAAAACTCAGTTGATTTCCCCTTCAGGTGTCAGCTTTGGTAACCGTGGCGGGAGATCTAACTCAAGGCCTCAAGTTATAGATTCCCCATAAGTATGAGTTATAGGCTACAGGATGAAAAGGGCATTTTTAGCAAAGGTATACTCTTTGTTTCCGCTTTACTCTCAGACTGGCCATTTCTAGCCTGAGTCTACCTGTCTTGTAGGACCTTGCCAAAAGCCATAAGAAGCCAACCCAACACAACTTCCTGCCATTTTCCCTAACTCCTCACTCTTAGCCCGTATGAGGTCTGCATCCCAAGATATAGCAGTGAGAGCAAGACCAAATGCTGTGCTATTGAACAGCAGGGATCACCAGCTCCTCTTCTGGAACAGCTGGGTTCTGAATGCTCCCCCCCTACCCCCTGCATTTCTCCATAAAGCCAATGGCACAGGTTAGTTTTTCTTCCTTGCAGCATCCTACTTCTGATTTATTTCATATTGTTCTGTCCTTCATGAAGTATGCTCTGCAGCACTGCAACAGTGAATTCCACATAGAGACCCTCCGCCTTTCAAGACAGGAAGTAGATTTGTATATATTATCAGCACATCTTGAACAATAGTCCCATGACTGGATCTTTAATTTCTGCCACAATTCTGATGGATACTGTCAAATCCAATTAATTTATCTCGTGTTTAATTAGATCCCAATAAGATGTGTATGTTTGTCACTATTGAAGTAAATCTGGCTTGTCTGCTTCAAAAGCCAATGATACAGACCTCAATATTCTCAGAGAAACTGATGCTTACAGGACGCTTTATGCTGAATTAAAGGTTGTGAATTGAATTGAATGATACGCAAATTTCTTTTTTGTGTGTGATAGGTTTGGTTTAGCAGTGCTTAAAGAAGGAGCCTAATTTTTCTCCAAAGTCAGCCTGACTTTTTTCTGGTCATGTAGCTCAAGGTTAACCCTCCCGAGTCTGGGACACATACACATTCCATTTCTGCCGAACCAGCTGCCTCTGGGTCCTAGGGACTGAATGGTATCTCTCCAAAATTTGTATATTGAAGCGCTAACCCCCAATGCGACTGTATCTGGAGATAGGTTCTTTAGGAGAACCTTATTAAGGTTAAATGAGGTCATAAGAATGGGCCCCTATTTCACTAGGATTGGTGGCCTTATAGGGAGAAAGAGTGATCTCTCTCTCTACACGCACTCAGAGGAAAGCTGTGTGAGGACAGAAACAGCAGCCATCTGCAAGTCACAGATAGAGGTCTCCAGCCTCTGTCTTGATCTTGGATGTCCAGCCTCCAGAATTGTGAGAAGATAAGCCTCTGTTGTTTAAGCCACCCAGTCTGTGGTACTTTGTTATGGAAGCCCTACCTTCTTTGGAAGCAAGTGAACTAGTGTAAGTAAGACAGGAGGGTTTTGGAGTGGAAACTGTGCAGGCTATGGAGTTAAGAAGTGGAATTCTGGAGGCGGGGCAGTGTGAAGTCTTGTTAGAACTGGCAGTGGAGTCTCGATGGCCATCAAAACTCATTCCTCGTCTCTCACCCCTCCCCATACAGGTGTCTTTTTCTCACATCTGATTTCTTCAAGGTCACTGGATGTCGCATGGGCTCATGTCTCCCCACTATGAGCCCTCTTCCTTTTGCCCCAATTCCGAAAGTGCCAAAGAGGGACTCCATTTGTCTGGACTTTGCTCATATGCCCACTTCCATGACTCGTCAGTTGGGTCAGTGTGAGGAAGGATGGCACAGGCTTGACTTGGATCAGAGGCCCTCACCTGGGCCACTCACTGCCTGGGTCATGCAGAACCTGGCAGTCCCCTTTTTGACCACACATTACTGCAGAGTGGAAGCAGGAACTTAAAAAGTGGGGGATGCCCATGGCAGAGGAAGGGGCAAGACTAGACAGAAGGAACAGTGAATGCCCCAATGAAGACACTCTCCTGTCTGCCTTTTAAAATTCTTCTTCTGGACATTCTGTTGTCCTGAACTGACCTGCATTTGCCTTCTTTACATATTCCTGGTACCTGAAATTTTAAACCCTTATTCCTCTCCCTTCTCTCTCATCTCTCCCAAGGCTTCATTAAAGCTTGTGTCCCATCTTCATCTCCCCCAGATCACATAGTCACAAGTCCTCTTTCCCCAGAGAAGGATGGTGGTACATCAGCTACTTTAGTGAGAAGAAATGATCCTTCTGCTCTTCAACTTTCAAAGCTCAAAGTTTCCTTGGACAATGTCTAGTGTTCCTGTTTCTCCTCTGACAGAGCAGCCCAACTCTTGAGTTTATGTGTAGAACAGAGGTCTGAAAAGACTACCAAACCTTGAAATTCATAATTCGTGTTACTTTTCCCAAAATGACTATCTGTACAAAATTTTCCCAACATGACTATCTGTACAAAATTCATGTCACCTTTTCCAGCATGAGTATCTGTACAAAACTCGTCTGTTCACATGACAAGAGTTTACCTTGGTATTTTGTTTGCTATTTATGTTCCACAAAGAGAACATATTTTGGACATCTTGTCACTGTTTTAAAATATCAAAATAGACCAGGCACGGTGGCTCACGCCTATAATCCCAGCACTTTGGGAGGCGAATGAGGGTGGATGGCCTGAGGTCAGGAGTTCAAGACTAACCTGACCAACATGGCGAAACCCCGTCTCTACTAAAAATACAAAAATTAGCTGGGCATGGTGGCATGTGCCTGTAATCCCAGCTACTCGGGAGGCTGAGGCAGAAGAATCGCTTGAACCCAGGAGGTGGAAGTTGCAGTGAGCTGAGATTGCACCACTGCACTCCAGCCTGGGTGACAGAGCGAGACTTGATATGAAAAAAAAATTATATATGTATTATATATAATATATATTGTATATATATAATATATATGTATATATAATATATATGTATATACATAATATATATACATATATAATATATATAATATATATGTATGTATAATATATGTATATATATTATATATGCATATATATTATACATACATATATATTATATATATAACATTGTAAATTGTAAATAAAATTTCTTATAAAAAGGGGAAATGTATATGTTTTTAAAGCATCAAGATACTGACTACAGGATAAAATCTGGAGGAAAAAATAGATGAGAATAAAAAGAAAAGAAGGAACTTGGGAAAATGTCTTCATTTTAATATACCTATATTTAGTATGATTCTGTTTTTTAAAAAATTTAATCCTGAGTTACAAAGCCATAAAAATCTACTTAGTGTTTGTAGTCACTTTATATATATTTTAAACACTTTCATATTGGTTAGTTATTTTTTCTTCAGGTAGCATGAGTCAGATGGTGGTTCTAACTTAATTCCATAATCTACCATTGTGTTGTAGTTATTGTCTGAGATCTAAATTACAGCCATGGCATCTCGTATTTTATTCTCCAAAACTCCACAACACTTTAATACTTTATTTGAAATGATTCAACTGGGAGAGTATTAATCAAATATATCACTTGTATAGGGTAAACCTTTATAAGAAAAAATTACCCAGGAATTCTTCCTAATCTTGATCTGTTATTTTTTTTTCAACTTAGATGTTGAAACATCTTTCAGTAGAATATTTCCTTTCTAGTTTGCCCTGAATTCTTATCTTGGAATCAGGAATCTTTCAGAGAACATGTGTTCATCTCTGGAGCTTCAAGCCAGCTTGATGTCTCAAAACCTTTTTAAAGTAATTTTCCCGTGATTGCATTCTTTAAGTGACAGAGAATCCTCATTTTTGCTCCTTTTTGCTAACAGCAAGGAGACTTTTAGTTTCCATTTCTTGTATTATAGAGCCTTGCATTCTTCTGTTTTTCCTGCAGATAGCAAAAGAGAAAAGAATAGTGGAGTAGAGAAAATACTAAATGATTAGATTCTTGACTCTTGACATGAGAATGACATTCTACTTTCTGTCCTCGCATCAGAGGCTGCAGACTGATGGTCTGAGATCCAGATAGAGCCCCCAGAGCTCTCTTGTTTGGTCTGTATGCTGTTAGCCTGCATGGTTTTTAAAAGAAATTATTTGTTGCCACATTTCACTTGGGAGAGTTCACATAACAATTTCCTCCTTCTCTAGTCAGTTGAAACATCTGGCAACCCATGACCCAGCTTCCTGCCCACCTCAGCCCCATCAGCTGGAGCTCATGAACAGCTACCCTCTCTTAAACAAGGCAGGATCCCTCCTACCAAGTTCCCAGCTCCCCCTGCTCCCGCCTGACTTCCCAAGACTAAAGCCAGCCTTGGCTGCTGTTTGTCCTCCTGATTACAGGATTGTTTTTCTTAGAGCTGAGAAATAGTTTTATATTTCCTGTCTCCATTACAAGTAGGAAATAGAGGATCGTGCGGACTAGTTTTTAAGATAATGGCCCATTTGATTTATTTTATTTTTTTTTAACTTGCTGGCCTCTATAACCCATTGAGTTTACAGACTCAGGAGAGGAACCCACTGCTGAGACCTAATTCAGCTACTACTATAGCATAATTGGAACCATCTTTCCAATTATGCCTACTTTTGGTAATTCCCTGCTGATAACACAGCAGCCAGAAATATTTGTATTTCCTCCTAAAGTTTTCTGAGTGACTTCGTTAGAAGGCCAAATTTTTAAGAAAACATTCATGAGGAATCTAAATGTTGCCATAAAAATTGTTTTGGGCTTACCAGTGGAGATTTTTGCTATCAGATTTGTTTTTAATCTTACCAGCATGTCTTCTCACTTAGCATACGTCACTGGCTTCAAGCCAAGAAGGTGAGGATTTCCATACTCAAATTCCCACAGGATAGGCAGGGGACTTAAACCAATGATAGAGACTGTGCTTAAAGGGCAGTGATAGTTATTTTGAAATATATAATATACAGTATATTACTATAATCACCCTGATTAAACTTCAGATGTCTCACCACAGAAAATCATGAGTAAGTGAGGTGATGGATATGTTAACTAGCTTGATTTAATCATTCCATACTGTGTGTGTGTGTACATGTGTACATATATCCCAACACATCACATTGTACCCATAAATGTATATGATTATGATTTATCCATTAAAAATAACATTAATTTTTTTAAAAAGACAGCAGTAGTGATTGCCATTTGGCTTTAGTGTTTGGAAGACAATAGAGAAAATAGTGACAAACCAGGGGATGCTCGTCCTATCTGAAGGGGCAGCTGATTCTCAGCTTCAGTAAGCAGTTGACGCATGGAAATATGGGCCCACTGTCTCCTTGCCTAGTCCTTGGTGCCTTTTCATGACCTCCCTTTTCCAGTGAGGGTATGTAGTTCCCTGGGTGATATTTGTAACCAGATGTTTTCTCAGTGCTCCCATGGGATCCCCAGGGCTCTACCTGTCTCACATCTCTTTTTCTCCTATTTTCCATCAGGTGGCAGCAGACTTCCAAGTCTTCAGGTTTGTCCAGCAGCTTACAGCCTGCGGGTGCCAAGGCTGATGCCCTCAGGGAAGAAATGGAAGAGGCTGCCAACAGAGTGGAGATTTGCAGGGTACCTGCCCTCTTTGCTCCTCTCTACTGGGACAGGCTGGGGAGCCCTCAGGGATTCCCTTTTTGTTCACTGGAGTTCTCTTAAAACTCTGTCAGTGAGGCTCTAGTTGAACTGAATGTCCCCAAGCCCGCCGGCTAGCATCTCCAAGGAGTCCAGGATGAACCCAAGGAGTTGGGGCTTTGATGGTGACCTAGACAGGGAGGCAGCATTCATTTATCATTGGTGGTCCTGCATGCTAGGCAAAGAGGAATGACCTTTATTTCTGTGTGAAGCTTTTGTAAATCATCTGAGTCCCAAAGAATAAATTCTAGGTGACACAGGACAGTTGAGAATTTGACCATAGATGAGCCTTGACTCACTGTTGATACTTAGTTATTTCCTTTTTGGCTGCGTTTTGATATTTCCTGAGTTGCTTTATCCATCCTATGCCTCCTGGAAGACACTTATCTATGAAGTTGAAATGCTAGCCATGAAAAGAGTCACAGAAAAGAAAACTTCCCACTTGTTAAGAGAGAGGACATCGTTCTGAAAACTGCGACTCTGTACTCGTGTAATGATGTCCTTCGTTGTACTCATTCAGATGTTTCCCATCTCCTTTTCTTGCAAATATTTCACAGGACTTAGGTAGCAATAGACCATTCACGATGCTCTGTGTATATGTACATCTCTTTACCTGCATATATGTCAGCTTGGGTTTCTAAGGAAACCAAAACTCTATTTAGACCCAAGGAACAAAAACATCACATTTCTGTAACTATTCTGGGAACCTGTCCTAATCACATCCAGTTTTGAAGGAGAATAACCAGTTTGCCTGTGGACATCTCTGTTCTTCATGGCTCTGTCTAGTCTTAGCTTGTCCATAGGCTTTTTCTCTTACAGCCACCCTGTGCAAGTGGCTTTGACCTTGCATTCAGGTGACATTCAGAATCAGGGAGAATTTCTCTCTAGAATTAGAAACATTGAAAGATTTTTAAAGAATTCATTATCTCCCAGCCTACAGTACTATGGAACCAAGCAAAGTAAGACTAGTACTTCATATGCCAGATTTTTTGTGAGTGCAGCTGATTTGTCATTTGAACTCCTGCATATATGCCAAATATCTGGCGTGTGTGGTATTCCTGAAGCATAACTCTTCTCTCCTTCCAATTTCATTTTTACTGTGTTTTCTTTTTTTATTCTTTTCTCTCTCTCTCTTTTTTTTTTTGAGGCAGAGTTTCGTTCTTGTTGCCCATGCTGGAGTGCAATGGCACGGTCTTGGCTCACCGCAACTTCCGTCTCCCAGGTTGAAGTGATTCTCCTGCCTCAGCCTCCCAAGTAGCTGGGATTATAGGTGCACACAACCACGCTTGGCTAATTTTTTTTGTATTTTTAGTAGAGACGGGGGTTTTACCATATTGGCCAGGCTGGTCATGAACTCCTGATCTCAGGTGATCTACCTGCCTCGGCCTCACAAAGTGCTGGGATTACAGGCGTGAGCCACCGTGCCTGGCCTACCGTCTATTTTTTAACTATCTACCATGGATCTATGTTCCTCTGTTAAGAATTCTTTTTTCTTTTAATTTCTTTTTCAATAGACAAGAGAGGGTGGTGGTAAGCAAGGATGCTGGATGTGAATATCCAAATAGATCAGGATAAAAGTTCAGTAGCTTTATCCATTCCTGTCTAGCTTATATTCGCTATTGTGCCAAAAATGTATTCATTTCCTCTTCAAAGATTCGTAGTACATGTTCAGCATAATGAGTTAAAAAATACAAAAATATATAAAGAAAAACACTAATATTCTCTCCCTTCCTGTCCAGCAACCTTTCTGTTTCCAAACAGGGTAGAAACCTCCCCACCAATATTTGTTAAGACTTCATTATGACAATGCACTTTGTTAGGTGCCAAGCAGCCATAACAGTTATAAGGATAAGGAAGCCAGTGCTAGATAGAACCTGTTATATCATACTCCAGACTTTTCTTCATAATCATACATAGTCATAGCATTTTTCTAGTTATTTATATGTTTGTTTGTTTTTGTTTTGTTTTGTTCTGTTTTGTTTTGAGACAGAGTCTTGTTCTGTTACCCAGGCTGGAGTACAGTGGCGTGATCTCGGCTCATTGCAACCTCTGCCTCCTGGGTTCAAGCAATTCTTATGCCTTAGCCTCCTGAGTAGCTGGGACTACAGGCGCATGCCACCACTCCTGGCTAATTTTTATATTTTTAATAGAGACAGGGTTTCGCCGTGTTGGCCAGGCTGGTCACAAACTCCTGACCTCAGGTGATCTGCCCGCCTCAGCCTCCCAAAGTGCTAGGATTACAGGTGTGTGCTACCACGCCCGGCCTATATGTTTGTTTTTAATAAAACAGTCATATTATTTATATTAATCTACCATTTAATTTTCTCAGTTAACACCACATCCTGAACATCTCTCTAGGTTAGTAGCTGTAGTTCTAACTTAGTCTTTTTTATTTATTTATTTTTTTTGAGACGGAGTCTTGCTCTGTCACCCAGGCTGGAGTGCAGTGGCGGGATCTCCGCTCACTGCAAGCTCCGCCTCCCGGGTTCACACCATTCTCCTGCCTCAGCCTCCCAAGTAGCTGGGACTACAGGCGCCCGCCACCACGCCCGGCTAATTTTTTTGTATTTTTTTAGTAGAGACGGGGTTTCACCATGTTAGCCAGGATGGTCTCAATCTCCTGACCTCATGATCCACCTGCCTCAGCCTCCCAAAGTGCTGGGATTACAGGCATGAGCCACCGCACCCAGCCGTTAGTCTTTTTTATAAATTGCATGATATTCCACAGTAGGGATACACACACACACACACACACACACACACACACACACACATATCATGATTTATTTAGCTATTTTCCTATTAATGGATGTTCAAACTGGTGTGTTT
Organism: Homo sapiens; assembly: GCF_000001405.40. Lineage (NCBI taxonomy): Eukaryota > Metazoa > Chordata > Mammalia > Primates > Hominidae > Homo > Homo sapiens. The sequence goes on from NC_000017.11 coordinate 12,931,936, forward strand.
TAGTTTTAGTTTTTGGCATTCCCAAAAATGATACAATAAATATATACTTATATGTATATCCTTATACCCTGGTAATTTTTTTTCTATAGGATAGATTCCAAGAAGTGACATTTTTAGGTCAGAGTCTATGCATACATTTTTAAATTTTCATACCTATTGACAGTTTACTTCTCTGAAAAGGAAATTGCATTTTACATTTCAACCAGCAATATATAAAATTGCACATTTTTCTTCATCTCGTAATGCATGTTGCTCCTATTTTCAATTTTTGCCAATTTGGTGAGGGAAGAAAAACTACCTCTTCACTATTGTGTTCTTAATTTCCCTGAATATAAATGTTGATGAGTATCATGTATTTATTGGACATTCTTCATGTATTTATACACATTCTTAATTTGGTGAATTGCCTATTTGCATTGGCAATTGGCCCAGTATTTCTATTGCTTTTCTAAAATATCAATTTATAAAAATTATCTATGTATCAGCAGTTTTAAACTTTTTTCTGCCTGCTGTGCTGCAGATACCTTTTCCAGTCTGCCATTTGTCTTTTGACTTTATGTTGACATCTGCCATTAAAAATTTAATAATGTGTTTCCTTTGCATGGGAAAAGATCCTGGGTAGCCCTTTGGACATCTTCTACACAAAAGTTAAATGATTTTTCTTCTTTAATTTTATGTTAATGTTTTAAATTCATGTTATACACCTATTTTATATACTTTAATACATCTGAAATTTATTTTTGTATATGATGTGAGGTAGGGGTTTCTTTCTTTCTTTTTTTTTTTTCCAGATAGATAGTCAGTTATGCCAGCATCATTTGTTAAATAAGCCACCTTCCCCTGAAGTGAAATTTCACTATCTAATTACTCTAATTTATTTCTGGACTCTATGTTTCATTAATCTGTTTGCCTGCACCTGAGACGATAGTATACAGTTTCTATTCTAATGATTTCATAGCAAATATAATCTTCAGTAAGGTAGCCCCCACTCCTTTTTTTGTAGTTATCTTGGCTAGTCTGTTACATCCATTTTATTATATGAACTTTGAAATGATCATATCCAGTTCATGAAACCCTACATTGTGCTCAAGGGAGTCTCATTTGTGTGCTGAACTGACCTCCTTGAGAGTGCTTAATGCTGGTTTTGTTAAAGTTCTCTTCTGATTATTCTTTTATTTTTACTTTGTTGGTTGCCAACTGTTTTAAATATCTACCTTGGTTTTCCTACCTCCCCTTGCTGGGTTTCCTCGAATGGGTTATTTCCCCTGATCTCTTCATGGTTTTATATTTCCTCAGCAGGCAAGTGTTTGGGATCTCCTATATTGTGGCAAACCAGCCAAGTGCCAGTTTGTAGGCTGAAAGTTAATGAAGTAGTAATCTGATTCCTCTTTTTTGAGGACCAAGCAGAGCTCCCCAGATCTTTGGGAACCAGAGAGATTTAGCCCACCAGGAAAACCAAGTCAAGATGTGTTCCATAAGACAAAACCCACTGAGCCCTCAGGCAGGCTTGCAGGTGCAGCACTGCCTTCCTGTGTTCTTTCAGGAGCCCATCCAAACCCTGCCTTCCTCCCTACTTCAAGATGAGACAAGCCCAACTCTTCACAAGTGGTACTTGCTTTCTCTTTTCTTCCCAAGGCTTTCTATAAAAGACCCCTGAATCAATACATCCAAGGAAGTATAAGTAGTTGGTAATTTTTCAATAAGAGGAGAGAAAGTGAAGAAGGACCTGTGAGCAATGATGTAACAATAGAGAAGACAGTGAATAGAAACCTAATCCACTTGGCAACAGCAGTATCAGTTTCATTTTGCTTCGTACAGGAGACTGGCTGCAGTCTTAGGATTTTCACTGTAAAGTGACACTTTCCATCATCACCTTTCCTGCTTTTATCTCCCCATATTTCATCACATAAATTCTTTTTTTTTTTTTTTTTGAGACGGTGTCTGGCTCTGTCGCCCAGGCTGGAGTGTGGTGGCACGATCTCGGCTCACTGCAAGCTCCGCCTCCCGGGTTCATGCCATTCTCCTGCCTCAGCCTCCCGAGTAGCTGGGATTACAAGCGCCTGCCACCATGCCCGGCTAATTTTTGTATTTTTAGTAGAGACAGGGTTTCACCGTGTTAGCCAGGATGGTGTCGATCTCCTGACCTCGTGATCCACCCGCCTCAGCCTCCCAAAGTGCTGGGATTACAGGCGTGAGCCACCGTGCCTGGTCATCACATAAATTCTTATCCTTGCTTCACCCACGTCTCTGTTTTTCTCATTTAGCCTTGTCCTCTCTCTCTTTTAGTTTGTATCTCTTCTTTTCCATTTTATTCTTCTTCAATGTATAATCTTTCCTTTTTGAAAGTCAAACTTGAGTCTGGGAAAGACAACAACAGCAGGACAGATGTCTAGCTCATTTTGTCCTCCCCACAATCTGAAGAGCACATATATTGTTAGACTAAAAGACAACCTTGAGTCTGAACCTACAATTCCTTACTACAAAATTAGTGCCATGTCATGGGAAGTAAATGAGATGCTGGAAGAACCCATCAGTACTCTCTAATTTGGAAGGCTGTGGAATGGTTGGGAAGCATTTACGTTACTTCAGATCCCTTCTGCCAAAAGTATCTAGCCCAGCAAACCTACGAGCAAGCGTGGCCACACCCAGTGGGAAGCCAACTGGTGGCAGAGCTTCCACTGGTGTGGATTTTTCTGAAACACCAGTGGAAGGATAGGAATAAATAGGAGGAGCACAGAGGACTTGGGGGCAATGAAATTATTCTTAGGATACTATAATGGTGGATACATTGACATACATTTGTCAAAGCCCCTAGAATATACAACACTAGGAGTGAACCCCTAAGTAGACTATGAACTATGGAAGACAATGATGCACCAATACAGGTTTATCAATTGTAAACCTGGGCTGGGACCTTCCTTGGCGTGTCAGGCAGGAGTACCACAAGGAGGCTGGACACAGCCAGATCATTTACCTAACATGGAGGACAGAAGACATCATGTACAAAGATGTTCTTTGGTCTGTTAGCTTCAACAAATTCAAATAATTTTTATTATGATTTCTGAAGTTGCCTGCAGGCATCCTCTGTGGCAGCAGCCCCACAGGTTCTGAGTCACTAAATTTATATCGGACAGAACTTAGATCTGAGAAGATTCTATCAGAATAGGCAGGAGGGGCAGGAAAGAGATGCTTACCATTTTAAGGTCAAAAAATAATCCTGAATAGATTACTTTTCTATGTTGAAGATAATAATAAAATACTCAAAAAGAGAACACTTTAAAAAAATATTTACTTATGATAACAATAAATTTCAGACAACATGTCTTGGTGCCTCAAATACGATTAAAGGGCATATGGGCCGGGTGCGGTGGCTCACGCCTGTAATCCCAGCACTTTGGGAAGCTGAGGCGGGTGGATCACCTGAGGTTAGGAGTTCAAGACCAGCCTGACCAACATGGTGAAATACTCTACTAAAAATACAAAAATTAGCTGGGTGTGGTGGCTCATACCTATAATTCCAGCTACTTGGGAAGCCAAATAAGGAGAATCACTTGAACCTGGGAGGTGGAGGTTGCAGTGAGCTGAGATTGCAACATTGCACTCCAGCTGGGGCAACAGAGTGAGACTCCATCTCAAAAAAAAAAAAAAAAAATCAAGGGAATATGGATTTTAGGCACCAATAGATAAAGGTGAGATAAAATTGTCAAGTAAAGTGGAAAGGGAACTGAATGAGATTAGGAAATATTTTTTAAGTAGGAAAATAATGCAGGTATGGAATCGATTTTAGTAAACAACAGAATTGACACTGCAGAAAGGTGAGCCAATGATGTAGAGAAAAATTTGAGAATTTCTTCTAGAATGTTAAGGTGAGAGCCAAAAAGAATGAAAGAAAAGATGGCAGATGTTGAAGATAATGGAAAACCAATGTACAGATAATAGGGGATCCTGAAAAATAAGCCAAACAAATCAGAAGAGCATAGAAAAATAAAATTGACTTGCGTCAAAGATCTCAATCTCAAATCTGTGATTCTGAAAAACAGAGATTTTGCACTTTTCTTTACCTTTGAAATGATTTTTTAAACAAACGTTCTTAAATCAGTAAACTTTATTTTTTAGAGCACTTCTAATTTTGCAGCAAAATTAAGTGGAATACAAAGAGGCCTCCCATATATGTCATTCCCCCACAAACATACAACCTCCCCCAATGTCAACATCACACACACAGTGGTAGAGTCTGTTACAATTGATGAACCTGTATTGGTGCATCATTGTCTTCCATAGTTCATAGTCTACTTAGGGGTTCACTCCTAGCGTTGTATATTCTGGGGGCTTTGACAAATGTATGTGAATGTATCCACCATTATAGTATCCTAGAGAATAATTTCATTGCCCCCAAGTCCTCTGTGCTCCTCCTATTTATTCCTCCCTGCTGACCCTTGACAACCACTGATCTTTTTATTGTTTACATGCTTTTGTCTTTTCCAGAAAGTCATATAGCTGGAATCCTACAGTATGTAGCCTTTCCAGACTGGCTTCTTTCACATAGTAATATGCATTTCAGTTTCCTTCAAGTCTTTTCATGGCTTAACAACTCATTTCTTTTTAGCCCTGAATAATATTTCATTGTCTGGATATACCACAGTCTATCCACTCGCCTACTGAAGGACATTTTTGTGGCTGCCAAGTTTGGGCAATTATGAACAAAGATGCTGTAAACATCCACATGCGAGCTTTTATGTGACATACGTTTTCCATTCATTTGGGCAAATGCCAAAGAGCATAATTGCCTGATCATATGGTGAGAGTATGTTTAGTTTTGTAAGAAACTGTCATACTGTCTTCCAAAGTGACTATACTCTGTATTCCCACCAGCAATATATGAGAGGTCCTGTTGCTCCACATCTGTGCCTGCATTTAGTGTTGTCAGTGTTTTGGATTTTGGCCATTTCAATTAAGGTTCTGATCCTTGTTCAGTCTGTTTTTTGCCTTTTACTGTGTTTGTAATTTTTTGCTGAAAGGCGGACATGATGTATTATAAAAGAAACAGCGGTAAATAGTTCTTTGGTGATGTGGTAAGGTGTGGGAGAAGGGGAAGCATTCATAGTGCTATGATCGGTCTCTTTCTTTTGGTGAGCCTGTGCCTTAGGGCTGTGAATTTCACCAGTGCCTCTCATTTTGTTGTTGTTTTAATTATTATTATTCCTTTCTTAGGTGGGACAGAATTGCTAGAGGGGGTTGGCGTTGAGTATTTCCCTTCCTCTTGGTAGGTTAGGCAATTTTAAAAGCCCAATAGTTTAGGCTTGGGTAAAATAATTTCTCTTTAGGGGAGACCTTGTTAAGAATGGAGTACTCTAGTATATTTCAAAATGGCTACTTTTTTCCTCCTGGTGCTGAAAGCAGGAGAGGATTTTTCTCTGAAATTTCCTGTGAGAACCTGATCTTAGAGCTCCTAGAGGTAAAAGTGGGTCCCCCTGGAGGATTTAACTTTCACACTTGTCCATGCTGGGCCTCCATCAACTCGTCAATTACAGTACTGGTTTTCCTGCCCCAGTACTGATTTCCGCAGAGGTTTCTGCTAGTATCTTTTTACTTCAGTGAGTTATAATTCTTGTGTTTGCCTGCCTGTGTCTCCAATTTTCAGGGCAGCAGTTTGCTCTGTGAACTCACTTCACTGCCAAATCTAAGAGTTGTTGAGTTTCAGTTTGTTCAGCTTTTTACCTGTTAGTACTGACTTCAAAGCCCCCTGCGTGCTGGACCAGAAACTGGAAGTCAACAATAAAAATCAAGGTGTGATTTTCACCAAGAAAAATTATTTAAAAGACCAGTATTTATAAATATCTTGGAGGCTTTTTTAAACAACAGAATATTTAAAATCCTACCATTGGCCAGGCGTGGTGGCTCACACCTGTAATCCCAGCACTTTGGGAGGCCGAGGTGGGCGGATTGCCTGAGGTCAGGAGTTTGAGACTAGCCTGACCAATATGGTGAAACCTTGTCTCTTCTAAAAATACAGAAATTAGGTGGGTGTGGTGGCATGTCCCTGTAGTCCCAGCTCAGGAGGCTGAGGCAGGAGAATCGCTTGAACCTGGAAGGCGGAGGTTGCAGTGAGCCAAGATTGTGCCACTGCACTCCAGCCTGGGTGACAGAAAAAAAAAAAATTCTGCCATAAAATCATGAGCTATTCTACCACAAACTCATGAATTGTAAAATATTGCTAACAAGATTTGACAAGAAGACAATCTTTGACAATATAATGACAAGAAGACATTATAAAATTGAGAGTTGTTTCTAGATGAGAAGAGTTAATATTATAAACATTTTGAATTTCCCAGAATTAATTTGATTAATACTGTAGTAAGTAGATATAATTGTAGTAAATTTTTCAAAGAATGAAAAAAGATTTCAAAAGTTAATATGGAAGAATTACTAGAGCTTTGAATTACTAGTTCTTAAAATACATTATACAGTCACATGATTAAAACTTAGGAACTATTTCAGAAATATATAGATCAGTAAAAAAAAGACATTCCAGCATGAAGAAAATCCAAATACAATGTGATTTCATCTGATAAATAAGACATTTTCATACCATAGAGCAGTCTGCTCAATTCATGAACAGTTCTGGGACATTTGGTTAGCTATATATTAAAAAAAAAAAAAAAAAAAAACAGCTGCCTGGTGGGATTACAGGTTAATTTGGTTACTTTTATATTTTTCTGAGTGTGGATTAGTTGTAAAATCAGAAAACAGGATTTTTCAAAATGCATTAAATTCTGTTGATTAATTATGAAAGGGTTTTTTACCTTTATAAAGAAAATTTGCTAATGATTTAGATAAATGAGAATTTGATTTATAGTTTCCTTACTTGAAGTGTGATTTTTTTGGAATCCATATTGTTAGCTTAACAACACAGTAATCCAATCATGCCTTTAAAAATCCTTTCTTCTTCCTGAGGGCACATATAGATTTTTGTAGGGTCATCTGTTAGAGAAGCACAGATGCCGAGATGTTGAAGGTGTATTTGATGCAACGTTTAGTCCTTCAGGGCCTTCTTTCCTTTCCTCTGTCTACTGAGCCATTTGTATCACTTAACTCTTTGTTTTTCTCTGACTTGAAATGTCCTCCTCCAGCTGCCTGGCTGGTGATGGATATCTCCTGAGCAAAGCTGCTGCGGGGAAGACAGACAGGGTTGATTCCCACCTTGGCAGCCTACAAAAGCATTCATTTAAGGGACCTCAGGTGAAATGGAGCTGAGGTGATGTTTGAGCCCATTTTATTATTCTTTGGGAAATTTACCATCCTTGAGCCTTGATTTTTTTTTTCATCTGTTCATTCAGCAAACAGTTGTGGCGCCCCTACTGTGCTAAACACTTTGAGACAGTGGGTAACAGACAGATAAGATCCTTGAACTCTTGCTACCTATGGATCTGAAATTGGAAATTCAATACTAAACCTAAGAGAGTTAGAGGAGAATTCCTTGTAACATTGTGCCTGGCATCTAGACCCAGTGAATGTTAACTTCTTTATTTTTTATTTTTTTTTTATTTTGAGACAGAGTCTCTCTCTGTTGCCCAGGCTGGAGTGGAGTGTTGTGATCTCAGCTCACCGCAAGCTCCGCTTCCTGGGTTCACGCCATTCTCCTGCTTCAGCCTCCAGAGTAGCTGGGACTACAGGCGCCCACCACCATGCCTGGCTAATTTTTTGTATTTTTTAGTAGAGACGGGGTTTCACCGTGTTAGCCAGGATGGTCTCGATCTCCTGACCTCGTGATCCACCTGCCTCGGCCTCCCAAAGTGCTGGGATTACAGGCGTGAGCCACCACGCCCGGCCAATGAATCTTAACTTCTTTTACTCTTTCTTTATTCTGTGAAACTGGACCAAGCATAACATTGTCTAATCTGTACTTCAAGCTCTCTGGAGAACACACTTCCTCTTTTCACTCTGTGAGTCTGTTCTGTTGCCTTGTGTACAAGAACTCTTGAATGATGTTCTCAGCAATTGCTTGCCTGTCACAGATACTGAAAATGAAACATATTGCTCCTGCAAATCCCAGTGTTCTTAATGAGAATAGGCTTAATTAGCAGCTAGAGAGACTGAGGGTTATGGGGTTGGTGCAGATTGCTTGAGGTTTCATGGAAGAGCCTCTTCCTGAAGCATATAGTTACCTGCTTTCATTAGTTCAGCATCTAGGTCAGCTTTCTTGTGCTGTTGCCATGTTTGCCCCAACCTGAACACGTAGGCTCTTCTCTCCTCAACTGAGTGCCTCTTCTAAGGATCTGCAGCCTAGAGCAGCTGCACAAGGGAGGAACCTTAGAGATCGTATGACTTGAGCAAGCAAGTTCGGATAAGTGACATGCTCAAAAATATGGTTAATGACAGAGTCTACATTCTGCTCAAAATGTACTTCTATTATGCCAGGCTATGAGTGATTCCATAGAACTGAAAGCTGTTCTCCTTGGAGGACAAAACATTCCAGATTTCAATGCAGCATTGGGTCACCCAATCTCATGGACAACTGAATATAGTGAAGGATTGATAACACCATTAGATCTGTGTGCAGTTTTGCATGAGTCCAGATTTTGCCAAGTTTTGAGTCAGCAATCCTTTCCCTGTGCACCTGTCTTATCCAAGCTTCCTCCAAATTGGTGCATTTCCATCTCTTTCCCATATGCTTGTGATCAACCAATCAGTGTTGAGTCAGTATTGAGAATGAAGGGAAGCAGACCAGTGGAATGATCAAAGAGAAGAAATGGCATTATCAAAAGAGCAATAGCACAATGTGTGCTTGGAGCTTGCTTCAGAATAGGGGCACAAGCTGTAGAGATGGATGGAACTAATTTGCACATCACTCCTCTACACCAACTTTGACTTTAACTGTGGTCCAAATGTCAAAATCTCTGGGGAAATGACTGACATAGGTGTTCTTTTCAAACTTACGCATTTTTCAGAGTTGTGGTTGACAAATATGCAAATGCCCATGGAAAGTTTGTATCATATCAAGTATTAAAAAGGAGATTAAGCAGTGTTTAAGGCTCTTTCTCACGTGATGTGTTGACTTATGCATTAGCCACTCTCCATTGGTTTATGTTTTACCTTGGTTGTATATTTTACCTTGCACAGGACCAGCTCTCAGCTGATATGTACAGTTTTGTGGCCAAAGAAATTGACTATGCAAACTACTTTCAAACGGTAAGTGCCCAGAAAGGTGAGATTGCTTAAAGGCTGTTCGTAGGAGAAGGGAATGTGGGCATGGAATTAAGAGTCCCTTAATTGATCACATCATAGAAAAAGGTGGGAGCTTTGACCATTTTACTAGTGAAATAAATCCTGCCATGCTCCTGATATGGATTTCTCCAAAAACCTTAGAATAAAACTCAATCCCATCCCTCGGGATTATTGCAACTCAGTCCACTGATTCTCAGCCAGGAATAATTTTGTTCCTTCTCTTGGTGGGCAGTTGGCAATATCTGGAGACATTTTTGATTGTCACAGTTGTGGAGGGAGGTGCTACTGGCATTTAGAGGGCAGAGGCCAGAGATGCTTGTAAATATCCTGCAGTGCACAAGACAGCCCCCACACCAATGAATTATCCAGTCCAAAATGTCAGTAGGGCTGACATTAAGAAACTGTGGTCTGTGCTAACAAGGGGCTTGAGAAAAATAGGAAGGCAATTCCTTCCCCCTGCACATTTTCTTTTTTAATCTAGATTTTATGAAAGGCAGTGACTGATAGGTATATGATGATTGATGTGGCCTGTTGGCCTGCCTCTCACCAATCAAAGTGATTTAGACAGTAAGAAACAGGATCAGAGTCATCTAAACTTGAATAAACTGGTACAAATAATTAAGACTCAGGTTGTTTACCAGGGTAAATGCAAAGCAAGTCAAAAAACTTCGAAAGAGAAAAAAGTTCAAATAAAAAAAAATCAGTTATGCTCACCTGCCTTTAAAGTTGGGAATAAAAGGCTAAGACCTAAAAGCTCTTGATTTATAATCGGGGAAGGAAAGGAATGATAAAGAAGGAAGGTAAGGAGAGGAAAATCAAGAAATTCTGCAAAGTTTAAAATGCTTTGATAAGTATGGTCAAACAACTGTGGGCTGTTAGAAATTTTCCAACATTTCATTAGTGGTTCAGAATGCAGAGAAGCCCCTTCTACTGGAAAAGGAGTTGATATGCATTACTTCCAACTTGGAAAGTTTAATTAATTAATTTATTTATTTTTATTTTTTGAGATGGAGTCTCGCTCTGTTGCCCAGGCTGGAGTGCAGTGGCGTGATCTCAGCTCACCACAACCTCCACCTCCTGGGTTAAGATGATTCTCCTGCCTCAGCCTCCTGACTAGCTGGGACTACAGGCGCATGCCGCCATGCCCAGCTAATTTTTGTATTTTTAGTAGAGTTGTGGTTTCACTATGTTGGCCAGGCTGGTCTGGAACTCCTGACCTCGTGAGCTACCTCACCTCAGCCTCCCAAAGTGCTGGGATTATAGGCGTGAGCCACCGTCCCTGGTGGAAAGTTTATTTTAAAGTGGTAGAATTTTTTCAGGTGTATTCCATTGGTTGTATTCATGAAGGTAATATTTAATTTTAGAAACTCAAAGACGTTAGAGTTTTACTGATGACCTCATTGACATTCCAAGCTTTACTAGACAGCCTAATTGTCATTCGGATACCATTTATTTCAATATTCTGATTTTTAAAAAAGTTCGTATTAGTTTTACTTTAATTTTACTTAGGGATATTAGTGTCCACCCTCCACAACAAGCCTTCAAGCAGATTAATTTCCTCTGTTTTCCTTATACATGCCCAGTTTTGGGGAAGGGATAGGAGGAGTCAGTAAACAAATGAAGTAACTAGTGTTTATGAGTTTCATCTGCTCTTATCAACATGTTGGCCACTTTTAATTAATGGGATGGTCAAAATAGAATACTTTGAAGGAATTTGTTCTTTGGACTGCATCATTTTCACCAAAGCAATCCCACCTCCAGGGTATTTGAAGAAGATTGCAGATCAAGCCACAAGTTTTCTGATCAGTTATATGTTAGACTAACTTTGCAGAAACAAAAGATGTATACAAGTTAATGACATTTAAGTCGTACATATCTCATAAGTAAATTATTTTTCATATTTATTTCAACAAATTTGTTTCTATTTTAAGAGATGGGGTCTTGCTATGTTGCCCAAGCTGGTCTTGAATTCCTGGGCTCAAGTGATCCTCCAGCCTCAGTCTCCTGAGTAGCTGGGATTACAGGCATGAGCCATCACACCTGACTCAGTAAATGTATTTCTAAATGTGTTTTCCATTTCCACTTGCTACAGTTACCCCTTTCTTTGTTGCCTTTTGCACTGAGGATGGGTTGCCAGAGGAAGAAGGGTGGTGATAAAATCAAGCTCTCTAAGCCACGTTCCAGCTCTGAAGAGCTCCCCCTATTCCTGTCTGGTTCTCCTGCTTCCCAAGTTTCCACTTGTAGTGACTTTGTTGTTATGGAGGCTAAAGAGGAAGCATGCTCGTTATTTTAGGTAGATTGGAGGAGGGAATGGGTGACTACCTCCTTCCGCATGTGGAAGCACCTTTCTGCAAAATGCTTTGCATGCCATGGCAGCCTGTGTCCTTGCCCCTCACTAAGGGTGATGCTTGCCTTGTGTCTTCTCAGCTAATAGAAGTGCAAGCTGAATACCACAGGAAGTCCCTGACACTATTGCAGGCTGTATTGCCTCAGATCAAAGCACAACAGGGTAAGTGCAGGCCTTCCCTGGAGAAGGGAGGGCCGGGGTGCCTGCTTGCCTTCCCGGATGAGATGAATTCCTTGTATGTCGTTGGCCCTAACACTCTGCCCAACAGCATCACCTGTAGATGAGCCTTTTGGACTTACTTCCAAACTGGTGCCTTGAGTCGGGGGTGCGTAGGGGTGCCCATAGAACATTAACCCCAGTGGCCCTGGACGCAATTGGCTGGCCATCCCCCACCCCCTCCTCCAGTCCTCCTGTCATCCTTAAAACCACAGAATGGAGGCTCAATTGGGCCTCCCTCTCTTTGGTAATCTTAGGAGAATCTGGACAACAAAGGAAAGCGAGATTCCAGCATGAGTGAACTTGGCGAACAGCTGACTGACTCTTTCTCACTCCTCCCCTCAGAGGCCTGGGTAGAGAAGCCTTCCTTCGGGAAGCCGCTGGAGGAGCACCTCACCATCAGCGGCCGGGAGATCGCCTTCCCCATCGAGGCGTGTGTGACCATGCTGCTTGAGTGTGGGATGCAGGAGGAGGTAGGTCTGAGCACAGCCACACGCCGCCCCGGGCAGGTCTCCTCTTCCACGAGACAGAGCTTACAGGATCCTCTCTCCTGTACCATCTCCACTCCGGCCCCCACGAATCCAAATGGCTTAAGACAGTGGCTCAGACCCATCTTCTGCAGAACACAAATTGATCCTGCCTTTTACCGTGAGCCTTCATTTGACAAGAAGAGAGAATTGTGATGGCCATGAGGAACGGATGGCCATATTCTAGTCATTCTTTCCCCTGGTTTAACATGTTTGGATAATTTGGGCATTCTGCTATTTTTTTTTTTTCTTTTGAGACAGAGTCTTGCTGTGGCACAAGGCTGGAGTGCAGTGGCGCGATCTTGGTTCACTGCAACCTCTGCCTCCTGGGTTCAAGTGATTCTCCTGCCTCAGCCTCCCAAGTAGCTGGGACTACAGGCGTGTGCCACCACGCCCAGCTAATTTTTTTTTTTTTTTTTTAGTAGCAATGGGGTTTCACCATGTTGGCCAGGATGGTCTCGATCCCTTGACCTTGTGATCCACCTGCCATGGCCTCCCAAAGTGCTGGGATTACAGGCGTGAGCCACTGCGCCCGACCCTGCTGCTATTACTACTCCTTCTCCTTTCTCCTCCTCTTCATCTTCCTTCTCTTCTTCTGCCTCTTCCTCTTGCTTAATAAGTTACCTAATTTTAGGTAATTTTAAAGGTTAAGGCTCTTAAACTTTTTTATCACAACTCTTATAGAGATCCTGAAAATATGATTGATAGATATATTAGAAAGTACTTTTTAAGAGCCACATGTAAAAAATGTCTATGAGAAATTTTTTTTTTTCTTTTTGAGATGGAGTCTCACTCTGTCACCCAGGCTGGAGTGCAGTTGCAGGATCTTGGCTCACTGCAACCTCCGCCTCCTGGGTTCAAGCGATTCTCCTGCCTCAGCCTCAGAGTAGCTGAGTTTACAGGCATGTGCCACCATGCCTGGCTAATTTTTGTATTTTTAGTAGAGACGAGGTTTCAATATGTTGGCCAGGCTAGTCTTGAACTCCTGACCTCAAGTGATCTGCCCACCTCCGCCTCCCAAAGTGCTGGGATTACAGGCATGAGCCACTGCACCTGACCCAAGAAGTTCTTGATAAGTGTTGTTTTATTGCTGTGTAAATCATTTCCTGGGAGATAGAGCTCATCTTTGGTTTCTTCCATAGACTATTTTAATATCTTTACTCCGTCTTCCTTTGATCTGATTAGCCAATCAGTATTTATTTAGGGCATGCGGTACGTGTTTTATTGAGCAAAGTATGAAATAGTGAGATAGGAGACTTATAAACTTATTGCCGGAGATGAATCTAGCATCTCTCAGTTAAGCCTAATTCATCCAGAACAGTCTGTAAGTCTCTAAGGGAGCACTAAGTTATATGGGACAAAGTAAGGGCTATGGATGAGAAGGAAGCCAGTGAGCATGCGGGTGTATGTGGCATGCTTCCTGTAGGCCAGCCTGTTCTAGATGCTGGAAATTCGAAAAGGAATGGGAATAAATGTGTATTTTTAACACATTTTATATGCCAGGCATTTGCATGTTTGTTATCAAATTTTTTAGCTTAGCTTAGCTTAGCTTATGAGACAGGGTCTTGCTCTGTTGCCCAGGCTGGAGTGCAGTGGTGCGATCTTGGCTCACTGCAACCTCTGCCTTCCAGGTTCAAGCGATTCTCCTACTTCAGCCTCCCAAGTAACTGGGATTACAGGCTCCCAGAGCCTGTAATGGAATTTCAGCATGCTGGCCAGGCTGGTCTTGAACTCCTGACCTCAGGTAATCCGTCCACCTCGGCCTCCCAAAGTGCTGAGATTATAGGCGTGAGCCACCGCACTGGGCCTCAATTTAAAACCGAAAAGGTCTCTACCATCCCTGAGAGAGAGTTTCATGGAAGAAGATGAACTGGACCTTTTCTTTCCCTGAAATTTTTAAAAAAATTATGGAAAACCATAAACACATAAAGATAACATAATGAGCCTTACCACTCAGTTTATGGGCATTCTTGTTACGTTTCTGCCTCCATTTCCTGCCCCCAAACCCCTGCCTTGGATATTTTGAAGTACAACCTAGACATTATATCATTTCATTTATAATACTTAAGTATGTATCTCTGTAAGATAGCGGATGTTTTGAAATATAATTTTTGGCTGAGCACAGTAGTTCACACCTGTAATCCCAGCAGTTTGGGAGGCTGAGGTGGGAGGATCGCTTGAGCCCAGGAGTTCAAGACCAGCCTGGGCAACATAGTGAGATGCTCTCTAAAAAAAAAAAAAAAGAAATTAGTTAAAAAATATAATAGGCTGGGCTTGGTGGCTCACACCTCTAATCCCAACACTTTGGGAGGCTGAGGAGGGCAGATCACCTGAGGTTAGGAATTCGAGACCAGCCTGGCCAACATGGTGAAACCCCGTCTCTACTAAAAATACAAAAATTAGCTGGGCATAGTGGCACACGCATCTGTAATCCCAGCTACTCAGGAGGCTGAGGCAGGAGAATGGCTTGAACTGGGGAAGCGGAGGTTGCAATGAGCCGAGATCACGCCACTGCACTCCAGCCTGGGCAACAGAGTGAGACTCTATCTAAAAAAAAAAAGTATTAATATTCCCCAAAAAGTAACAGTAACCTATTAAAATCATCAAATATCTAATCAACATAAACTGGTTTTTGAAGAGCAGTACCTTTGACATCTCCCAGCTCCCGTCTCTGCCCTTTCTGGGCTACTCCATTCCTCAACAGACCTCGCTCTGTCACTTGCATTTTTTCCCTGTTTTGTGTCAGCTCTTTACTTTTAGTAACAAATAGGTTCAAGTTTCCCCTAGCCTAAAACAATATATCTCTTTTCAACACAACCACAGCCTCATATGTCTTCCCAATCTCTTTGGTTTTGTTTTTTATGCTATCCAATTTCTTAAAATAGCTCTCAACATTTGCAGCTCCTGCATCTTTGCCACCACCTACAGATCTTCCTCTGGTGTTGCTTCGCCCCTGTCACTGGGCTAAAACTGTCCTCCGGGATCCCCAGCAACCCCCAAATTGCCAAATCCGATGACTTACTGCCAGCCTCCTTGGCCACAGTGCTGCCTGGTGTTCCTAATGTAACCATCCTCGAAACTTCTAGTTCCTTTGGCCCTCTGGTTCCCTCTGGCCTCTGACCACAGGGGCATCAGGGTTCTCTGTTTAGCACCATGGTCCCCTCTGGCCTCTGACCTAGGGGCATCAGGGTCCTCTGTTTGGCACCATGGTCCCCACCCTGCCCTGCTAGAGGTGCTCCTCAACCTCAGTGAGGACTCCCCCTGTGAAAAGGCTTCACTCGTGCTCACTGCCATCCTTCAACATTTCCATGCACACTTTCCTCTAACACCCCCGAAACAGGACTCATTAGCTAATATAACAATCCCCTCCTCCACCTAGTTTTTATGCTTTGCTCAGTTACACAATCAAAAATCTAAAGGCTTATCTGTGACAGCTCTGTTTCCTTCTCTTTGGCATTTTCCATCACCAAATCCTATTGGCTCTTCTTGCATGGCAAGGGCATGGTTTTATGAAGATCTGAGTGACTCCTTTCCTGTATTCTGCAGTTGGCTGTCTTTGTCGTAGCAGCCTTACTGATACACTCATCCAAACATGTTCATGTAGCTTCCTCACATATATGCCCAAAGAGCTTTGCACATGTGTGTATCTGATGTACCCTATATTGAGAAGGGAGTTAGTGATCCTAGCAAGGCATAAGCTTGATATTCCAGAGTAGGAACACTTTTTCTAAAGGAAATTGGAAGTCTATATGGCCATAAAAGATTAAAGGAGTAAGGACTGTTCTGCCTGCTTGTTTATCAGCCTGTGGGTTGCATTACAGAATGCAAGGAACTAAGATGAAACAGAAACCGATAGGTCTTTAACCCGTGTGTCACTTACCTGTGACGTGGAGGTTTCTTTCCAACTCTGACCTGCATTCATCTTCTCTTCCACACAGCCCTCTCCTCTTCTCTTTCGCTTCATAGCTCCCTTTCACTCTCTAAGGTGCAGTGGTTCACTTGGAAGAAGTGGCAGTGATTTGAAAATAACTCTTGAGAACGGAATGCAGAGGAATGGAAGGAGGCTACCTCACAAACCACCCCACCCAGTCTGCCCTTCCCCTGAAGGCATAGACTTTATTTGATTCTAAAAGTGTAGGCCGGGTGCTGTGGCTCACGCCTGTAATCCCAGCACTTTGGGAGGCTGAGGCAGGTGGATCACTTGAGGTCAGGAGTTCAAGACCAGCCTGGCCAACATGGCGAAACCCCATCTCTTCTAAAAATACAAAAAATTAGCTGGACATGGTGGCGGGTGCCTGTAATCCCAGCTACTTGGGAGACTGAACACGAGAATTGCTTGAACCCGGGAGGCAGAGGTTGCACTGAGTCAAGATCGGGCCGCTGCACTCCAGCCCAGGCAACCGAGCCAGACTCTGTCTAAAAAACAAATAAACAAAAATAAAAAGTATAGCCCTGGTTCCTCCCAACACACATACACACACACACACACACACACACACACCCCCTGTAGACCTCCTCACATTCAACTTACCAGACTGACCAGGTCTTAGTCGAATTCTTCTCCAAGATTTATCTTACACGTACAAGAACAAGATGTCTAAGTGCCCAAGATTCATTTATCCAGTAAATAGTTACTGAGCCAGTGTGATGAGCCACCCCTGCCTGAGGCTGTGGGGACACAACAGTGGGTAAAGCCAGTTCCTGCTCTGAAGTTGCTTATGTGCCAAGAGGGAGACATTGAGAAAGCAGGCAACTGGGGGATTGGGAGATGGTGTTGGGCAAATGCATGTAAGAGGTTTTGGAGAAAAGAAGCAGGCAGTTGCGGGGTCTCTGCGCTTTGATGTTGTACCTTGGAGTTGCTGTGCGCTGACCCTCTGTCCTGTTGGTAGGGACTCTTCCGAGTAGCCCCCTCTGCCTCCAAACTGAAGAAGCTGAAAGCGGCCCTGGACTGCTGCGTGGTGGATGTGCAGGAGTACTCGGCAGACCCCCACGCAATTGCAGGTGGGCACCTCTCAGCGCTCCTGTGTGCCATGGAGGCTCACAGGGAAGGGGTAGAGGGGAGGCTGTGTGGCTACAAGTCCAGGACACTCAAGTCAGTGGCTGCCCAAAGCACTTCAGATGTGTCCACTCAGTGCCCAGTTTCAGGGCTGGGTGCTCTGGCCCCTTGAAGGAAGGCCTCCCCGCATGCCAAGGGAAGACGAGGTAATTGTGGGAAGAAAGAGGGGCCAGGTCCCCTGTCAGAGCCTCATACCCATTTCCATAGGAAGCTACCATTTGCTGTTGACATGGTGGTCAGGAGGCCCATCCCCAGATGGAACCCACATAGGCAGTGCTGGCTGGTGGGTCTTGCCTCTGCCACATCATAACAGTTCACAACCAATATTTCATTCATGCCTAGGAGCTTTGAAATCTTACCTCCGAGAGTTGCCAGAACCTCTTATGACCTTTGAACTCTATGATGAGTGGATCCAGGCTTCCAAGTGAGTACCCCTTGTTTTGGAATGTCCTGTGAGTTACAGTTTATTTGGGAGTATGTGCTGAAATTATAGAAGCATGTAACCTATGATCTCGCAACCCCGTTTCTTGATCTCTGCCATGAAGGAGTGCTTATACATTTGCCCAAGGAGGCAGGTCCAGGGATATTGATGGTAGCATTATCTGAGATAGCAGAAGCCTAGAAGTCACTAAAGATTCATTGGAGAAGGGGGTTGGGAAGTGGCTAAGTAAACTGTGGAGTGTCTGTACCATCGCACACTCTGGAACAATTAAAAAATAGGTAGAGTTATTCATGCTAACATAAATAGATAATGAAAGGAAGTTAACAAGGACTCCTGTGACATTCTATTGTTATAAAAACGAAAACAAACACCCAGCACACTTAAAACAATAGAATTTTAAAAGGACCTATATTTGTGTGTAAGTGTATAAAAGAAAGTTCTGGAAGGGCTCACGTAGGCTGACAGCAGTGATTCCTCCTGGCCAGAAAAGTAGGACAAGTGAGTGGGCATAGAGTCTTTACCCTCATCTATAATAGCTGAATATATTTTAACAATAAGTAATAATGAACTTAAAGGGAGGTCACGTGTCATGACACGTGGGCAGCAGCAGCCTCTCTCTCCCCTCCTGAAGATGCGCCCAAGGGAGAGGCCGCAGCCCAAAGCCAGGCGCAGGGCTGTAGCAGTGTGTCGGGAAGAGTACAGCTGCATGGAGCAGGCAAAGCCACTAGCCCAGCCCTGATGCATGCTCTGGCTCCCACGCATGGTTTTTGAGTCCTGGCTTATTTCCTCGGTTATGCGTGCATTAGGATGGCATTGTATGTTCTTTTGGGCATAGGTAAGAGCTGTCTTAAGTAAATAGTATTGTTTGGAGGAATGTACTTTTACTGAGCGAATGGACCCCCACACAACAGCAGGGTGGGAGAATTGCTACCAGCACAAAGATGATGGAGACGAGGGTAGAGATAGTCTAGGTGGGAGATGAAGGAGGGAGAAGAATGTTTTCTGAGAGCAGGACTAGAGCAAATAGCCACCTTAGCCAGGGGCCTGTGAAAGGAAATGATTTCTAGAGATTTCTAGTCATAGGATTTAGTTGTTGGTGTGTTTCTCAACAACACCATGAGGAACAGGTGTTGTTTCTCATTACCTGTCAGGAACAACAGTGAAATATGTGTCTGATGCTGCTCCTTCTACTTTTTGAAGAACTGGGCCTGAAAGAGACCCACCTGACCTGGAAGGGAAGCCAGGCTCAAATGTGTAGAGTGAGAAAAGCCAACTCCAATCAAGTTGCATAATGGTATTTTATTTCCAAAGCAGAATGGAGATTATGCACTTCAAAAGGCTGGCTGAATATATGGTTCTCTTTTATCTCATTGTGAAAAGGGAGTGCTGGGTTTCATGACATTAATAATTACAACGTTACCATTTATTGAGTGCTTATTAGAGACTTGACATTGTTTTAAGCTCATTGTGTGTTTTTAACTCCTGTAATTTTGACAAGAACCCTATGAAGTGGGGTGTGCTGTTTCTCCTATTTTACATTTGAGGAATTTGAGGTATTGAACAGGTATGTAACTACAGGTTACCTGCTGGCTAATAAGTGGCAGAAGGGGAACTTGAATCCAAGGAGTCCGGTTTCAGGGCCTTTACACTTAACCACAGCACTTTTTGCCTCTCTAGGACAAGAATGTGGTCCTAGGGATGAAGCCAAGTGAGAACATATCCTTTGATGGAAACTGTCACTCTTATTATTTATTGGATATATAAGTGATCTTGATGATATACAGTTAGATAAAGGCAGGATAGCTTAGTGCTTCAGGACCTATCCAGAGATACTCCTGTTCCCACTTCATTTGCAAATGTGGGTCTCCATTAAGAAATAGAAATGATCCAGATGACTCAAAGAGGTCAGTGTCTTTGAACCAGGGAAAAACAAGAACCTGTTTCTACCACTGGATGACATGCATGTAGTACCTAAGATCACTTCATCTAAACCAAGTAATTTTGCCTAGAACAGTGATTTCCAACCCTCTGTGTGCATCATTATGTCCTGGGAAGCTTTTTAAAGATACTAATGCGTGAACCCTTTTTTCAGAGACTTCGATTGAATTGGGCTGGGTTCTGTGATTCAAAGCTCCCAAGGCTATTGGGTTGATAACCTATGAACCTCTGATGAAGCTGAGTTTCATCAGAGGCCAACACTAACCTTAATAAGACATTGCACTTCAGGCCAACTCAGCAGGACACAGACAGATCTGCCATAAGATGGGACATCCGGGGGCCACAGGAGGAGCCAGGGAAGCAAGGGCTGAAGTTAGGGATTACCAGGACAGTGCAAGATAGCCGGAAACTCAAAAAGGACACATCCTTGCAAGCCATTTACATGATCTGTTTCCACGCTGGAGTCATGCAGAATACAGGCTCAGAATAGCCCATGGGCTGAGCTCCCTGACTGGCATCTGTGTCCTCCTGCAGCCCCATAGCCCTGCCACACCAGAGCAGGTCTCTGGCTCTGGCACATATTCACTTGGGGCCTCTGAGGTGTGTGGAGGAAGCACTGTTAAAATCGCACAGGACAAGACAGAAGGAGAACATAGAGGGGTAAATAATAACAACCAAATTTTTAAATACTAGCTTGCTGATATGGTCAGTTACAGTGGTTGGTATCAAATATTACAATGATTGGTTAATATGATTTCCGATGAGACTTTATTGATTCGTGCTCAACCAATGACCTTTCCTATCAATTTCTCAGTGTCCAGGAGCAAGACAAGAAGCTTCAGGCTCTATGGAATGCTTGTGAAAAGTTGCCCAAGGCCAATCACAACAACATCCGGTAAGTGGATACTTACCAAGTATAGACACATGGCTTGGGCTTATGTAAGCCTCAGAGATACAACTGCCCGGGTAAAAGTCATGGTAACTACCATGCATAGCATTTTATGATGTCCAAGGTATTATTAACATGCATGGTCTCTTTTTTTTTTTTTTTTTTTTTTTTTTTTTGAGACAGAGTCTCACTGTGTCGCCCAGGCTGGAGTACAGTGGGATGATCTCAGCTCACTGCAAGCTCCGCCTCCCAGGTTCACACCATTCTCCTGCCTCAGCCTCCCGAGTAGCTATAGGCACCCACCACCACGCGTGGTCTCTGTGTGTGGTGGCACCACCACAGGTCCCAAGCCACCCTGTGAGGGAAGGCAGGAATAATTGTTGCCATTTTTTAGATAAGGAAATGGACTCAAAGAAGCGAACCATTGGCTAATTCAGTTAAAGGAGCAAAGATGAATGCAAGCTATCTTAAGATATTGGGGATTTGTGGTAAAGACAGGTAGGTGTTGGTGGACACCTGGGAGAAGCTGACCTACATGGGAGCTGGGGGAGGCAGAAGTGTCCTTGAGCAAGTTCACAGGAAGGAGAGATGAGGGAGCGTGTTCTCCAGTGCTCCCCCATTCCCGAGCCCTAGCTGTGTTCCACGTCTGCCTCTCGCTTTTCTTGCTACCACCCGAGCTTCCACTTCCGGCGCGCTGCAGATCCTTCTCCACGCCTGGCTCCTGCTGCTTCACACTCTGCTTCTTTACCGCTTTGTCTTGCCAGCACCCATCCCGGCCCTGCCGCCTTTCCTCCCAGCTTCTTAGGAGGCAGATTTTCAGCATCAGCACCTACTGCCATCTGCCTGGTTATTTCTGTTTTCCTGTTAAAAATCCCCAGAATGATGGGATGGCAGTTCCTCAAACAATTAAACACAGAATTACTGTAGGATCCAGCAATTCCACTTCTGGGTATGTACCTAAAAGAATCGAAAGCAGGGACTTAATATTTTCACACTCGTATTCGTAGCAGCAGTGTTCATGGTAGGTAAAAGGTGAAAAGCCAAATGTCCGTCTACAGATAAGTGGATAAACAAAATGTGGTATGTTCATGTAACGGATGCCATTCTGATTCTTGTCATCACGTGGATGAACCTTGAGGACGTTATGCTATGTGAAAGAAGCCAAACACAAAAGGACAAATGCAGTATATGATTCCACTTATATGAAGTACCTGGAGTGGTCAAACTCATAGAGAAACAAAATGGGATGGTGGTTGCCAGGGCTAGGGGATGGTTGCCAGGGGCTAGGAGACAGGAGATTATTGTTTTTTGTTTTGTTTTGTTTTTCTTGAGACAGAGTCTCACTCTATCTCCCAGGCTGGAGTCCAGTGGTGCAATCTCGGCTCACTGCAACCCCCACCACCTGGGATTCGAGTGATTCTCCTGCCTCAGCCTCCTGAGTAGCTGGGACTATGTGCATGCGCCACCATGCCTGGCTAATTTTTGTGTTTTTTTTTTTTTTTAGTAGAGACGGGGTTTCACCATGTTAGCCAGGCTGGTCTCAAACTCCTGGCCACAGGTGATCCGCCCGCCTCGGCCTCCCAAAGCCCTGAGATTACAGGCATGAGCCACGGCGCCTGGCTGAGATTATTGTTTAATCGGGACAAGGTTTAGCTAGGGAAGATGAAAACATTCAGGAAACGGATGGTGGTGACAGGTTCATAACACTGTGAATGTACTTAATGCCACCAAATTGTACGTCTAAAAATGGCTAAAGTAGTAAATTGTACGTATATTACAAATCAGATCCGAAGAGCGGGAATCGGGTGGTTTCAACTTATGGCATGTTGCTGACCACAGCCCTAGGCCGCTGGCCAGCCCATGGGTTGGCCTAAGCTCTCAGCTTAGGTCCCACATCCTGGTCCAGACCTGTGTGGCCTCTTGGAGGGTGGGGCATGGCCAGGAGAGGCCGTGCGTGGAGTTGTCACAGTGACAGCTAAGTGATTACATGGTAGGACATGAGTCTGCTGGACTTTCTACCGGGCTCACGAAGGTGAGCAGAAAATCCCGAATGAGTCGCTTCACTATGATCCAAGCAAAATGGGGTTAGGACCACAGCCTATTGTAACTGAGAGGCCAGAGAAAACATGTCTTCTCGGGGTCCTGGGGCCTCTTGTCAGGTTCTGGCAGATTTTTAGTGTGGTTTGCCAGAGCTGTTTTTTTTGAATTTGCACGTAGCTTCTTCATTGTATTTGTTTTATTTCTATATAGCTTCTTTGTTGGCTCTTTTTATAAAATAACTTTATTAAGCTATGATTTTCATACCATTGAACCTTTTTAACATGTGCAGTGTAGTAGGTTTTAGTGTGTTCATATAGTTTTGCAACTATTACTGGTGTCTCATTTTAGAACATTTCCCTTACCCCAAAAAAGAAATCCCCTTCCGATAAGCACTCCTTATTTTCCCCAACCATGCCCCTAAGCAACCACTAATGTACTTTCTGGCTCCATAGATCTGCCTATTCTAGGCATTTCATATAAGTGGAATACTATAATATGTGGCCTGTTGTGTCTGGCTTCTTTCACGTAGCATAATGTTTTCAGGAGTATCCATGTTGCAGGATGTCCCAACACTTCATTCCTTTTTATGGATGAATAATATTTCATTATATGGACATACCACATTTAATTTATTGGTTCATCCCTTTATGGACATTTGGGTCATTTCCACCCTTCGGCTATTATTAATAATTATGATTCCATGAACATTCATGTACAAATTTGTGTGTGGACAGCTTTCTTTTGGGTATTATCCCTAGGAGTAGAATTGCTGGATCATATACTAAGTCTGTGTTGGACTTTTTCTTTATTAGATCTTTCCAGAGCACCCAACTGAGGGTAACTCCAAGAAACACCACCCCTAGCATGTAGATGTTCCTGCCAATGGTACTTAGACATACTGCTTATCACTCCTGCACACAGGGAACATGGCAAGAAGTAATGGGGTTTGTAAAAAGTGAGGCACTTCAGGTCATTATATACTGAGTCAGAAGGAAAGAAGGAGACTTTCTGGCCAGTGTTAGTTGAAGCAGATGTCGACACCTGACCCAGTGAGATCTGAGCCTGCCTGTTTTTGGAAAGAGGATGCAGAATTTCCATTTCCTGACACGTGACGCATGTTCATTACATTGCAGGTGCACGAGTCTCCTAGTCAGTGAGATATGTGACATGAGAGAAGCTTCTGTCCAGTCCCCGGGGGACATGGCTGGTGTTGAGCCTTGGTTAAACCTGGCCCTTCTAATTTTCTTTTAGATACTTGATAAAATTTTTATCCAAGCTGTCAGAATATCAAGATGTAAACAAGATGACTCCCAGTAATATGGCAATTGTTTTAGGACCCAACCTCCTATGGCCACAAGCAGAAGGGTAAGTACAGGGCGGAGAAGTAATGTGGGTGATCAGGTGGGACTGCAGGGCCTGAGCAGGGTGGGCAGGACAGCTGGGGCCTAGCTGAGCACCAGCCTCATGTATTTTCCAAACCCTATTTCTTTGTTGGCCTGCTCCTCTTTTAGGCTGAGGAGGAGGCACAGAATTCTGCAGATCTTTCTTTTTGTTGATGGTCCCAGAGCTACAGGTCTGAAGTCAGGGTCTTCTCTGAGCTAATTAAGTCAGCATTGGGATGAGGGGAAAGGAGGGCGTAGGACATGGTGGCACAGGTCAGGCAAGCTCTTAGACTCTGTCATAAGAGGACACATCCCAGCCTCAGGATTCGGAGGGATAGAAGGCTGTCTCCAGAGATAGCAGTGTTGGAAAGAGGATGAGAATCACAGGGACGGGAGGGAGGAGAATCACACCTCACGTTGAAAGTGGCTTTGTAGGGATTGTTCATGTGCCTCGGGTTTATCTCCATTCTGCAGATGGAAAAAGAGAAGTTCAGAAAGGTGAAGATTCCCTCCCAAGAGAAAGTCTGCTCTCAAACCTCTGTCTGTGGGGTTCCAGTCCAGGGCCCCTTCCTGGGCTCTGCAGCCAGAGGACCATGGGCCTCAAAGCTTGCCTCAGCTGCTAACTCCACCCTGTTTGCCTCTGCTCTCTGCTTACAGGAACATTACAGAGATGATGACCACAGTGTCGCTGCAAATTGTTGGGATCATTGAACCTATCATCCAGCATGCAGACTGGTTCTTCCCTGGGGGTAGGTGACAGCACCTAGGTGTGGGGGCAAGAGGCAGGGAACAGGAGTATCACTGCGAGTTCTGAGCCTTTGAAGCCAAGTACCACTGCCCACAGGCTTTTTTTTTTGATTCCCCTATAAACACACACACACACACACACACGCATGCAGACATGCACAAAGGCACACACGTATCAGGGTGGAGTCATGGCAGCTTCCTGTTCTGTAATCTCTATATTTTTTGAGATGGAGTTTTGCTCTTGTTGCCCAGGCTGGATTGCAATGGTCCGATCCGGCTCATCGCATCCTCTGCCTCCTAGGTTCAAGCAATTCTCCTGCCTCACCCCCTCTACCCACTGAGTAGCTGGGATTACAGGCATGCACCACCACGCCCGACTAATTTTGTATTTTTAGTAGAGACGGGGTTTCTCCATGTCGCTCAGGCTGGTCTTGAACTCCTGACCTCAGGTGATCTGCCTGCCTCATCCTCCCAAAGTGCTGGGATTACAGGCGTCAGCCACTGTGCCCGGCCTGTAATCTCTATTTCAAGGGACACTCTGGCCTGAAGGTGTCCACTGTCTGTACTAACCATGTCCGTGGATTTTACTGGTCTAATATCCATACCATAGTTTCTTCAAATCTGCAAATCTTAGAATGCTTGTGCAGGAAGGAAAGATCCTCTGCCCCAAATCCTTCACTTTGTAGATGCAGAGGGGGAGACAGGTTCCTGAGATGGATGGGGACTTTTATTCAGGACTTGCAGATCACCTGGATGCCTTACAGACCCACCTTTTGCTACCCTAGGTTGTGCCCTTTGAGTTGTCCCTCAGCATGTGAAGGTGGGGCTCAATCTCAAAGGCAATGAGATTCTTTTTTTTAATGCCTGCTTCAAAATTAGGCTCTGAAGATAACTTCCTAAGAGGGAGTTTCAGAGATGTTCTGAGCCACAGAAGCCTCACTCCATAAGTAGATGACTCTCAATGGTGACAGCTTTGAAGAGATAGCAGTTGTTACACTAAATTCGGCATCTGCTTAAAAACATAATAATTGGTACTGTACCGTATGTTTGGTAGACATTAAGGGAATGCTTTTTGCTGTGCTGCAACAGCTGTTAAGGCATGTGAGGATAGGTTAGTAATTCTATGCTCTGCCCATTAGAGGTAATCAATTAAATCAATTAATGCTGTTCTAACATTGAAGAAGTTTGATTGTCTTTCTTTTGCTTCATGTGTTTTAAGGTCGAACTGCTGACTCCCTAAGAGTTGCGTTGATAACAGAGTTGGGTGGGTGTGGGAAATCAAGATAAAGAAATAAAGGAGGTAGGAGTCAAGACAGTAATCCTATAGGTTCTGCGGCTGAGCTAATTCATTACCACTGCACACAGACAGAATTGTGCAGAGCTAATTTATTCTCATTGACTGGGAAAGGATGGGATGAGTACTTCTGTATATCTCTTTGACAGCCAAAAAACAACTTTAATGAAATCTATATTTCTAATATCTTGAATTTATTCTCTATGGTTTTCCAGAAAGGCAGTGTCATCATCTATAAATATTAATATTGCCTCTTATTTTATTTTCTTGACTAATTCCATTGGCTAGTGTTTCTCAAATGGTGTTAAGTAATGGTAGTGGTAGTGAGCATTGCCATTTCTCCTGATTAGTTTAGGACAGCTGTCGGCTTTCAGTCTTAAGCATGAGGTTTTAGAAAGATGATTTCATATATTTCAGAAAGTATCCGTTCCTGTTTTTACAAACTTTTTTTTTTTTTCACAAATTGACATTGCTTTATTAAATGCCTATATAGGTGATCACATGTGTCCCCCTTTTTGGCCTGTTAATGTGATGCATTATATTAATAAGGTGAACCATGGGATGAAATTTTCTAGGGATGACATACGAGGGAGTGGGTGTCTGGACTCATTCCTCCCCTGCCCAGGAAGGGTGTGGCAGACCAAGAGTTCACATGTACCAATTCTTTCTTCCCCGCAGAGATAGAGTTCAACATTACTGGCAATTATGGGAGTCCAGTACACGTGAACCATAATGCCAACTACAGCTCAATGCCCTCCCCAGACATGGACCCTGCTGACCGGCGCCAGCCCGAGCAGGCCCGCCGGCCCCTCAGCGTCGCCACGGATAATATGATGCTGGAGTTTTACAAAAAGGATGGGTATGAACTGGTGTCTCTTTCTCAGCACTGGGGATTAGGGGAGGTGGTGGGGGTGGATGGGTGACGCATAAGAAAAATACAATTACGGGAAGGCTGCACTGACTCTCAGCAGTTTAGGTGACTCGTAGCAATTAAACTGTATCTGCTGTGTCTGGGATGAGTTTCTTTGGCTTGCCGCCCTTTAGACCAGAGGTCAGTGTAGCCTTCTTAGCTGACACAGTTGTGATCAGTATTAATTAGTTCTCATCAAAAGAAAGAAAAAGTAGTCACTGAGTGCAATTAAAAAAAATACATACGCACTTTATTTGGAATCAAAATGTATACAAGTAGATCAATTCCAGAATTTGTAGTGGCTTTACTTTGATTATGAATGGGCTCATTGCATTCTTCAGAAGCATCCTGGCACAAACAATACCTTTAATGTACAGTTTAACGTTCCCAGTTTCAGCCTAAAACTTGAAACAGCCTGAGCGTAAAATCCTTCTAGGTTTTTAAGATGTTTTCCTATCTTTTATTATTAACATCCATAACTACTTCAATGCAGTTATTAAGAGGCTTGTAAGTACATTCAATTTAGTTTGCTCAGCAACAACCCTGTCCACACTCATGTTAAATTAGTTTATATAATATTGAACTACATAATGATTCCCATAGCAAGTAAGATGGGCATAAACAGGTTTCGTAACAAGCACAGCTGACTCACGGTGAGCACCGGCTCAGCCATGGCAACCAGAGGACGTGGACTAATGAGCGTGTTCAGCAAGCTGCAGGCATCCACGAATACCTCTTACAGGAGGGGATCGTCTTGGTTGGTCAGGCAAGTCAGTTCAGTGAACTTTGGTTAGAAATTAAAAATTACTACTGTAAAATAAAATGTAGCAAGTGCTCCTTTAGGATAGATGAGAGCATAAAGCATTGAATGGGAGTATCGGAAATGCAGACAACAGGAAGTAACCTAGCTAGAACCTTCCCCTTTCCGGACAGACCACTGGGCAGCCAGAAAGATATGCTTGAAAAGGCCCATGGCCTAAAGCGGTGCAGGAGGGAAGGTTGAAAATCCAAGAACTGTTAGAGGTGTGTGAATCTTACTTTTCACCCCACTTCTTTCTGAATGGGAGTTGGTATTGGAGAACTAAAGTTGGCAGAGGAGACCTAGGCTTGTTTCCTGGGATGACGGTCAAGCTTTCACAATGGCCAGTATCTCTTCTTTGTTACTTCACCTATCAGAGACAATTTGTATGTGGCAGATGGGAGTTGTTTGTGTGCGCTATGCTGGTGTTTATTGTTCTCCACTTAGTGGAGAAAGAAAAAAAAAGGAAATTCTTAGAAATTCAAATGAGTATGAAAAAATGTCTTTCTTTTTTGTTTTGTTTTGTTTTAAGACAGTCTCAGCTGGGCGCGGTGGCTCACGCCTATAATCCCAACACTGGGAGGCTGAGGTGGGTGGATCACAAGGTCAGGTGTTCGAGACCAGCCTGACCAACATGGTGAAACCCCATCTCTACTAAAAATACAAAAACCAGCCGGGAGTGGTGGCACGCACTTGTAATCCCAGCTACTCAGGAGGCTGAGGCAGGAGAATCACTTGAACCTGGGAGGTGGAGGTTGCAGTGAGCTGAGATCGTGCCATTGCACTCCAGCCTGGGCGACAGAGCAAGACTCCATCTCAAAGAAAAAAAAAGAAAGAGAGTCTCGCTCTGTCACCCGGGCTGGAGTGTGGTGGTGCAATCTTGGCTCACTGCAACCTCTGCATCCCGGTTTCAAGTAATAATTCTCAGGCCTCAGCCTCCCGAGTAGCTGGGATTACAGGCAGGAGCCACCATGCCTGGCTAATTTTTGTATTTTTAGTAGAGATGGGGTTTTACCATGTTGGCCAGGCTGGTCTCGAACTCCTGACCTTAAGTGTTCCTCCCGCCTTGGCCTCCCAAAGTACTGGGATTACAAGTGTGAGCCACTGTGCCTGGCCTCAGAAAAAATTTCTTTAATCTATAAAAAAGAACATACTTAGAATCTGCGAGTCAGAGACAGAGAAAACTAGACAGTGCATTGGAACTTGTTTTTAAATCTTATTAACGCAGTTCCTATGTGAAATCTCTGTAAGCTGAAGGGATGCTCCTGAGGGTAAATTCTGGTCCTGGTTGGGTGATACAGCACTCCTGATATTCCTTCCCAGGTGTTTCTACCCCAAAGTGTGCCCCTCCATCCCTCCTCCATCCTCTCTGCCAGATCTGGTTTGATTCCAGTGCCTCCTGGGCGCACTCCAAATGGCCTCTGAGAGAGAGTTACCACTGCAGATGCATTGGAGTACTCAGAGTTCACTGGCCCACTATCTGCAGGCAGATGCAGAAGCTTGAGCAATATCTTGAGCAGATACCTTATCTCTGATAAAGCTCTCCTGCTTAAGAATTTTCTAAATGATATGTCCACTCTGTATACTATTCTTATTTGAAGTTGAAACTGCCACCATCTACTTTAAGAGTATAGGAAATTTATTACATAATGTATTGTTGTACATAAAATAAATGTTTCAAAATGTGTATTAAATGTTAAATTCAGGCCGGGCGTGGTGGCTCACACCTGTAATCCCAGCACTTTGGGAGGCCAAGGCAGGTGGATCACCTGAGCTTGGGAGTTCGAGACCAGCCTGACCAACAGGCAGAAACCCCGTCTCTACTAAAAATACAAAATTAGCCCGGTATGATGGCGCATGCCTGTAATCCCAGCTACTCGGAAGGCTGAGGCAGGAAAATTGCTTGAACCTGGGAGGTGGAGGTTGTGGTGAGTCAAGATCACGCCATGCATGGCAGCCTGGGCAACAAGAGCAAAACTCTGTCTCCAAAAAAAAAAAGTTAAATTCAATGAAGGTCTTACCGGTTTAGGGTGGCTCTCCCTGAGTTGTCTGAGGTAGAGCATCTGTGCGTACGTTTTAAGGAAGTGTAGTGAATTGTAGAAGATCAGTTCTTACCTGACCTTAAAGAGTGGGTGTTTTTGGAGAGAGGAGAGAAATTTGCATCTCTTGAGTCCCTATGTTATCTTAGTAACATTAGGCCAGTTCTCTATATTGGCCCCATTTCTGATCTTTTGAAATCTATGAGATACATTTTAAAGTCTTCACACTGCTCATTGAAACCCTGACAAATTAAAGCTCATGTTATTGAAGGTTTTTGGCCAAGTTAAAAAAAAATATATATATATATGAATTATATATCAATAAAGCAGATACTTATTTAAAAAGAAGAAAATTGAGGGGCAGAAAAACTGGGTAAAATTGCAAAGAAATGGTAAGTTACCGATTTGTGTCAGTGACACTTTCCTAGGCTGATGGCTGTTATGTCCTAGATGTCATACAAAGCTTCTTACTTCCCTCGCGACTCTGGGCTTTGGTCCTGATGCCTTTCTGATTTGAAATGATGCAGGAAGCTGGGTTTCTTTAGCAGGGCTTGGTGACCAGTTCAGGAGCTTACATATACATTTTTCATCATTGTGGTAGGTAAAATAATGCCCATCCACCAAAGAAAAATAGATCTAAAGACCTGGAAACTATCCATATTTCCTTATTTTGGAAAAAGGTCTTTGAATATGTGATTAAAATAAGGATCTCGAAATAAGGAGATTGATTATTTTGGATTATCAAGGTGGGCTCTACATGACATCATGTGCATCCTTATTAAGAGGGAGGCAGAGAGAGATTTTACTACACACACAGAGGAAATGTGAAGATGGAACAGAGAGAAATTTGAAGAGATGGCCACAAGCCAGAGATTGCCAACAGCCACCAGAAGCTAGAAGAGAGAGCAAAGCCTTGCTCCCTCCTTGATTTCCACCTGGTAATACTGATTCTAATTTATTTAGAAAATCAATTTCTGGGTCAGGCGCGGTGGCTCATGCCTGTAAGCCCAGCACTTTGGGTGGCCGAGTTGGGTGGATCACCTGAGGCCGAGAGTTCAAGACCAGCCTGAACAACATGGAGAAACCCTGTCTCTACTAAAAATACAAAATTGGCCAGGCATCGTGGCGCATGCCTGTAATCCCAGCTACTTGGGAGGCTGAGGCAGGAGAATCGCTTGAACCCAGGGAGGCGGAGGTTGCAGTGAGCCGAGATAGTGCCATTGCACTCCAGCCTGGGCAACAGGAGTGAAACACCATCTCAAAAAAAAAAAAAAAAAAAAAAAAGCAATTTCTGTTGTTCACCAACCTTGTGGTTGGTACTCATGACAGCAGCCATAGGAAGCCAATACAATCATCCACTGCAGCTCCACACCAAGAGCTTTGATAAAGATGGCAGCAGATGCTTTGCTTGTCCTCCCAGGGAGTGTTGGAATCTGATTGCTTTCCCTTCGAGTCTGAGTTGCTCTAGTGAGTTACTTGACCTAGTAGGATGTGGGAGAGGTGATGTTCTGGGACTGCTGAGGCCAGGTCAGAAGAAGCCTTGTAGATTCTTCCTGGGTCTCTGGAGACAGTCACTCTTGGAGCCCAGTACCATCCTACATGGAAATCCAAGCAGCTCCTTGGAGAGAAATGGAAGTCCCCAGCCCTCAAGCCCAGCTGAGCACTGTCCTGACAGCCAGCACAGCTCCAAGCTCTGAGAAGGAGTCATTCTGGAGTCTTCAACCCAAGTCAGACCACCTCTGCCAATGCTGTGTGTGCAGACAGGCCAGCCTTGCATCAATGCTGTGTGTGCAGACAGGCCGGCCTTGCACCAATGCTGTGTGTGCAGACAGGCTGGCTTTGCACCAATGCTGTGTGTGTAGACAGGTCGGCCTTGCACCAGTGCCGTGTGAGCAGACAGGCCGGCCATGCACCAGTGCCGTGTGTGCAGACAGGCCGGCCTTGCGAAGCCCTGCCAGAACTCTAGATTGGTGACCCAGATAACCATGCTAAGTTTTAGGGTAGTTTGTTACATAACAAAGAGCCAGAACAAGCTTAAAAAAAAAAATCCTTCAACCTGTCCCAAATCTACCCATCTGATTTAAATGGCCTGGCCTGGGATAAGTATGTGATTCTAATGTGCTGGGGTTGGGAACTACTGAATAATTTTGCCACTCTGAATGAAGAATTTGGCAATGCTACATTTTTTTTAATTTATCAAAACTTTCCTACTTTAGCCATTGAGTATTGGTGTGATATATAGGGTGTCCTAACTCCACCAACACTCTGAGCAACAAAGTATTAAATAAATCACACTATTGTTTTCTGTACTTTTTAAGCTCTTTCTTAGAAAGTTTTGGGTGCAGATTATGTTTTTAGTGTCTTTTTTGTTTGGGTTGTTTTACTGTTTTATAGAATAGTGAAATTTGTGTGTTAGGTCATTAGTCCTAAATAATAAATGAAAGTAAATCTACAGTCCCTTCTATTTCTCTGACAGTGCCAGACTTCCTGGTCAAATCAATTTTTTTTTCTACTGCCTTCAGAAGAGTTTGCCAAAGTGTCTGCACTCTTGCTGGTTGGTCAGGGAGCACCCATGGAGCCAGCATTGGGCTTTGGACTCCAAGCATTTGTCAGATGCCTCCACTGGCTACATCCCCGACTGAGCCTGGACAAGCTGGGCCAGGACTGTTGAAGGACCTGTGGAGAAGCCCAGAGGCAAGAATAGAAGCGACAGGCTGGGCGCAGTGGCTCACACCTGTAATCCCTGCACTTCGGGAGGCCAAGGTGGGCGGATCACTTGAGGTCAGGAGTTCTAGACCAGTCTGGCCAACATGGTGAAACCTCATCTCTACTAAAAATACCAAAGAAATGAGCTGGGCGTGGTGGCAGACGCCTATAATCCCAGTTACTCGGGAGGCTGAGGCAGGAGAATTGCTTGAATCCAGGAGGCAGAGGAGGTTGCAGTGAGCCAAGATCGCACCACTGCAGTCCAGCCTGGGCGACAGAGTGAGACTCTGTCTCAAAAAAAACAGAATAGAAGCGACATGGGTAATGTGACCTCCTTCCTAGCATCACGTCCCTCCCTTCCAGATAGCTATCAGATAACTGCCATCTTCCCCTTCTCTCCTCTCTGTCTCCACGACCTGCAAGATGCCCATCTGAGACTTCAGTAGACCACTGCCCACTCCCTACCTCTGTGTTTCCTCAGTACCTTCCTCCCTACTGCCTCTTTTCTTTCTTCTGGCTCTGGCCCCTGCTCCCTGCACTTGCCTGCTGGCTTGTCCATCTGTTCTGTTGCCCCTGCTTAGTTCTAGCCTCTCGTAGCCTGAAACCCACGGATGTCAAGGCCCTGACAGCATCTATGAAGCTGCCCCACAGACCCCATCAAAACGTCCTTGGATCCCGATGGGCCGGCGATCTGCCACGGAGATCCAGCTACCTCAGGCCGTGATTCTCAGAAGACCAACATACAGCTCCTCTTTGCAGGCCTGAAACCCGACGCACCTACTGTCATTACACTTGCTCCACCGTGGTCTGATCCTCAGGGGTTCTCTACCAGAGCCAGGTGACAGCAACCCGAATGGTCTATGGGATATTTACATCAGGGCCAGCAGCCTCCCTTGAGCTCTGTTTAGTGGGTGACCCATTCTCAACCTGTGCTTGAGAGCTGCACTGCAAAGGGCTTGTCCCACCCCTGTGGACTTTAATCTAGATGTTCAGTAATTTGGAAAAGGCACACTTGATTGAGAGGGTTCTAGAATAATTCGAACTGTGCCCTATGGTATACCAGTTTCCACTGGTAGTTGGTTATATTATGAATGGGGAGGAGGGTGGACTCTGATGTCTAATAAGTTCCTGAAGCACATGATCAACACATTGAAACCAGTTTCTTTAGTGTATGACTTCTTAGAGTCTTTAACATGCTGTTACAAGGCACAGACCTCCACAGGGGGCTGTAGCATGTATCATTTCCCAAATTTAGTATATCACAACACCTGAGATAAATTGAACCAGTGCCCCAAGGGACTTGTTTTTGTAATTGCAGATGTGGATGTCCTCTGTAGATCCTGTGGTGGAGGGTTGAACAGCACATTAAAATCCCTGAGGCCAGGTGCAGTGACTCACACCTGTAATCCCAGCACTATGGGAGGCTGAGGCAGGAGGACTGCTTGAGGCCAGGAGCTCAAGACCAATCTGAGCAACCCAGTGAGACATCATCTATACAAACAATTTTTAAAAATTAGCCAGGCATGGTGGCACACACCTATAGTCCCAGCTTAGTCAGAAGGCTGAGACGGGTGAACCCCTTGAGCCTGGGAGGTGGAGGCTGTAGAGAGCTGTGATAGTGTCACTGCACTCCAGCATGGATGACATAGTGACACGCTGTCTCAAAAAAAAAAAAAAAAATCCTTGAAAGAGATTATGTCATGGATAAGTGATGCAGTAATTTTACTTCAGAGCTTGAACCTATGATAAGACAAACTTACCTAGAAAGTCTTCTGCGTATGGATGGAAAATGTGACTCCTATTTTGGTTTAGGGTTGTCTACATGGAGAGGGATGTTTTGGTCCAGGCCCCTTATCAGCCTCCTCCCCTGGACTTAGACATTGTTGGATGCTGGGACCAAGTCTGAAATGTTGTCAGAGGACTTGGCCTTTATGTGTACTGGAGAGGTTAAGGTGCTTCGTCGCTACTTACTGAAGAGAGGAGTTACTTCCAGAAAAGCTGGAAAATACCGAATTCAGGCCTCACTGGGTGTGTGTAGGCCAGGCTAAGTCTTAGGAGCTTTGGGTCCCCTTTTCACTCACCTTTGCTGTCCGGGACATCATCTGCTGACCCTGTGGCTCCCTGCCACAGTTCATCTTACAGTCCCTGAATGTGCACGCCTACAGTGGGTGTTTGGGAAGCTTCTGTGGATATTTGGGAAGCTACCAGGTTTCCCTGCCCCCTCTTTCTTGGCTGGCCTTTGCCAAATGTAACTGATCTCTAGAACAAAAACCAAAACCTTCCAAATCTCTATAGACTTGAACACTTCACAGCCATGTATTGGCTGACACCTCCCCTGGCTAGGATTCTTCCTGACCAGGAGTCAAAAACAGCACTGCAGATGTCTGATCTTCAGAGGTCCGTTCTGCTAACCCCAGACAACTCAGCTAGAATGGTCCACAGCAAAATTCTGCCCGGTGATAAGTGTATTCTACCTATAGATACCTATTCTTCTTGGAGCTGGGATCTTCCAAATTTTATATTTTGGCTTTTTTTTCTCCTTTTTTCTCCCCCTCTTCTTCCTTCTCCTCCTCCTTCCCCTGCCCCAACCCCAGCACCCTTCTTCCTCATTTTTTTTTTTTTGTTTTGCTGGGGCAGGTCTTTGTTTCTCTTTAATTTTTGTAAGGTCTCCATCCAGGGTGTGTCAATGCCTGGACACTGGCCAGGGTTAAACTTCGGGGTGTGAATCAGAAGATCCTGATCCACAACTCTTTTTGCTTTTTTTTTTTTTTTTTTTTTTTTTTCCTGAGATACAGTCTTGCTCTGTTGCCCAGGCTGGTCTCAAACTCCTGGGCTCAATGATCCTCCCACCTCAGCCTCCCAAATAGCATGGCCCATAACTTTTAGTGGGCAGATACACAATAGAATATTGTACACTGTGGTTGCAATGTCTGGAACTGAATTTGTCCACGCTCCCCTCCTGCCTCAATTCCTCAACAAAGACAGGCTTATTCTGAACCCTGCCATCATGGAGTGCCCGGGAAGGCATTTTTCTCACATGGTTTCCTTGCTTGCCCCATCACAATACCAGTGACCTTCTCACTTCGAGTAAAAGGAATGACCCATTTTCTAAGTTCAGGGGGCTTAGAAGTGAGCAGACAACATCTTCTACTGGTTTACCCTTAGCTGCTCTAGGTGATCGCTGAGCACCTCCTCACCAACACATCACTTCATTGCTTCCCTCTTGAACCCTGAGCCGTCGTTCCACTGGTCCTGGGCCTAATCCTCTCCCTGTATGGTCTACCAGGTTGCAGACTTTAAAAGAAGCATGCCATTTCATCTCCAGCATCAACGAGCCATTTATAGTTCTTCTCTTTCTACTTCTCCCTGCTTACACGGTGTGAAAGTCATAACCCTATAAATAGCCCTGCATGCAGAGTCTTGAGCTTTGGAATCAGGCTCCCTCTGAGTTCAAATCCTGGTTACTGAACTCTGAATGCCTCAGTTTCTTCATATGCAAAATGGGGAAATCATGGTAAGCACCGACTTGAATCATTCTGAGCATTGAACGAAATATTGCTTACAAAGTGTTTAGAGCAAAGCTCAGCACATGGTAAATGTTAGCTGTTCTTAGTACAGGAACCAGATTTTTGAGTGACATCCTCATGTTTTTAAGGGGGCAACGTGGCGGGGCCCACTTTCCCACTGATGAGGCGTCCCGATCCAGCCCTTTCCTTGCCACCTCGGGTGCTTGAATGTTTTTATCTGTCTCCACCTTACCACGAGCAATTGAGCTAATTCTACAAGCAAGAGATATACAAACACCAAGGGCTTCGTGACAAAGCACGAAATATCCTAACAGCCAAGGACAGCTGACGGTTGCAGGAGGCTCCCCAGGACGTGGAAAACCCTGTGTAAGCAGGAAGTGCTGTGACCATTCCAGGCTGAGCCTCCTGCGCCCTAGTGTATTTTGTTTTCCAAAGAACCTTTCAGACAAGATGACCCTTCTGACTCCTGCCTCCTTTACTGCCCCAATGACCTGGGTTGGGCAGTAAGACTTAGAAGGGTTTGCAGGCATCCCCTCTTTATTTGTTTGTTCCTTAAGCTTGGAATCATCTAAGTAGCATTTTAGCAAGCCCCTATTCTGAAACCCAAATTGGGTCATCCAACTCAGCAGAGCCCCGCGAGACTAAGAAACCTAGGGAAATGGGACTGATAATAAACTCCAGTCCTCATTTTTTTCCAGTCCCCATTTTTTGTTCCCTGTTCTATTTCTTTTTCTTTTTCTTTTATTTCTTTTCTTTTTTTTTTTTTTTGATACAGAGTCTCACACTGTCGCCCAGGTTGGAGTGCAGTGGCGCCATCTCAGCTCACTGCAAGCTCCGCCTCCCGGGTTCACGCCATTCTCCTGCCTCAGCCTCCTGAGTAGCTGGGATTACGGGCACCCACCACCACGCCCGGCTAATTGTTTGTATTTTTAGTAGAGATGGGGTTTCACAGTGTTAGCCAGGATGGTCTCGATCTCCTGACTTCATGATCCGCCCACCTTGGCTTCCCAAAGTGTTGGGATTATAGGTGTGAGCCACTGCACCTGGCCTCCCTGTCTATTTCTATCAGAGAACTCACCCCAAAATCTTTTGATGTTTAGGGTCACTGTTAGGAAGGGAAGAAATCTGATGAGAAACCTGATAAACCCAGGTGACATGGGCCAGATGGGGTCTTCCTAGCATCTCTATCATGCTGTGCCTGATGTCAGCAGTAGAGTATCCTTTTCCCCCCTTTATCAACATATTTTAGACCTGCGTTCATTCTCTTTCTTTCTCTGAGGAGATTTTCAAAAACAAGTCATATGCGCTTGGCACCTATAAGCACAAAGCATTCTCATTGACACTACATCTTACTGATTTCTTAGTAAGAGCTAAGGGCTTTATGGCCACAGTTTCATTGGCTCCTTACAACAAATCGAAGGAAGAGAAGCATATTATTCCATTTTACAAAGGATGATTCGAGGATAATCAGATAGAACTCCTCCATATTATAGAGTTAGTCATTGGAAAATCTAGGATTCATACCCAAATTCTCTGCTTTCAAAGCCCTGCTGTCCT
Source organism: Homo sapiens (assembly GCF_000001405.40). Lineage (NCBI taxonomy): Eukaryota > Metazoa > Chordata > Mammalia > Primates > Hominidae > Homo > Homo sapiens. The sequence continues at coordinate 12,969,577 of NC_000017.11, forward strand.
GAGCTGGAGAGGCTGTGGAGTCACCACGTTATACCCAAAAAACACAAGCCAGATACTAGGCCTTTATATTCCGTCCATCAAGGTGTTGTCTGATGCTCTGCATCTCCAGCTTGTCCACATCATAAAACACCATTGGCTTAGCTAGCTAGACCCTACTACAACCCACTGTATGACCGCTCAGCTTCTGCCACCAGGTCATGGTGCAAGGACATGCTAAATACATCTCAGCACTCAATAATTGATAAACTATCTTCATGGAAATGCCGGAAACAGGAAGGGAGGTATTAGCTCCATTCTATGGGTGAAGAGAGAGCTCTACTGAGTCAGCAAATGGTTAACTGGGACTAGAGGCCTGGGTCGTTCTAGAACCTATTCCATGATACCATCTCATGAAAAATACCCACGTTTCCATTATGATAAATCCTATGCAAATATAAGATGCTGGCAGGCAGGGAAGATTGTTCTTCAGTGGGTCTACCTTGCCAAAATGAGGACTTATCACCTGACTCCCATCCTGTGCATCTCAATGATGAGCAGTGTCAATTCTGGATTCCCTGCCCCTTGTCTTCTTACTCTGAGAGAGAGCAGTGGTCCAGCCTGGGTAACATGGTGAAACTCATCTCTAAAAAAATTATGAAAATTAGCCAGATGTGGTGGCATGTGCCTGTATTCCAAGCTACTCAGGAGGCTGAGATGAGAAGATCACTTGAACCCGAGAAGTTGGGGCTGCAGTGAGCCATGATTATGTCACTGCAGTCCAGCCTGGGCGACAGAGCAAGACCCTGTCTCAAAAAAAAAAAAAAAAAAAAAAAGAAAAAGAAGAGAAGAGAAAAGAAAAAAGAAGCAGTGGAGAGAATCACCTCAGGTTCCACTCCCCAGATTCTGTAGGCTCCCTACCTCCTGCTTAGTGATTTCTAAGCCCTTTGCTTCACATAGATTCTTGCTGGCCTCTGACTTCTTGCTTTCACCTTGATTCAACTATAAAGGGATCTAAAAGCCAAATTGTTTTCAGTTTTCAGCAGAAGCCTGGGAAATCTTTGCCATCTAGATTGTCCTTAGGTATCCATGCAGGGATGTCTGCTGGAGTCAGATATGTTTTATTAATTCCACTTCTTTATTGCTCCTTTCTTAAGAAACAGCAGCAGTGCCTTGATTCCAGCTACTGTTTCTTTATGCAATAAAACAATGAACAGAAGCTTGTGAACTGCTGATATAACCTTCTAGTTGGATCCCCGATCTGTGAATAGATTCCCCTTCTTGGCAGCATACTGAGCAATTTTATTATTTCTGTCTTCAGGTTGAGTTTTATCTAGACATTTGAACATTTACATATACCATCTTGCTTTGGAAGGTAAATGCACTTTTAGGCTTCCAACAGCATTGCTGCTGCCGTTGTGATTGATTTACTGTGTAAAGATTTATATTACTGTTTGAAAATGTCAGTGAACATTTGATGTGAATTCACAGTGGAACATGTGATGCTCCCTCTTATGAGAAAGTCATTTCAGCTGGGAAAGTCGTGATTGCATATGGCACTGTAGCCTCTTTACAAGAGGAGAAGTAGCACGTTGAACCCATATTTCTCAGTTGCCGAAGTTTGCCAGTGTTATTTAGCAAGTCTCGCCCAGTACCTACCCCATGCCCAAGCTGACACCTTCCCTTGGTAAACCAGAAGATCACCAAGGAGGCTGGTGTCTGAGATTCCTGATGCTAGAAGGTACTGTTGGGGAAATAGAAGGCATCCCCCACCAGCTTTGGCCCAGACCTTCTCACCAGGTGGGAAAGCCTTTTTCAAGTAGAAGAGAAAGGGGCAAGGAAGAGAAGGTGGGGTAGGACTTAGATTTTTAGGACTCCTTGTGCTGGTCACCATGTGAAACATCTCACATGCCCGAAATCCTCACCAACCATTGCAACTAAGTGGTATCAGTTCCGTTCCCTAAGAGGAATGTTAAGCTCTTTGTTCTTTTCATCCTGATACATTCTGAAGCCTGCAGACCACAGTTCGATGATCTTCGGCAGCCCGCTGTAAATACCAGGGGATGTAACCAGACTGTGTCCCAGAGTTTCAAGTGGCCTCCAAAAGCATTTCTGGGTATCGTATAGGAAGTGTTTGTTTATTGGTAGAAGGTTCTCAGACCCCAGATGACTTTGGAAACTATTGGGTCCAGGAAAGAGACATCCCTCCCCTTTCCCTCCATCCCTGGTGCCTCCTTGAAGCCATCCAGCGGAGATGAGAAATACCAGCAATCGTACTAGACATGAGAAGGCCTCTGGTGATGGAAGGAAGGGGATCAGGAAGCCCTCCCATGCCAGTGTGTGCTTGGTTTCAGCATCACTCCCCATATTTCCTTAAAACAGCTAAATCCCACCATCCCACCTTCTGCAACCAAATCTCCATACTTGAACTTTTTCTGTTATTAAATCTTGCTGTACCTCTACAAGGTAAATATGACCTTTCTAGGTGAGCAGGATTTCATGGTGTAATAGTTTTGTGCTTCTGACTAGTGTAGGTGACCATTTGGCAGGGAGGAGGTGAAAGTGAGCACATCATAGTCCTCATACACCTATCTCTCTGTGCAGATACGTGATAGAGACAAATGCTGGTTGGGAGTATATGTTTTCTCCCTGAATGAATGAATGTTTCTCCCTTAATGCTAGAAATGTGAGCCCTTACCTTAGTCAATGAGTCAATGAAACCTTGGCTGAGATGACAGCAGCAGTACCTCCTAGACCAGAGGAAAGGGAACTAACCACCTGCTAGTCTATGTAACTTAGAAGTCAGTGGATAAGGCCAGGCGTGGTGGCTCACACCTGTAATCCCAGCACTTTGGGAGGCTGAGGCGAATGGATCACCTGAGGTCAGGAGTTTGAGACCAGCCTGGCCAAGATGGTTAAACCCTGTCTCTACTAAAAATACAAAAATTAGCTGGGTGTGGTGGCGGGTGCCTGTAATCCCAGCTACTCGGGAGGCTGAGGCAGGAGAATTGCTTGAACCCAGGAGGCAGAGGTTGCAGTGAGTGGAGATCGCACCATTGCACTCCAGCCTGGGTGACAAGAGCGAAACTCTGTCTCAAATAAATAAATAAATATTTTTTTTTTTTTTGAGACGGAGTCTCACTCTGTCACCCAGGCTGGAGTGCACCGTCGCAGTCTCGGCTCACTGCAAGCTCCACCTCCTGGGTTCATGCCATTCTCCTGCCTCAGCCTCCCGAATAGCTGGGACTACAGGTGCCTGCCACCACTCCCGGCTAATTTTTTGTATTTTTAGTAGAGATGGGGTTTCACCATGTTAGCCAGGATGGTCTCAATCTCCTGACCTCATGATCCACCAGCCTCGGCCTCCCAAAGTGCTGGGATTACAGATGTGAGCCATGGCGCCTGGTCATAAATAAGTAAAATGTTTTTTTAAAAAAAGAAGTGAGCAGATGACTACTTTTACCAGTTTCTTTCTTCCTTCTGCCTCTTTCTTCCCCATGCCACACCAATATCAACTCTTCAGCTGCTCTCTTTACCTGTGTGCATGGTAGGGTATGACTTACACTTACACAAATAGGAGAGTCACTTTAGAGAGACCAACTAAATTGTAATAATTTTATAGCACAATAAAAATCCCACCCCAAGACCCTGGACCATGGAGAGAGACCCCTTACAGAAAGACAACCTTTATGTCCAAAGGAAGGCCTAGATTTTTTGAAACTAATATCTGTATGTTTCTGTCCCTGCAGCCTTAGGAAAATCCAAAGGTATGGTATCCTCTGGTAGCTATGAGGCCATGCTCAGTCTCTTCAACTGAGCCACCTATGCATCGTAGTGAGTTCCACCAGAGGGTGAATGCGCCGCGTCTGGTTGCTTGGCCGACTTATTTGAAGCTGTGTGCCCATCATTAAAATAGAATCAGAGCCCAGAGGGACCATAGGCACAAGCAGCCCCTTCCCTGCTGTGTAGACAAGTGGGAGTGGCCTGCAGAGGTGTGCCTTGGCCAGGGTCCCAGCAGTGGTGGAGCTGGGGCTAGACTCCAAGTTACAAAAAGAAGGATTCATATTTAGATGTCTCCTGCTGTCAGTTCCACGCTCCCCCCTTCGCTGCCCCTCCCACCTCGTCTTGCACTTGGGAGGAGTGAGTGTCCCTGCCCCCCCAGTTAGGCCACACACCGCTGTGAGGAAGGCTGGCAGTTTACACCCAGGGAGCTTGCCGGGCCATCATCCTGAGCTGGCTTTGGCAGAGGGTTGAAGCACAGCTTGTGGCCGCCAGCGCTGCCGACTGTGCCCTGCTCCTTGCCTCAGTGAGGGGGCCGCTCTTGCCAGGACTGGGCTGCCCAGGGCTGTGTCTTGGCCGCCGGGAGCAGCCAGGGTGCTGGGAGCACAGCCCCCAATGCATCGCTTCCCGGGCCCCCGGGGTGCTAAAGCTGCGCTGCTCTTCTCCCAACGCGGACCTGCTTGAATGTGGGGGAGGGAGCCTGTCTCCTGTCATCTGTTACGCGTGGGTAAGCGGTGTCTTTGTGTCCCTCGCCAGCATGGGTGTGAGGGTCATGGACACAAACTGGGTGGCTCGAAGAGGCTCCTCGGCCGGTCGGAAAGTGTCCTGCGCCCCGCCCTCCATGCAGCCTCCCGCCCCGCCCGCCGAGCTGGCTGCGCCCCTGCCTTCGCCGCTGCCGGAGCAGCCCCTGGACAGCCCCGCGGCCCCCGCGCTCTCTCCATCCGGCCTGGGCCTCCAGCCTGGGCCCGAGCGCACCAGGTAAGCGCGGGCCACTGCCGTCCGGGCGGGCTGGTGTGCGGTGCAGGGGGTGTCTGGGTTGGCCGCACTGGAGGCCTCTTGGATTTCGTCGTTTCCCATGCCCCCGCCCCCATTTCTAAGCATTCATATTTGGCTTCTGCGTCGCGCTGGCACCAAGTCAGTCATCCACAGCTGCCTGGATTATCACACGAAGTCCAGTCTTCCCCAGCATAACATCGCAAGCAAGCAGAAGGTGGCAGCTTGCGAAGGCAGGGTGAAGAGTCTTAGGTTCCCCAACTCTGTTTTCCCCTTCCTCTGTCTTTGTCGTTACAGTGGCCCCCCATATCCGTGGGAGATACATGCCAAGACCCCCAGCGCATATCTGAAACAGCTGATAGTCCCAAGCCCTATATATACTGTTATTTTTTCTTATACACACATACCTGTGATAAAGTTTTAATTTATAAATTAGGCACAGTAGGACATAAGCAATAACTGGTAATAAAATAGAAGAATTATAAGCATATGCTGTAATAAAATTATGTGAATGTGGTGTCTCTCAATTTTTTTTTTTTTTCGAGATGGAGTCTCGGTTGGTCGCCCAGGCTGGAGTGCAGAGGCGCGATCTCGACTCACTGCAACCTCCGCCTTACAGGCTCAAGCGATTCTCCTGCCTCAGCCTCCCAAGTAGCTGGGATTACAGGCATGTGCCACCATGCTTGGCTAATTTTTGTATTTTTAGTAGAGATGGGGTTTCACTATGCTGGCCAGGCTGGTCTCAAACTCCTGACTTTAAGTGATCCACCCGCCTCGGCCTCCCAAACTGCTGGGATTACAGGCCTGAGCCACCATGCCTAGCCTGAAAATATTTTATTGAACTGTACGCACCTATTTGGACCACAGTTGACCACAGGTAACTGAAACTACAGAAAGTAAAACCACGGATAAGGGGGACTACTGTATCCTATTTTGAAGTTTACAATTTCTGTGTTTCTCCTTCTCTTTATAGTCATAGCAGCCACTTTTTTTTTTCTTTTGATGCCGCTAAAATGGGTGCAAGTCAGGGAATGAATGGAGGTGGCGGTTGTACTGGGCCTGATGACCTTTGCAGCTTGCCACATGGTTGAATTGCCATTATTTTAGGGGAAGGAAAAAGACAGGAATTCATTCCATGGGTAGCTTGATGAATATTAACTGATAACTTTCTCTTTTTAAAGATAAAAAGATGGCCGGGCACGGTGGCTCACGCCTGTAATCCCAGCACTTTGGGAGGCCGAGGCGGGTGGATCACGAGGTCAGGAGATCGAGACCATCCTGGCTAACACGGTGAAACCCCACCTCTACTAAAAATACAAAAAATTAGCTGGGCGTGGTGGCGGGCGCCTGTAGTCCCAGCTACTGGGGAGGCTGAGGCAGGAGAATGGCGTGAACCCAGGAGGCGGAGCTTGCAGTGAGCCCGGATCGCGCCACTGCACTCCAGCCTGGGTGACAGCGTGACTCCGTCTCAAAAAAAAAAAAAAAAAAAAAAGAAAAAAAGACATGATTGCTGCCCTTAAAAAGTTCACGTTCCAGTGAGCAAACAGGCCCTGACAAATAATGACAGCACTTGGTTATGCATACCCAGGGTGGCAGGGGAGGAGACAGTACCTGGCCCTTCCTTGAAAGGGGCATGATCAGGGGAGGCAGATTCTGGATGTGAGAATTGCACCATGAAACAGCTTTGCTGTTTGTTTCTATCTTTTCTCAAACAGCAATTTAGAACACCAGAAAAGCAATATGAAATCACATGCCACCGTGTCTCCTGTTAGAAGACATGGCATTCCTCCATGACCACTGCCAGAAAAGTTTTGGAGACTTTGGGAAGCTGAATCTTCTAACCCAAATCTTTCTCCAAACACACATGCATACACATGGACACTCATCCTCACACACCATCACCACCAGCACACAAACACACACCCACACCCACACCAACCCCCTACATGAGAGGCTTCCAGGCTTTTTTGTTTTATTTTGTTTAATGAGTAAAAAGTATTTTCACGGCCGGGCACGGTGGCTCACACCTGTAATCCCAGCACTTTGGGAGGCTGAGGCGGGCGGATCACCTGAGGTCAGGAGCTCGTGACCAGCCTGGCCAACATGGTGAAACCCCATCTCTACTAAAAATACAAAAATTAGCTGGGTGCAGTGGTATATGTCTATAGTCCCAGCTACTCAGGAGGCTGAGGCAGGAGAATCGCTTGAACCCAGGAGGCGGAGGTTGCAGTGAGCCGAGATGGTGCCACTGCACTCCAACCTGGGTGACAGAGCGAGACTCTGTGTCAAAAAAAAAAAAAAAAAAAAGTATTTTCACTGTAAAACCAGGAAATGACAAAGGGACAGGGGGTTAGATAGTCTTAGAGCATAGGAGGGGGCACCTGACCCTGGGCATGCTGGGTTGCTGTTGATGACTTCAACTCAGAGGATGCTCGGTCCTGGCTGTGTAATTGCTAGGCCACAGATGGACCTGAGAGATGCAGATGCGGGCACAGTGAGTTCATTGGAGAAGCAGAGTCTGAGAGTGGTGGGCCAGGTGAGGCCGACCAGGAGGAAACGGACCCACAGGCGGGAGATGGGCTGGGACTGCTTCCTTTTTGGACACTCCTCAGCTTCATCCTAGTTTCCCATCTTAGAAAGGGGACTCAGTGCCATATGGTATTTGGCATATAAATGATATTTCTAAAAAGTGCTCCTTGAAGATGGATTCCCCCAGGCTCTGAAGGCATTCCAGGAACATTCTCGGTGGGTGACCTTGCAGAGTTACTTGTGGGCAGGCAATGGCACCCTCTGGTTTCGATTATTTTAAAGCCAACTCACATTGCTCTATAGCCAAATGTCTTTCCCCTTTGCCCGGGCTGACCGGTTTAGTAACTTTTCTTTGGATGTTAGTGTTTTGTGTTTTACACCACTTTTTGTTCTCTCCCCGCATGGGTTTCTCCCAGTACAAACAGGTGTTCCATTGTTTTTGTTTGTGTTGTTTGTTTCTGTTTCCTGGATGTTTGCAGCCCAGATGATGTTCCCTCGAGTGGCCGGATTCTCGTTCTGGCTCCCCCTCCCCTGATGGCAGGCCCTTCCTTGCCTCTGACTGGTTCCCACCTTCCCACTCCCTACCCCAGGCCCCACCTTCAGTTCTTTCCCTGGCTCTGTCCAGCCAGGCTCTGCCTCCACATCCCGCCCAACTGCTTAGCATGAATGCTAACCCCAAAATTCTCCTTCCTGCTTCTTGGCACCAAGGTCATGGGCTGAGTCATGCATCTTCAGAGCTAACTTGTCCTCAAACGTGCCTTAAACATGCCTTGTTCAGGTAGCGCCCCTAGTAGCCGCCCTACGCCCCACCTCTCCCCACTGGGTCAGCTGCACCTATGCTGGAGAAAGAGGACAAGGCTAAGTGGGTAAATACTTGTTTCTGTGCTGGAGGAAGTGTGTCCGGGCCGGGCGTGGTAGCTCACGCCTGCAATCCCAGCACTTTGGGTGGCCGAGGGGGGTGGATCCTGAGGTCAGGAGATCGAGGCCATCCTGGCCAACATGGTGAAACCCCGTCTGTACTATAAATACAAAAATTAGCTGGGTGTGGTGGCACATGCCTTTAATCCTAGCTACTTGGGAGGCTGAGGAAGGAGAATCGCTTGAACCTGGGAGGCAGAGATGACAGTGAGCTGAGATCATGGCACTATACTCCAGCTGGGCAACAGAGCAAGACTCCATCTCAAAAAAAAAAAAAAAAAAAAGTGTGTTTCGTGGCAGGGAACAGAAGGAAGAGCTCATTCCTAGATTCCTTGGATAGATGTGTGTCCAAAGGAAGGAAGAAGAGTCTACCCACCCACAAGAAGCAATTTTTTAGTTTGCTGATTATGAGATGTTTTTGATTGGTTGACTGGCCTTCCTCTTGATAGTGGCAGAGATAGATGGAAGGGTAGGTAGATATTTGGCATTGATGCCCGGGTACCTGGTAACCTGCAGCCTGAGGTCCTTGTCCAGCCTGAGTGAGGCAAGGGTTTTCTGTTTCTGTTTTTCATGAACAGAATAGAGAAAGGAATTACTGCTCTTTTGGTTCCTCTGAATAAAATGGTTTTTGCCCCTTGGGGAACTAGGTATAGTGTGTAAGACTCATCCCAAGTGGGAGAGAATGTGCCTCCACATTGAATGTGATCTTCCTTTTATTTCTTTGCATGAGGAAAATGACCTGTGCTTTGACGCTATGGGCTTCCCCGGCCCAGCTCCCTGCTCCCAGTCTTTCTCACCTCAGTGGACGAGAGTGCTCTATTCCTATTGGAATTTTCTCCAAATTAACACCTGGAGTTTCTAGATCAGTTTAGGAAAGAAATAGGCTGTGCCTGCCTTTTTTTTTTCTTTTCTTTTTTCTTTTTTCTTTTTTTTTTTGACAGGGTCTCCCTCTGTTGCCCAGGCTGGAGTGCAGTGGCACGATCTCAGCTCACTGCAACCTCCATCTCCCGGGTTCAAGCCATCCTCCTGCCTCAGCCTCCCGAGTGGCTGGGATTACAGGCACATGTCACCACGCCCAGCTAATTTTTGCATTTTTAGTGTAGACAGGGTTTCGCCATGTTGGCCAGGCTGGTCTCAAACTCCTGACCTCAGGTGACCTGCCTGCCTCGGCCTCCCAAAGTGCTGGATTACAGGCATGAGCCACCATGCCCGGCCCAGGTTGTGCCTGCTCTTGTGGGATAGAAACAGCCATTGCAGAGGATTTGGGTTCCCAGACTCTTCATGCCCCACCTGTGGGCATCAGAATCCAGGTAGGTTCTAGCACGGATGACAGATGGCTCCCAACTGTGGGGCATCTCCCCTGATTCACTAAAGGCCACCTGGAGAATTTTCTTGGAAAGGATTGAGAACACTGTGGGGGAAGTGTGGAGATCAATTAGTAATATCTACCATCAGCGTATCAGGATGACAAATCCCTGGTTTGTGGTGTAGAGTGAGGTGTCTTCTAATACGTGCTTCATCCTCAGAAGAAGGCTGAGGAACAGCCTTGCAGTAACGATGAATCCTCTTTAGGAAACCTGGTGACCTAGGGTGCCTCATTGTCAATTCCAGAGGTCAGAGGCCAGAGCCCTCACTGCCATCGACCTTCACCTCTCTTGAAGCCTGGGACTGGGACTCAAACTGGCCCACATTTAAGGGCATGGCCTGGATTTCTGTCCACCCTAGCTTCTGCTGGAATGGGTATTGAGTTTGAGGATGAGTCCTAGAATCCCTCCTGCCTGGGGGGTGGCTGGAGGCTCAGGGCAAACAGCTGGAGAGCTGGGCCACAAGCTTGGCAGCAGGAGTCCGTGTCATCAGCACTCGTTGGGCACAGTGGCCCTGAGAAGTCCTCTTGGCTACAGTAGGAAAAGCACTTTGGTGTTCCAGTTTGAGAATGTTCTAGAATTCCTGGGTTGATGGCAGGATACGGTAGAGGTGCTCAGGCCCCTGCCCTCACATTGCTCACGGTCTCCTTGAAGAGAGGAGGGCAGAGGCATGAAAAGGGCATTGGCAGTGAGTGCCAAGTGCCACAGAGATGGGGGCAGAACCCAGGCCATCAGAGCTCCAGGAAGGGCAGTCACCCCAAGGGGCACCTGCGAAGGTTTTAGGAAGGGGCCAAGACAGACCAGAGCTGGGACAGACTTGCACGGGGCCCAGAAGGACACACAGGGTGGCCATCGGCAAGGCTGGTGCTGCCGCTCACTGAGTTCAGGGCTTTTCTTTTGTCTCATGTGCTTTCGTTTCAGCACAACAAAAAGCAAGGAACTTTCTCCAGGCTCTGCACAGAAAGGAAGTCCAGGCTCCAGCCAGGGCACAGCCTGTGCAGGGACTCAACCAGGGGCTCAACCTGGAGCTCAGCCGGGCGCCAGCCCCAGCCCCAGCCAGCCGCCTGCAGACCAGAGTCCTCACACCCTCCGGAAAGGTATGGCCCTGCTTCCCTTCTCCTTGGTCTCAGGCCGGAGGTGGCTGTGACATTCCCTGAAGGCTCGTTTTCCTCTATGAACTTGGATATTGAGAAACTGTGTGGTTTAGTGACTAATTCCCATCTGGACATTAGAGCTTTGGAAGTTAAAAGGGATCCTTTCTCTATTATTCCTCAGTTTACTTATTTGACAGGTGGGCTCATTAGGGGCGTATAGAGGCCAGTGCTTCCCATACACCAAATGATGCCACCAGGGCAAAATTCATTGTCCACAATGATGTGTGTTTTCCAGAGACCTGCCGGGCCCTACCTCTGTCATTTGAAAAGCTGTATAGGGTCATCTACAGGAGTCTCCTTCCCCGCAGGGCAGCCTGGCACAGCTGCCTACCCCTAGATCACTCGTACAGGGTGACAGGAGGGAGTCAGGATAGCTTCTGTAGTACCTGAGTCTCAGCTCTGAATGGCCCAAGAATGGCCACACTGACCAGTTATTATCTCTTCAGATAATCACTTCCAAAAGCTAAAGGTATGCTCCATGTGACATTTCATAAATGGGGAGCTGTACTGAGCGTACTTATCTGAACCTTTTTGGTTTGTTCTTACCTGTGTCATCTCTTTGCAGAGTCTTTCACTCGTCTAAAATAATACATCATCCTGTGTGTTCTAATTTCAGACCACTCGCACTTCTAGGAGCGGCTTTTAACTCCTGGATTTGTCGAATAGGGCCCGGATTTAGCTCATCCACATGTGCCTTCATGACAGGCCCTTTTCCAGCCCCCTTAGTTCCGATCTGCAGTGGCAGTTTCATTCTCTTTGTCTGCCCTCACCAAGCCCGTGGATCTTATTCGATCCCTACTCATTCCTTTTGCATTCTACACAAATTTATTAAATCCTGCTATGTACAGAGCTCTGTGCTTTCCAGAGAGGAAGGCAATGATAAGGCAAAGGTGTTGGCACTGTGCTGGGAGACACTCAGGGTACTGTAAGGACACCTGGGAGCATGCTTTCTCGACTCAGGAGTTAGGACAGGTGGCCCAGCGGAAACGACATCGTGAAGGTTGAATAGGAGTTGGGCCAAAGTGCCGGCGTGAGATTTCAGCATCTCAGAGCATTTCTCCAGCACCAATGGTTTCTCCTTGGTCTAGATGCCATATTCTTGGTTATGTCTTTTTTTTTTTTTTGAGACGAAGTCTTGCTCTTGTGCCCCAGGCTGGAGTGCAATGGCACAATCTCGGCTCACTGCAACCTCCGCCTCCTGGGTTCAAGCGATTCTCCTGCCTCAGCCTCCCAAGTAGCTGAAATTAAAGGCGTCTACCACCACACCTGGCTAATTTTTGTATTTTCAGTAGAGATGGGGTTTCACCATGTTGGCCAGACTGGTCTCGAACTCCTGACCTCAGGTGATCTGCCCACCTCGGCCTCCCAAAGTGCTGGGATTACAGGCGTGAGCCACTGTACCCGGCCAGGCACCTCTTTGTTTTAGAGTCCTTTAACTGGCCGGACGCAGTGGCCCCTGCCTGTAATCCTAGCACTTTGGGAGGCTGAGATGGGCAGATTGCCTGAGCTCAGGAGTTTGAGACCAGACTGGACAACGTGGTGAAACCCGTCTCTACTAAAATATAAAAAAATCAGCTGGGCGTGGTGGTGGGCGTCTGTAATCCCAGCTACTCAGGAGGCTGAGGCACAAGAATTGCTTGAACCTGGGAGGTGGAGGTTGCACTGAGCCAAGATCGTGCCACTGCCTTCCAGCTTGGGCAGCAAAGCAAAACTCTGTCTCCAAAAAAAAAGAGTCCTTTAACTTTCCCCACAGCACTACAATACAGGGGTGATGGCTAAGTCATTGTCTCGTCCAGTGGGAGAGCCAGGGCTCCTGTAGCAGCCACCCAGCCTCCTAATGCCAGTGACAGGTTGACCCTTTTCGTTTTTGCAGCACATTGGACCTAGGCAGCCAGTGTAGCCTAGAGTGACTCAGGTCCCTTTCCCAAGTGACCTTCAATAGCTCAGACCCATCTTTTGAAAGGTATACATTTCTTCTCTACTCCCCATCATGCCCACAGATGGCACACTTAGCAGGTCTTTTTTTTTAATTTTTTTTTTTTTGACACCTCAGTCTTCTGACAGCGTGCCGACAATTTCACATCCTATTCCTGTCACCACCGGAAGTGGTAAATGTCATCACAGACATGGTGATGCATCCTCTGTCCCCCAGCTCCTTCGTGAGAAGGCATGTGCAAGCATTGATACCTAGGGTCTCCACCTGCTTCTCATCCAGGGGTACCCCTGCGTCTGTCACCCATGACCACGTGGCTGCCATGAGCTGCAGTAGCAGCTGCTGGAAGCACTTCCCCTGTACTCAGGAAGTAGAGTTGAAAAGTGAAATTGGAAAGTTAAGTGGTTTTATTATGTCATGATTATGTGGTACTTGACATGTATGATCTCATTTAATTATTACACTGCTGCAGAGAAAATCTTTTTCCTCCAATTGCATAGAAGATGTTTGAATAAGTTGACCCAGGGAATACAGCGGGTAAGTGGCAGGATAGAAATTTGAGCCCACGTTGGTAGGATTCTGAAGGGCATGTCCTTCTGTCCACACTGCAGACTGACACACCCAGAGAATACATGAGGTGTCCTCCTAACAGACCTTGTTCCTTGGAGGGAGTGGGGGTGGGGTGGGGAGAAGGAAGAGCTTCTGACCTCTCCCTTAGGACTTACAAGATAATTCCTTCTAGAATCAGACCCACACACATGGCTGGGCACCGTGGCTCACGCCTGTAATCCAAGCACTTTGGAAGGCCAAGGCAGGTGGATCATGAAGTCAGGAGATCGAGACCATCCTGGCTAACACAGTGAAACCCCATCTCTACCAAAAATACAAAAAATTAGCTGGGCATGGTGGCAGGCGCCTGTAGTCCCAGCTACTTGGGAGGCTGAGGCAGGAGAATGGCATGAACCCGGGAGGCGGAGTTTGCAGAGAGCCGAGATCGCGCCACTGCACTCCAGCCTGGGTGACAGAGCGAGACTCCATCTTAAAAAAAAAAAAAAAAAAAAAAGGAATCAGACCCACACACAGCCAGTCCTCACTTAAGCCTAACAGGTTAGTGATCACTCTCTCAAGATATTTGCCCATCAAGTATCTCCTGGACGTTTGAATTTATTGTCTTTACCAATTCATTTTCAATTAAAGGTATAATGGATTTGTCATCCTATAGGGAGATTGGGAAAAGGATAATGAAGGTAAGGCAAAGGAGGTCAGGGCAATAATGTACTTTGAAAAATGCGGTTGATTGGCCGGGCGTGGTGGCTTACGCCTGTAATCCCAGCACTTTGGGAGGCCGAGGCGGGCGGATCACCTGAGGTTGGGAGTTCAAGACCAGCCTGACCAACATGGAGAAACCCTGTGTCTACTAAAAACACAAAATTAGCCAGGCGTGGTGGTGGGCGCCTGTAATCCCAGCTACTCAGGAGGCTGAGGCAGGAGAATTGCTTGAACCTGGGAGGCGGAGGTTGTGGTGAGCGGCGATCGCGCCATTGCACTCCAGCCTGGGCGACAAAAGCAAAGCTCCGTCTCCAAAAGAAAAAAAAACAACAAAAAAACCCCAGAAAAACAACGAAAAATGCAGTCGATCCATACATGCTTAGACCAGCGGGTACAATTCTAGGAAGAAACAAGAATGAGAAGAAAGCCTCAGCAGCAGGGATGCAGGATTGAGGCACAGCATATAAAGTAATGAAGGAACAGGGGTTCTGTGGCCGGAGGATTTGCTCACATATCACTGTTAGGGGAGCCAGAAGCCACTGGACAGGTTCAGCCAAAAGTCAGTTTTCTATCCCGAGGACCTGCCCCTGTGTCAGGGCTCCTCTGTCCATTACAGCAAATTGAACTGGAGTCATCCTCTGCTGGACCCTGCCCCACTGACTCACTCTTGCTCAGAGAGTAGCAGCGATGCCTCTCACCACTGGGAAGGCAGCCCACTCCTGTGGATGGGAAATTTGTTCTCTAGTTTGGCTGGGTGTGCGTGTGTAGATCAGGGCAGAAATCCAGAAAAGAGGAGGAAAAATTAGTTAACAGATGGGAAGATAGGAAAACTTGCAGTTCTCGGTTAATTTTTAAAAATTGTATTGGCTGCTGTCAATGTGGCAAGAGGCCGGGGGGCAGGGCAGGGAGGTGTGGGTGGGTGGCGAGGGGCAGGAGGTGGGGACAGCTTTGAACGCTGAAGGGTGTGTGAACAGGCCCCACAAGTGGCTTCATTCAACAACTTTGTGTTTTGTTGTTGTGTTGTGTTTTCTCTTTCAGTTTCAAAGAAGCTGGCACCGATTCCACCCAAGGTCCCCTTTGGCCAGCCGGGGGCTATGGCAGACCAGTCCGCTGGCCAGCCGTCCCCAGTCAGCCTGTCCCCCACCCCGCCCAGCACCCCGTCACCCTATGGACTGAGCTACCCTCAGGGGTACTCCTTGGCCTCGGGCCAGCTCTCCCCAGCTGCAGCTCCTCCCCTGGCCTCTCCTTCTGTCTTTACAAGCACTTTGAGCAAATCGCGGCCCACTCCTAAGCCGCGACAGAGACCTACTCTGCCGCCTCCTCAGCCTCCCACAGTAAACCTCTCGGCCTCTAGTCCACAGTCCACGGAGGCCCCCATGCTAGATGGCATGTCCCCTGGGGAAAGCATGTCTACAGGTAACCAAGCCACAGGCTCCCTCACTTTTTTTTATGAACTTTAGTGAAATGTGCCTAGGGGAGGGATTGCTAGTGTTACTGCCAGTGAACACATTCCTGCGTGCTTTGGGATGACTGGGCTGGCACCAGGGGTAGCTCATAAGATCTCCTTAGAAGCCCACCAATGGAAAGCAACCCTGGAATCCATGTGTCCCACACAGGGGCTTCTTATGGGATCTCTCTCGGTCTAAGCCCACCAGCCTGGGGTTCTGTTTTTGCTCTTATTATCGGGGGTTGAAGACACTGAGTCATTTGGAGTGGGGCCTCAGGAGAGGCTGGAAGCTGGTTATGATCACAAAACAGCATCAAAACTCAGGTATTTCCTGGATAGAGCCCAAGCAACTGACAGGTATAAATGCTTATCTGGAGAACAGGGGCTAAGAACCCAAGATGTTTTTTACTATTACTAAAATAAGCCTTGCTAGAAAAATATACTTCCAGATAGATATTTAGAGAGGGGTGAATTTCAGAAAACATGCATGTCTCCATTCTCCTCCACCAGACTCCCCTCCCTGGCCAATTCCCTGAGGAGCTAATTGGACAAACCCACAACGACTTAATTTAGTTTGGGCTTAAATTTAGAAACAAAGACGGAGCTCTCTTCCCCCAGAAAAATCTGTAAGCACAAAATCGCAAACACACACCACGTTTAGCCAAAACCATTCATTGGCTGGAAGGAACGGGATGTTTTTGGAACATCTCCCCAGACACTTCAACCACATAAGATTATAAAGTCAGGGGCCTATTTGTGGTGGCTGCTAAAGTCATTTGAGCATTTTCCTTGTTCAGGGAGACAGGCACAGGGTTGAGCTGTGTCTTGGGCTAGAGCCAACCCACTTAGTAAAGTGCAGTAGCATGGCGGTGAGCTGGAGCATATGTGTACCTAGTGTTGTCCCAAGTAGCAGAAGGTGAGGCAGCTTGGGTTGGAACACACACACCACATACACACACACCCACTCACCCATTTCAAAGAACAGTGCTGTCCTAGGATGCACTGGGACTTTTTGTGATAATGCACTTTTCCCTCCACGTCCTTCTCCAAAAGAGTGATTTATTTCTTCCGTGATTAGACGGAAGCAGTGACCCTGTGGGGTTCAGCTCCGTGCTGCCTTTGAAAAGGCTAGTCCAATTTGCAAGTGTTTGTACTGGGTCAGATTTAAATATTACGGGGAAGAGCCATCTGGTGATTCGGCTTCTTTATTTTTGGATGTGATTAATGTTGAAGGTACAGCTGCTGTCATCTACCCCGAGGCTTATTAAAAATTAGGCAAATTTCTCCCTGGAAAATGCAGTAGCACCACGCCCATCTTGGTGGGTCTTGGTGCTGAGGTGTCTCCTGAAGGAGCCCATGATAGGAGGGCACAGGCTTGCTGCCCTCGGGGAAGGTCACAGCTGCGGAGGAGCTGAAGGTCACCCGAGCCAGGTCTCCAGGGCTGCTCCTCCCAGTGTGTCACATCTGGTGACTCTTCCAGCCACCCCAGGGAAGGGACACAAGGTAGTGTCAATACATAAGCAATAGAATGAGCAGAAGATGGCCAGGCACGGTGGCTCACGCCTGTAATCCCAGCACTTTGGGAGGCCGAGGAGAATTAGTTGGGCATGGTGGCACGTGCCACTAGTCCCAGCTACTTGGGAGGCTGAGGTAGGAGAATTGCTTGAACCTGGGAGGTGGAGCCGAGATTGTGCCACTGCATTCCAGCCTGGCAACAGAGCGAGACTCCATCTCAAAAAAAAAAAAAAAAAAAAAAAAAAAAAGAATGAGCAGAAGATATCAATGGAGAAGCAGAAAAGAGCAGAAGGAGAGGAGAAATTGGGGAACAAAAGTGGGCAACAGAAGGCCTGGGAGGACAGCACCCCCAGGGCTCTAAGAAGCGGAGTGGCTCATGTTCCATCTTGCAGGTTTAAGAACTCCTGACCTTCAGGATTCATAATGTCCCTCGCCCTGTGCGGACCCTATTTTAATGTCCTTTTGGCAGCAGACTGTTGTTTTGTCCCATACGTTCAGGTCTCTGAGCCAGTGTAGAATCCATCATGGTTTGATGTGGCCCGTCTGGGACTGTGATATTGGCATAGCTTTTTTTTTTTTTTTTTGTGACGTTCATGTTTTGTCGTGTTGATTCCTTTCTCCGAATCCTATCATTGTGTTCTTGCAGCTGTGTGACATGAGTGGCGCAGTTTTGGATACGTGTGAGGGGGATTTTCAGGGTAAGCTGGCCCCGGCCTCGCCCCTCCACCCCGCTAGCTAGCCAGGCCAGCTGCCCGCTCCTCCCCTCCGCTCCTCGTCTCTGCATGTGGCTCAGACCATTTGCATGGCAGCTTCACTCTCCAGCCTTCCCCGGCCTCAGCAAGGATGAGTTGATCCATGAGCTTATTTGGCTTTGGGGCATCCCTGGCCTCCTTTTCTTTCTTTTCATTAGGAGGAGCTGGGGGAGAACCCAGCCAGCCCCTTTCCCCCACCTTCTCTTTCACTGGAATCACATCTGCAGCTCCTCCCCCTCCGCCCTCCCTCAGGCTTAGACCGTGGAGCTGTAACAGATCTGTTCTTCGTGTGAGACTTTTGTGCTGGAGACGCTTGTGCCCAGCACCCTGGGGGACATGCACCTGCTCACCTTTGTTTAGGAAGGCGTCCTGAGGGGAGGTCATACCAGGTGCAGCCCAGCACAGGGTCCACACCACAGCTTGGACCCCATTTTCTGTGGCCCCGAGTTTGCACCAGCAGATCTCCCCTTCCAGACTTAGATCCTAACGTCTGGCTTCCTCCAGGCTGAGACTGCTGGCAAATCCTAAAGAATCCATATCGGAGCTCATCCCGCTCCCCTTCTCCCTCATCCCAAGTGGATATGGCCAGACAGATCCTTTCTATCCAACTCAATAAAATTTGGGGGAGCATTTATATCAGTATCTATTTGGTCTCCTCCTCCTATAAAGAGTAAATCCTCAAAGCATAACTGAGGGAAAGGCACGAAGGAAGCCAGAAGGACTTTGGTGTATTTGCCTCAGTAAGTAGGGGTGGCCAAAGCAAACCAGGTCTTCTCCCCGATTTGGCCCATGGTCCTGCAGAGACTACCGAGGCGCACCAGGATATCTGGTGCTCACAGACAGGTCTCCTGGCGGGTGCTTCCCGAGTGTCCTGGAGACAAGCAGCCACTGTGTCCCTTTTCCCAGGAATGCTGATGAGGGCTTCTGCCCCTGAATCCCATTCCCTTGCATAGTGACTCCTCCCTTGGGGGTGTCTTTAAGGGAGCAGCAAGGATAAAGGTATGACAGCTCACACAAGTGCTTGTTCTGGGCCTGTCTAAATTCATCACCGCCCTGTATTATTCCCATTTGACTGCTGAGGCACAGGGAAGGTAGGAAACTTGTCCAAGGTCATGCTCTTCCTGCCTGACATATTTGGGATTTTTGAATCTAAGCAGGGGAGCTTGGTGCTCTTACCTGATAGCGAACCCTGCACAGTGAGGTGGGCCCCGGGCCACTCAGCCTCACACCTGTGTAGAGACATGACCCAAGTAGCTGGGGAAGGGCAGAGGTGGGTCTGAGGCCACCTGCTTCAGAGGAACAAGTGGCACTGGCTGTTCCTCCAGCCCCACGCCCCAAATCTCTGCTTCTCCATCAGGCAGCAAAACAAAGACTGGAAGGACGTGAGGGCTGCCTGGGGGTTGGGGCAAGGGAGGACCTTTGTTCAAGAGCTTCCATGTTTGTATGATGTCTTTCAGGACAGTGTCCAAATGTATGTCTGTACACTTAGTATGGTATTCCCCAGTCTGAACATGTGTTCCCTTCCTCTGCCTCCTGGAGTGCTGCTCCCAGCCTTGCAAAGCTAAGTGACGGCCAGAAACTAAGCAGGCAGGCCGGGCGTGGTTGCTCACGCCTGTAATCCCAAAACTTTGGGAGGCTGAAGTGGGTGAATCACCTGAGGTCATGAGTTCGAGACCAGCCTGGCCAACATGGTGAAACCCAATCTCTACTAAAAACACCAAAAAAAAAAAAAAAAAAAAAATTAGCCGGGCATGGTGGTGGGTGCCTGTAATCCCAGCTACTCGGGAGGCTGAGGCAGGAGAATCGCTTGAACCCAGGAGGCAGAGGTTGCAGTGAGCCGAGATTGTGCCATTGCACTCCAGTCTGTGTGACAAGAGCGAAACTCCACCCCCCCCAAAAAAAAAAAAAAAAAAAAAAAACTAAGCAGGCGGAGGAAGGGGACAGCATGACGAGAGTAAAGGACCCAGGGGATCTGTGGTTTTCTGGCTCTCTGGCTGTAGCACATCCTGGAGGAGTCAGCAAGCACAGCCTCGTCAGTGTCCCCCAGGGCGGCGGCTGCAGCAGCAAGGGGATTTTTTTTAACGTGGTGTGGCAAAGAGGCTTCGTGTCCACTCAGCTGCCAGTCTAAGGACTTCTGTCGTCTTTGCCGACTCAGAGACGTCCAGACACTGAGCTGTTATTTCAAGTACATTTCTCCTGTTCATCTTGCCGGGAAAAATGACCTTTTAATGCTCCTAATAAATAAGGATGTAACCAGAGGTGGGGGTTGTCCTGCAGTCAGGGACAGTTGGCACCAATGACAACCAGGGTCCTGAGGGAGACCTTCTACTCCACCCATGTCAGCCATCCAAAATGCAGCTGTTTCTTAGAGTGAGGACACTGGCTCAGGGTTCCCCATTCTCTCACAGGCTTGAGAGGAGAAAGGGGTCCACTGTCTCACGTCCTGTCCCTGCAGATTCTGGGGAATGAAATGCAGTCGTCTGATATAGATCCCCAAAAAGGTGTCATTGAGACCTACTCAGCATCCTTCTTATCAAGAATAAAGGACCCTGTGGCTTGGCAGGGGAGTGCTGTTCTGGCCTTCCTCTGAACCACAGTGGCGTATCCTGGGTGCTTTGGTTCTACGAACTTATGGGGTAGAAGCAAAGCAGGCATGAGCACAACCTGATCGACTGTGCAACACAATGCTTAAACCAACCTCCAAATGATCTATCCCTAGAATAGCAGCACCCCTGCCTCCTAAGGCTGACATTATTTGCCTACAACTAGGTTCTCATTTGCCGGGAAGCCTCCTTTCAACCACCTCTCTCTCTGCCGCCTTCCAGATCTTGTCCACTTTGATATTCCCTCGATCCACATAGAGCTCGGGTCGACGCTCCGCCTGAGTCCCCTGGAGCACATGCGGCGACACTCAGTAACTGACAAGAGGGACTCGGAGGAGGAGTCTGAGAGCACCGCCCTCTGACATGACACCGCCCATCCTGCCTCGCGTGTACATACATCACGGGCCCTAGGAACGCCGCCAGGAGCAGCGTCCATGAGCTTGCCAAGTGTTCTCTGCTGGCTCTTTCCTGCCACTGCCAACACGAGGTTGGAATTTGGCAGAAAATTGTGATCTCCAGTCCGTGTGGTGATGCTGGTGGTGCAGGTTTTGTTTGTTCCTTTCGGGTGGTGACTTCGGCCTTTTGTTTGACCTTTGCCTTTTGACTTTGTGCCTCTTTTGATCCACTTTCAGCCTCCATGCCAGAAAACACCCACCTCTCCATCCAAGGCTGGTCAGGAACGTCCTTTGCAGGGTCGGGGTGGTGCGGGAGAGGCTCACTTTGCCTGGTTAGACCCAAGGGCTGCTACCTTTTCCTTGGACGGCTCATGTCAGGTCTTGCAGGATCAGTTTAATGGCCACAGAAAGGAAGCAGGACAGCAGGGCCCCTCTCACCCACAACTGGACCAGGTCCAGGATTCTAGCAGTCCTGGGGCACTGACCTTTGCCAGCTACCTGGGGGAGGGCTTGCCACTGGAAAACCTTTCAGGCCGCCCCCATCAGTGGGCTCCAAAGTAAATGGCTGAAAACAAAAATGTTTCACTTCCTAACAGTTTTCCTTTTTCCACTGTGTGACTGAAAGCTCCTATATCATTTTATATTTCTGAATCTATAAAACAAAACAAACAAGCCTGACAGTGTCTGGAGGAGCCAAAGGTGGCCTCCCTGTCCCCAAATATATTGGCTATATGAGAGTAATTTTACCCCTCTACGTACCTAAAGGCACCCAGTTCACTAGTCTGTGGGGTCCTGGAGCCTGTCTCTTCTTTCTGGAGGTTCAAACTGAATAGCAATAATTACGTTACCCAAAGCATGTGGAGGAAAAGTGAAACCAGCCACGGAGACGCTGGCCCACGGGCTCGGCCTGCGGTGTGGCCTGCTTTGCTCACCAGCGTCAGCCGCTCATTTCCTTCTCATGAAGTCCCATCTGGTCATGGGGACGAGGGCCGGGAGGGCACCGGGTAGCCTTTTCACACTTGGGGATTAGGGGAGTGAGAAAAGATTTGGGCCATGCATGCAAAGTCAAAGTTTAAAATTTTATCCTTTTCAAATAGATGATATAATATACCTATACATGATATAATATTTGTATATATGAAATCTCTCTATATTTGTTTAATTTGAGCCATTCAATCTAAACCAATGTACAGGTGTACAATGAAAAATTTAAATGCTTAGTTATTTTTCCCAACACAGTGTAAAGTCACCCTCCTCTGAGAGTGGGATGTGCAGAGTTTTGATGTTGCAGCTTTGCTCACTTCCTGGCAAGGGCAGGTCATGCCTCAATTTGTAATGGGAGTCTGGGGTAAGGGTGGGGGTTGAAAGTTGTTATCTTTAAATACATGTACAAATCGTTGTCAAAAGTAACGTTATTAAAATAGATTTATTATCCCTGAGCTTGGCATCTGTTCTTGCTTTAATAAACCTGCGGGGACATGGCCGTCAATCTCAAATGCACACCGGGATGGAGCCTGAAGGTCACCACCTGTGTAAAGCCAGGTCCCTGGCTGATCTCTCGCTTGCTTGTCTTTTGAGTTTTTAAAGCTCTTCTTTTTACATTCTCCTGGGTAGGGAATATACACAATAAATACTAGATTCAACTTACTTACTTACTTACTTACTTTACTTACTTACTTCCTTGGAAAATGCTCTCCATTTGTCGAGCACTAATCCACGTCTGTAAATCCCGCAAGGAGGACAATGGAAACCAGCCCCGTGTGCCATTTCTCAAAACCTTCGAGGGCAAAGTGATCCTCACTCCTCTCAGTATGGAAGCAACAACACAGCAAATCTATTGTCTCCACTTTTACCCAGAACCACCAGAAGACTTGCATTTCCCTGACCAATGACACCAGCCCAGCCAGGCTCTCACTGATTGATTTGATTGATTGATTGATTGATTGATAGAGAAAGCACGCCCTGCTGTGAGCTGGCACAGCTCGAGTTGTCAAAAAGACTTGGCGAATAAGGGTGGCTCTCTGAGGACAGGTTCCAGAGGTGCTCACTACGACGGGAGCTGACTTCTTCCAAGCCACCCGGGTACCAGGCAGCTGCCACACTACAGCACAGAGAGCCTTCTCCAAGGTGGTGCACAGCAGACCCTGCTCTGTAGCAGCAGCAGGAGGAAGCAAAAGAACTCACAATTGCAAACTCAATCTTTATTGCAGCTGAAATACTATTTTCGTTAAGTCTCGGACACTTAGACCCACTGATCCTGTTACTCTGCTTGTCTCTGGTGTGCAGGGAATCACTTTGCTGGATTAGAGGAAAGGTGCCGCCGTCTGTTTCCAAGACTTCTTTAAAAACTGCCTTGAAATGAAATTAGTTCATCTGCTTGCTTCCGTGTGGCAGCCTCCTGGCCCGCGGCTGTGCCAGGCACCAGTCCTAAGAGGCATCTATAGACTAGTGCTTATGTGGGAGCCCAAGCCTCGGCACAGCTCCATACCACCTATCCTGAGCTGCCTCCTGGGGGACCGTGCTCTTCAGCTTCTACCAGCAAGGAGGGCAGATACGGGTGCGTGCGTGGGGCAGAAGACACACAGCCTTCTGAGTTCAGGGTCTCCCAGATCTTCACTGGGCTCTGACCTTCTTGGCCTGTGGCTCCTCTGTGTGGGCCCGCTTCTGCTGAGGCTCCCCATCCTCCAGGCCGCCTGCCAGCTCCCTGGACAGGAGGGCCGCCCGCACCTGCCGCAGCTCCCGCTTCTCCCTGCGCTCCTCCATCTCCTCGATGTCGCCAGCAAACAGGGCTTTCAGTGGGGGAATCAGCTTGGGCATTGTTGGAAAGTCTCCAAAGCAGACCTAGAAGACACAATAGAAGACAAGGACATGTCTCAGAGGGGCAGGGGTGGGGGACAGGAGCTGGAAGGGATGCAGTCATGTGCTCACACAGCAGCGCCAACGCCCCTTCCTTGGCACAAGCCAACAGGCCACAGCTGAAATGGAAAAAAGAATGGCATGGAGGGAACCCTCTAAAGGGGCAGAGGCTCCCCAGGCCTGGCTAAGGGCCTCCGGAGAGGGAAGGGAGAGCAGTCCAGATGCTCTCAAAATCAAGCTCCTGAAAAACGAGGCCTGGCTCCGGCTCTGCCCCTTCATTCCGGAAGGCCAAGGGTCAGGCCTGGCTTTCCCACTCACAAGAGGCAACCACCTGTCTCACAGGTCTGTGCTGAGGCTCAAATGCCATGACTGTGTGAGCAGTCCAGGCCTAAAAGGATTCTCAGAAATTTCCAGTGAACTGAGACTGAAGACTAGTTGGCCCCTGCAGGAGGTGGGTCTCACCAGCAAACCCAGGGTGGTTCGACCTGGTTAGTGATGGGTAGATAACCTTTTCCCACGGTGGCCCCAAATAAGAAAGCAAACTCCAGCTGACCGTCCTACTCAGTGTGTAGAGTCCTGTCTCCCTGCCCCGTCCCCGCCCTGTGCTGTCCGTGTGACATACAGACCTTCATGTGGTCAAAGGCAACTCCCACTTTCTCGCTGAAGTTGGGGCTGAAGAGGGGGACCTTGGCATAGCGCTGGCTGAAGTGGTTCAGCATAATGAACTCCGCGTTCATCCGCATCCCCACGCTGATGGCTTGGGACGTTGTGCTGCAGGTGAAGGACAGAGCAGACTGAAGCTGAACTCAACTGCAAGACTGCAAAGCAGACAGTGGCACAGACCCTGGCCATCAACTGCCAGGGCACCCGGGGAAGCTGGTGGGTTTTCTTAACGGGCACCTCCGTAGCCAGCACAATCTCCCCTGAGGGCCAGAGCCTTCGCACACACCCCTGGATGAAGCCCACCCTCTGTGCTGGCTGCCAAATCTGTCCATGAGGGCACCCAAGAGAAACCACAGGGCCCACCTGGGGTAATGCACTCTTTCGTTGAAATTAGCAGCCAAAAATTCAGTCCCCCAGCCCCCGCCTTCCCCTGGCAATTCCCTGACATGGCTTATAGTTTATTCAGCCGATTTCTAGATGCTTTCAAAAAACTGTGCCTCACTCTAGAATCTTGCTTAGAAAATTCTGCAAAAATAAAGGCCAAGAGCCTGTGAGCACTGCCACAGGTCAAGGAAGCCCCCATAGCCCTTGATAGGAAGCAGGGCAGCCCCACATCAGTGGAGACAAACGACGGCTGCTCAGTGTCACGTAGTGGGGGAGGGAGAGGATGTGGGCGACAAGGACTGACCGGCCTTTGCTACCTGTGTGTCTTTTCCACTGCTTCCTCTTCCAAACCATCTTCCAGGGTGGCTTCATGTATCAGGAGGGTGGCATCTTTCCCTGGAGAAGCAGCACAAGGATCAGGGCAGAGTTCTCTGCGAGAGCGGCACACAGGCCTCAGTCACGTGCTGTTTCCTGGTCTCAACACTCAGCTCCCCTGGCCCTGGGTCTGCCTACTAGGATGACAACCAGAGACTCTGAGGGTGGGGACCTGAGTCTCCTGCCTCTGCTGACGTTTCCCTGCAAGCCCACCTGCATTCACCTCCAGCTACACAAACCCCAGAGCAACCTCAGGGTGGCTTGCTTCTTCCTCTACTCACCCATCCGGACCAGAGCCTCGCAGGGCATGGTGTCCCCGGAATAGACCACTTTCCAGCCAGAGGTGTGCACCAGCGCACAGCCAAACGCATGCTTGCAGTGCCGCACCAGACAGGTCTGAAACTGAAAGGGTGGGGCTGGAGGGCTCTGCAGCTCTGCTCCCCACCTCGCCCCCATGATGCCTGCGGCTGTGCCCCTTACCTCTTCCAAATCACATGTTCGCAACAGCGAACTGATCAATCTTTCCACTGCAGGACTGGAGATCTCAGCCCCTTCCTGAAGGCATTTGGCAGGAATCATACTGTAAAAAGACAAAACATTTAAAATGATAATAAACGTTTCTTGGACATCTGGAACCAAAGTTTAAGTCTTTGGCTGGAGAACCCCAAAATCATTCTTAGGAGAAAACATGAGTTAAATCATAGTCACTATGATGAGGAAACAGCAGTCAAATATAAAGAGCCAAACCAAAGCCTCTAGGCCACTGGGAGAAACCCAGCAGGTGAATGCTGCCTCCGGCTCAGGCAGCACGGGCCACGGATGGCTCCAGCAGAGGGGACTCCTTCCCCTTGGGGTGAGGATGGTGCCACCTGCCAGCTAGCCACACACCTGCTATGGACATTCTCTGTGCTAGCCACTATTTGGGTGCTTGGCTCTGGAACTGTCTCATCAAGAAAAGCTGCTCGAAGTTTAGAAAGCAGCTCAGAACTCAAATGAGGACTGGGAAGAAATGCTTCTAAGAAAATAAGCATTACATGGGAACTATCTAATGGTTTCTGTCCTTCAGCCAATGCACTTCTCCCCTGCTTCTGCCATCTGGGACCATGTCAAGGGCAAGGCTGCTGGGGGATATTGGTAACTACCCCAGTGTCCACCTTGAGCTTCTGAAGGAGACGGCAGCAAGCAACAGCCCAGCGGGCCAGGCTGCCCTGGATGCTCACCTGATGTGGTGCAGGACCTCCTGGCACTGGTTGTGGTACTGCTGGAGCCAGGCTTTGAGCTGGTTGGGGGCAACCACCAGCAAAGGGTGAAGCGGCTTTCCCAAAGATGCCTGGAACAAAAAATGCAAGTGCCGACTCGACGACAGAACATCTCAATAAAAACTGGAGTGCCAAGAGGCATGGCGGATGATGTGTAAACCGCTGAAACTCAGAACGCCCATCAAGTGCCACACTTACCAAGGCGCGTTCTCTCTGCAGCAAGATACTTGGCAAGCCCTGGCAAGGAAACAGGAGACATGCGTCAGCCAGGCCCCAGGGCCATCCCCTCCGGGTTAGGGTCTGCAGCCCTCTCTCTTGCAGGAGTTGCCAGCCCGACGTCACCCACCAGCCTCTAACACAGCCGCAGTGGGGGTGGCACAGGCCGAGCCCCCTGCGCCATGGCCCTGAAATGTCACAGGCAGAAAGCGACACGACCCGTGCTGGGAAGAGGGCAACGGCCCAGGGCCCGGCACCCCAGGAGACCAAGGTGAGGGTCTCATAGCCACACCTCCTGCATCCGGTCAAAGCTTCCGCTGAGCAGGCCGTGTGAGATTCAAGACTCAAGGAAGGCTGGGTAAACTCAAACCTGTCCTGCTGCAGGAAAGGAACTGAACAGGAAGAGAAGACATTCTTGTGGCGCAGAAGGACTATGTTGAGTTTTGCAAAAAACCATTTCCTAGCCAGAGATGAGTAACAAAAGCTCTGGGCAAGTTTGGAAGCGGAGGAAAAGACGCAGCCAAAGGGCCAACTCAACGTGGCAGTGCCTCCTCCAGGCTCCAGCTTTGTGGTCCAGCCCAACACTCACCGTGTGGTGATCTGCGTGCAGGTGGGACACAAACACAGCAGCCAGGGTGCCCAGGACCCTGTCCACCTGGTCTCCGTAATGACGGCACAGCTGCCCAAATGTGCCCTCACCACAGTCCAGTAGCAGAGACGTGTCGGGGCTGCAGAAGAGAAGAGGAAGAGAGTCACTGCCACTAGGAAGACTGCTGATGGTTCAGAGGCTGATGTCTGCTTTGGACAGGACCAAGAAGCAACTGCAGAAATTTCTGTCTCTCCTGCTTTGCTTTGAGGAGCTAATATAAAAGCCAATTAATTTAACCATAAAGGTGATTTTACATGTGTCATCCTCTTTATAGCAAAGAAGTATCCATGGAACCCTGAAACCCTTTCAAGTAGACTTACACAAAGGCTGGGCATCAAAAAAAAAAAAAAAAAGTTTATAGGAGGCTTAAAGCATTTAGTCCTAACAATGAATCTGACCATGCAGATTGACTGTGGCCACAGCCTCTGTTGAAAATACCAGGACAGGCACTGGGCCATATGAGACTCTTTCTAGGTCCAGCTGCCATCGGACTTTTCCCCCTTTGCAAGTGGTCGGGGTTTCCTCAGCTCATGTCCTCAAAGACACCTGGTGCAGGGCGGGCTGCAGGTGCTTCATTCAGGGAGCCAGTTAACGCAGACTCCCAGGTGTCACTCGGGGTTTCTGACTTGGTTTTAGGCAGGGCTCTGGAAGTCTGGATTCTGACAAACTTCTTGGGCTATTCTGCTGTGCAGTCCATTTCAGAAGCTCTGCTCCAAGGCAGAGAGAGTGCTGACCCGCTCTGGCCTCCTTCATTCTCTGGGAGGAGCCACGAACACTGAGAGGGCTGCACCCATTTTGCAGAGAGAAGCCCCGGTGCTAAGACATTACCTTCTGGGGGAAAAAGGAGTCGGGAGGCGGAGGCAAGGTGGCAATAGCACCTTCCCATTAGCTTCAGCTGGTTCAAAAGCTGCTCGCAGGGTGTCAGGTCAAACTCAAAAAGCCCTTCTTCCCCCAGGATCTCAGCCCCCGGGAGAGGCCGGCTCACTCCAAGCTGCTTTATTGCATGTCCTCATCCACAGAGAAACACACCCCAGATTGTATATTTCTGATGTCAGGGCACATCTCGTCACTGCTGTATATATTTAATGCACTATTTGGTTGTTTATCATCCACCACTAGCATGTAAGATGGCAGAGCAAAATTTAAAACAAACCTGGTAATTCACAATCTTATTTTCTTCACATACTATCTGTAGAGATAACGTGTACATGTCACAACGCATTTGACTAATCTCTCTGCTGATGACCCCAGGCAAACCCAAGAGAATCAACTAAAAAACATGTCAAGGGGAATCCAATAAAGGTTCTGAACACAAATGTGCAAAACCCTAAAGCTTTTTAACATACTACCAACAAATGGCTGGGGGACAATACCATGTAGCAATCAAGACCCCAAGTCCCCGCTCAAACTTCAGATGCCCCACTTACCAGCTGTAGGAACCATAGCAAGTCACCTCTCTGAATATCAGGTCACTCATCAACAAAATGGGTAGTTATTCACCACTTCATAGGATTAATGTAAAAATTAAAGGAGCTAATTTCTTAGCTAGGTGTACTGCCCACAGTAAAATCAGCTGTTTATTAAAAGACATCATGGGATGAATTTTGGTGATTCCCAGGGTAAAGTTTGCTACTGAGGCTATAAAATGCAGTAAGGCCACGCTCCTCTCCTGGACACTCCAGTCGACATGACAAGTGACAGGGCTTGATACCGCATTTCAAATCGACTGGTGAGTACAGCAGGACTTTTGTTTAAAAAGTAAACGTGCCCTTGATGGAAGGATGCTTCCTGGGAAAGCAGCATACCTTATGTTGACAAGTGTGGCACTGACATTTCGAA
This sequence comes from Homo sapiens, assembly GCF_000001405.40. NCBI lineage: Eukaryota > Metazoa > Chordata > Mammalia > Primates > Hominidae > Homo > Homo sapiens. Next base: position 12,998,446 of record NC_000017.11, read on the forward strand.
TCTTCATCGGGATGGCAGACCCTGTTCCAAGGAAGATGATTTCTGGGTACTGACTTCTTTTCTCTGTGAAAAAATCCATGTGAAACAATCCATTCCTTTGGGTCAAAAGTGAGCCAGCATGCAGCCATGAGAAGGTGCAATGGTTTGAGTGTCATTGGTTTGTCCCCAGACCTCATGTGGAAACGTGCTCCCTAGTATGGCGGTTTTGGGAGGCGGGGCCTAGTGGAAGGCGTTTGGGCTACAGGGACGGACCCTCCTGAGTGGCTTGGAGCTGCAGTAGTAAGTACTGGCTCTCAGGAGACTGCATTACTTCTCAAGGGAATGGATTTGTTCCCAGGAGAGGGGGGTTGTTATAAAGCCAGAGTGCAGCTCAGGTTATCCCGTCTTCACAAGCGTCCACTTCCTACTTGCGCTCCTCTGCCACGTTATGATGCAGCATGGAAGCCTTCACTGGAAGCTAGGGCCGTGACCTTCAATTCTCAGCCCGCAGAACCGTGAACTAAATACACCTCTTTTCTTGATAAATTACCCAGTCTCACATATTCTTTTATAATAACAAAACACAGACTAAGACAGATGGGTAAGCAACATAGTTCTATCCAGCTTCCCAGGAGGGGGACTGGCAGGCCCCTGGCAACCGCTCTGAAACAAAGGACTTCGCACCAGTGTGGGACCCACAGGCTATCTGTCACCAAAAGGCTAAGAAGAACAAATAAATTCTCCAGTCCTTTCTTCAAAAGAATTGCTGTAATTCTTTTACATTTAAAAAATGACATTTCTTTATGCTGGGAACTGTCATTTATTTCAAGAGAACAGTGTGTGCCTTGCATCCAGCTCTCACTGCAAGACCATGCACTTCGGTCGCATCCTCCCAGCCCTACCAGGTAGGAAATGCTCTGCTTCCCAAGGGGGAAACAGGCTCAGACGCCCAGGTCTCCAGTGAAGATGGTAAGAGGCAGGGTCAGGATTCAAATCCAGGGAGACCCGATGGTTCCAAAGCCTGTGCCCGGCCCTCAGCCTCAGTTGAGTGACGTGGCCAAGATCCTCCATGGATTTGCATCCGCAAAGCCAGGACTAGATCTCTGCCAGCCAAGTCCCTGCTCAGAGCTCTTTCCACAGGTGTTCACTAAAACGTTTCACTCAGTGCGTGCCTTGCCAAGAATGCCTGGGTGCCATCGCCAAATGCTCTGATTGGGTGGGATGGGGCACAGGAATTGGGATTTTTTTTTTTGAGACGGAGTCTCACTCTGTCGTCCAGGCTGGAGCGCAGTGGCACGACCTTGGCTCACTGCAAGCTCCGCCTCCCGGGTTCTCGCCATTCTCCTGCCTCAGTCTCCCGAGTAGCTGGGACTACAGGCGCCCGCCGCCACGCCCAGCTAATTTTTGTATTTTTAGTAGAGACGGGGTTTCATCATGTTAGCCAGGATGGTCTCGATCTCCCGACCTCGCGATCCACCTGCCTCGGCCTCCCGAAGTGCTGGGATTACAGGTGTGAGCCACCGCGCCCAGCCAGGAATTGGGATTCTTAAACTCCCCAAAGCCCCCTCCTCCAATGACTATAATTCTAATGTAGAGCTGAGTAGAGAAGCCCTGGATTAGACTGAAAAGCCAGGTTAGAATGCGCCCCACCAGCACTCCACTTAATGCTAGGAAAACAGCAGCAGGGGCAGAGCCCAGGAAAGAAAGGCTGCTCTGTGGGCTCCCACTCACCTGCTGGGGCTGGGCCGTCCTGCGCACTCCTCCTGTACTCCTGCACGCTCTGCTGGAAGTTGGGAAGCTGCAGCGCCTCAACTATGAATTCCTCAGGATTGCAAGTAATAATGGCATCCCTGCAGGAAGAGAGAGAAGCATCTCAGGTGACGGACAGGGTATATGGCCTCAGCAGACCCCATTGGGGATGTCCAGAATAAATTCAGGGGGACAATCTGCAGGAAGTTCCTTCAGATCAACACTGAAGGTTAAGTGACTAGGATCTGGGGCAGGTCTGCTCCACCGCCTTTTGGATGCTGCATCGCTCTGCCTCAGGGCCAGTCAACGGGGAACTACTGATGCTCAGGGCAAGACAGTTTTTTTCTGTGGCCAGTGCTGCTGTCCTGGTGCAGTACCCCTGACCTCTACCCACTAGCAGCACCACTACCCACCTCCTAGGCTGTGACAACCAAGAACGTTTCCAGATGTTGCCAAATGTCCTCTGAGGGGTCAATGGTCCGAGCTGAGAAGCAGGGGCCCTAGAGGAGTGACTCTGAAACTCATGTTCACACCCAGGAACCTTGGCAAAACGCAGAAGCCAGTTCGGCAGCTCTGCAGTGAGGCCTGAGATCCCACTTTCCTAGCAAGCCCCAGATCACACGGAGTGGCAACTCCTTGGACAGGCGGCTCTTCAACCTCGCTGAGCATTAAAATCATCTGGGAGCTTGTGAGTCCCAAGCCTAACTCTCAAGATTCTAATTCACTAGGTCTAGGGCAGGCCCTGTGCAATATTTTTCACAAGCACAAGGTAAATCTGAATGTCGGCTAGGGCTGTGTATCGCTGCTGTGTGTTAAGAGCCTGCGCAGATGCCAACAAAGGGACACCAGGTTCTTCAACCCCGTGATGTTGCCTGTGGGCCCGAGTCTTGCTAGTATAGTCTCTTAAAGGGCCCCAACTACCCAACCTCAACAGCACACAGCATCCAGTCATAATCCAGCACATGCTCTATTCTAATACAAATACTGTGGAGTGGGCAGGAAACTTAAAATCAAGGTTCAGATCCTTAAAAATTAAAACAGGCCGGGCACGGCTCACGCCTGTAATCCCAACACTTTGGGAGGCTGAGGTGGGTGGATCACCTGAGGTCAGGAGTTCGAGACCAGCCTGCCAACATGGTGAAACCCGTCTCTGCTAAAATTACAAAAAATTAGCCGGGCGTGGTAGCAGGCGCCTGTAATTCCAGCTATTCGGGAGGCTGGGGCAGGAGAAATGCTTGAACCCGGGAGGCGGAGGTTGCAGTGAGCTGAGATCACGCCATTGCACTCCAGCCTGGGCAACAAGAGTGAAACTCCGTCTCAAAAAAATAAATAAATAAATAAAATAAATAAATTAATTAATTAAAATAAAGATGTGGGGCAGTAAGGCTGTTCACTTTCCTGGTTGGATTGTACTGGAAGAGGCTTTCAAGATGGCATCTTACATTTATCAAGTACCTTAACAAGTCTCACACTCTGGGCCAGTAATCCCACATTTAGGAATGACTTGAAGGGAACAGAGTTCCCATCAAAGATTTATATATAAGACATTTATTGTTTCATTCATTAAAAACAACAAAAAATTGGAAACATCCCAAATGAGTAAACATCCCTATTTGGAATACCAATAAAAATCTTGTTACTTAAGACTGTTTAGTGATACAGGAAAAGACTGACAATATAAACCCACATACACAAATCAAGAAACACAAAATGTTATCAATCATTATCTCTGGGCAACAGGATTATGGGTGACTTTGTTCATCACACATTTCCTATTTTCTATACTGTGAAACACACGAGCTCTATCACTGCTATTCCCATGCAAGGCAATTTTGGAAAAGGAGAACTACTGGCCCCAATCCGCCCACCTCAACCCAGCCTGGAGTAGGCTGCTTTTCTAAATAAATTCACGCTGGCACACAGCCAAGCCCATTCATTAGCTTATTGTCCGTGTTTCTTTTGTGCTCAAAGCGGAGTTGAATAGTTACAACAGAGACCATATGGTCTGGAGAGCCTCCTGGAACATTTACTATGTGGCTATTTACAGAAATGTTTCCCAACTCGACTGAGACGATTCCATTAGTTCAAGATGGCACAGACCTCTGCCACTCCCTCCTGGGACGGAGCTGGTACTTGAGGAGGCATTCACCCTGAACCATGGGCACACTGAGGGTGGGGCCCTCCTTCTGAAAGAGACAAAACACATTCATGGAGAGAAAGAGAGGGGACGAGAGCTGGGCCGACAAGGGGCCGGTCTGAGACACTACCTTACAGCGGAAACTGGTGAGCAGGGGGAAGATGTCCGGGTGGATGAGGTTGAGCTGGGTTTGAATCTTGTGGCTGCGAAGGTTGTGAACTGAGGCACAGTTCTCATTCAGGACCAAGTGCTGGGTGTCAGGCCCAAACCTGTGAAGAAACAGACCCGGCATTTGCAGCGTCTGTTAGGAGGCAGCTCCCCCTGAGGAGTGGTGCTGAGCTCAGGAGTGGTAATGAGGATGAGGTGTTCAAACAGTTCAGTGACTTGCCCCAAGCAGTGTTACTACATGGCCAAACATGGTCCCACTCCTGCTGTCTCAAAGCCCGGTGTTCCCTAGCTCAGCTGCCTTTCAGGTGTGCTGGGAAGAGTGAGAGGAAAAACAAGAAAAAGAAGATGTCCAGGGCATACAAATAGGGGACCCAAACCCTGAGGAATGAAAGAGACAGCAGGAGAGCAGGCCATGGAGTGAGGGGCAGGTAAACGGGCCATGTGGGGAGATACGGGCAGGGGCCAAAAAGCAGCCCAAGGTCACCCCGCACCCGAGCTCAACTCATACTCCTCCACCTGGCCCTGGCCAGCGATGCCCCGAGGAAAAAGATGCCTTCCAGTGACTAAACATCTACCTCCCAGGGCTGCTGGCGACGACCCTAGAGGAAATGAAGTGAAATGAAGGGTATTTCACACACTGCCTCCCACAAAGTGGGCATTCAGTAAATGGAAGCTATCATTTTATAGCTGCAATCTCTTCTTTGGAATTCACTTATGGAATCCTCAACCAAACGGCAGTATTTGTTCAGACACCCTGAAGAGTGTGGAGGGTGTAAAATAAATGGAATCGTGTGGACACTGCGCCACCTAGCGGTGCATTTTCTTCACGAGTGTAGCACAGATCTGGGAAGCCTAGAATTCTGGGAAGGCAGGAATCCCACAGAAAGTTTAGGCAGGTGCAGAAGGGTAGGTAGCGCTGGAAAGAGCACGAGGGGAGGAAAGGGGAATCCACCACTGCCCAGAAGAGTTACCCCAAGTGCCGCTGGGCTGGGCTCCATACCTCTCCATCCACTGCTGGTACCTGCTGTCCACAAGCACAGATGCTGGGGCCATGTGAACCACCAAGGCCACGGGGGCATCTGCCTTTCCTTGGTACCTGGGCAGAAGAGTGGGGCTTTACAAAGTGATGCAGACTCAGGACACACCAAGACAGGGACCACGCAGCCAGGGAGGGGTATCGTGCGGCCCTCTGCAGCACTGCAGTGAGCTGACAGCCTCCACGCCCAGGCCATGCTCTCACAGCAGGCTGCTCACGGCAGACCCCGGTGCTGGGCCATTTCCAATGGACGTGGGATTCCTGTATCTGGCAAGCTCTGCTCTGGGCTTTCCAGTAGGCCTGGCTGATCCTTTCTCAGCACTGCACTTCCTTCCTACCCTCTCCACTCATACGGGTCCAACCTGCAAAGCCAGACCCAGGCTCTCCCTGCCTCCTCCTGCTCCCTCTCTCCTTCCTCTCTCACAGTCAAATTTCCTCGAATAAACCTCCTGCACCTCCAATGCCACCCTGGTGTCTGCCTTCCAGAGGACCTGAGACACAGGCACGAGAAATGAAAATCATCTGAAATTTCACCACCTGGACAACAGACCACTTACTAACATGCTGATGTGTTTCCCTCCAGTTCCCTTTAAAAAGAAATATACACAGTAGCTATTTTTATCTATCCCAGCATCATCACACATCCACACATGGCTCTCAAATGACACCTGATTCATTGAAGAGGTTTTGCTGCCCAAAACTGGATTAAAATACAAAGCCGGGGCTACCAGCGCATCCAAATTCACCCACAGAGAATAAAGCAGACCATGAAACAACTCCTAACGCTCTGACTCGGAAGGGGTACAGCAGCCCAAAAGGATTTGTTGTGGTAAGTAGAAAAAAACAAGTGAAAAAATACAGATAGATACAAACTAGGAACAGGAAAAATACAGGTAAACCATTAAGAGTGGGGGAAAAGATTCAAACTCAGATAGGTGGGTCAAAGATGATTCCATCTGGAATGAAAGCTGAACCGCAAAACTGGTTAACTTCGATAGAGGACAACAACAGAGTGGCAGTTAGCCCAAAAGACATTCCCCAGCTGTGAGTCCATCCCATAACACGGACTCTTGACCACGACAGTCTCACACACTCTGACCCACCTCATTTGTTTCAATGCAGGTAATGGAAGAAAATTAATTCAGTTCAAAATAATCCAAATGATAATCTGGGGCATTAGTTAGAATTCAAAAAAGTTCTAGAATTTCTTCTGGTATAAGAGCTGTAAGAGTTCTAGTTGAATTTCTAGTCCTCAGTTGTTTCTAGTTTTCAATCTTTTCTAATTTCACTTTGAGGCTGTGTACACCGGAGCCCACCAACTACCAACAGTGACTTAAGGCAGGAGTGCCGGCCTCTGAACTGTAAACCCAGATAGTGGTCTTCCCAGAAACACAGCTCTTGCCACAAGATGCCCATGTCGATGCTGGGCTGGGTTTCAGCTCTCACTTCTCCCACCCTAGAGACCCCTCATTACCTCTGAAAGGTGGCATTCTCACAGATGGGTTGAATGAAGCTTTCATCTGGACATTCTACCACCACAAAAGCAGCACCAGGATCTGGAGGAGTACACAGCTCTTCAGCCAAAATCTGCAAAACCAAATAAGCCCGCCCACTGGGGGTCACAGCTCAGCCACCAAACTGAACTGCCTTCAAGGCAACTGCTAACATGACATATCCTATCCAGTGAGCTGAGAGGTAAACAAAGCACAAAACCAACTTTACACATCACCATCAACACCCTTCTGGTCTCTTTGTGGATACCTAAACAGGTAACTGTCAGGTTGAGGCACTTCAGGCCTACACTGGCCAGGAAAGGAGGCTTGGCATTAAGGTTTTCTTCAGTCTGTGGCCACTGGTCCTAATGTCCTCAGAAGTCAGAGGAAATATCTTGACATAGAATACTGTGGCATTCCTCTGGACCATAAACCCCAGGCCCATCCATATGGGGTCTGTTGTTAGACACTGTCCTGAGCTCAAGTACCAAGGAAAGCATGCACCCTTTAAGGAGGACGGTGACTAGATCCTAAATGGACAATCTACAAAAATGCTCGAATGCAGCCGTGTTGACATGCGGGACAAACACAGATAAAAGAGGCCATTTTATCACTTAGCTGAGTGATGTCCAAACTGTTCCACGTCCTTCAAAAGTGGTGTCTGTAGGGCCTGAAGAAGACAGACTCTGCCCAGCATTTCAGACCCTACCTGTAACTGCTGAATCAAGAAAACCAGGCATCTCACCTCTCTTCCTTCATGAGTGATGCTTTTCCCGTCCTTGACAGCAGCAATGATGGGAGCGATGGCAGCTGTCCCACTGAAATGAAGAGGCAAGGCCTCTGTGAAATGTGATTTCCTTAAGTGGACAGGTGTACCCAGTGAGTCCCCAGAAGCCTTACCCCCCACACTCACACTGGGAGGCCCATCTCCTTTGCTTTGAGCACCAAGAAGTTTCCTCTCTTTAAGTGAAGCTGCAACAAAGAGAACATAGATGTGATCTTAGGGGCTAATGAAGAAGGTTGGTTTTAATCAATTTTCTTAGAAGTGTATTTTTCTAGATTAAAAAAAAATAATAATGTTGGCCAGGCACGGTGGCTCACGCCTGTAATTCCAGTACTTTCGGAGGCTGAGGCGGGCAGATCACCTGAGGTCAGGAGTTTGAGACCAGCCTGACCAACGTGGAGAAACCCCGTCTCTACTAAAAATACAAAATTGGCCAGGCGTGGTGGCACGTGCCTGTAATCCCAGCAACTCAGGAAGCTGAGGCAGGAGAATCGCTTGAACCCAGAGGCGGATGTTGCAGTGAGCCGAGATCGCGCCATTGCACTCCAGCCTAGGCAACAAAAGCGAAAGTCTGTCTCAAAAAAAAAAATAAAAAATAAAATGATGTTGTTTCCTTACAATTCATTAAAATGCGTTTATTGCTTTCAGAAGGTATACCATATTCTGAAGAAGTCATTTATTGTCAAATGCTTTAGTACTAAAAGCCAAAATGACTTAAATCAGTGTTTTATTTCCCAGCATTAACTCATTATAAATTTAATAAAATGTAATTCAATATGAAAGTTAATAAATATCCTTCAAGTATCATTGAGGAGAAACACTGTTCTGTCATTCTACATTCCTCAATTAATAGCTAAAGGAATGTCACCAGAGCGTTGCCTAACAGAGCAACCAGCAAGCAAACTGCCATGTAACATAATATTTCAATGACAGTGATAGGCTAACAAAAGCATGGATGATTTTTATTTCTCTTGTATTTTTCAATTATGTGGCAATATAATGTCACTGCTTTTATCTTGGAGATAAATTATAATAAAAAATCTCTAATAGCCAGGCACAGCGGCTCATGCCTGTAATCCCAGCACTTTGGGAAGCCGAGGCGGGTAGATCATGAGGTCAGGAGATCAAGACCACCCTGGCTAAGACGGTGAATCCCTGTCACTACTAAAAATACAAAAAATTAGCCGGGTGTGGTGACGTGCGCCTGTAGTCCCAGCTACTCGGGAGGCTGAGGCAGGAACCCAGGAGGCGGAAGATTGCAGTGACCCGAGATCGTGCCACTGCACTCCAGCCTGGGCGACAGAGTGAGACTCTGTCTCAAAAAAAGAAAAAGAAAAAAAAAAAAACCCTAATATGCTATTACATTAGAAAGGCAAACAATAATTCTACCAGAAAACTTCACAATCATTTTATAGGAAAAAAAAAATTTCACACAAACAGAAAAATGTCAGAAATGACATGTAGGCCTTTGAGTGCTAAATGACATTTGATTTCCATTTTCTCCTTTAAATCTTCATCAACTGTGCATCTTCTTTTAACTCTCTGAAGTTAAAGAGTTACTCGTAGGGCTGAGTCTCAAATTTGGATCTGAAATCCTTATTCTCAGGGTTGTAGAATTTTCCATCTTAAAAAATATCATCCTAGATGAAGGATTACAGCTTCAGTGTGCACATCACACAGTGATGATTGATGGCTGACATCTTTAGATAACTAACAACCATGTCACGACCCAACATTCTCTCCACACACCCAAACGGGTTTGAGGATGGCAACTAAATGTCTCTAATGTTTAAAAGGTACTTGCTGTTGGGGGCAGTGGCTCACGCCTGTAATCCCAGCACTTTGGGAGGCTGAAGCAGGAGGATCATTTGAGGTCAGAAATTCAAGACCAGCCTGGCCAACATGGTGAAACCCCGTCTCTACTAAAAACACAAAAATTAGCCAAGTGTGGTGGCGGGCACCTGAAGTCCCAGCTACTCGGGAAGCTGATGCATGAGAATCACTTGAGCCTGGGAGGAGGAGGTTGCAGTGAGCTAAGATTGCGCCACCGCACTCCAGCCTGGGCAACACAGAAAGACTCCGTCTCAAAAATAAATAAATAAATAAAATAAATAAAAGGTAATTGAAGGCTGGGCATGGTGGTTCACTCCTGTAACCCCAGCACTTTAGGAGGCTGAGGAAGGCAGATCACTTGAGGTCAGGAGTTCGAGACTAGCCTGGCCAACATGGCGAAACCCTGTGTCTACTAACAATACAAAAATTAGCCGGGCATGGTGGCAGGCACCTGTGATCCCAGCTACACGGGAGGCTGAGGCAAGGAATCACTTGAACCTGGAAGGCAGAGGTTGCAGTAAGTCGAGATGGCAACACTGCACTCCAGCCTGGGCAACAGAGCGAGACTCCATCTCAGAAAAACAAAACAAACAAAGAAACATAAAGGCTGGTCATGATGGCTCACGCCTGTAATCCCAGCACTTTGGGAGGCCAAGGCAGGCGGATCAGGAAATCAAGAGATCCAGACCATCCTGGCCAACATGGTGAAACCCCGTCTCTACTAAAAAAATACAAAAATTAGCTGGGCATGGTGGTGCGCTCCTGTAGTCCCAGCTACTCGGGAGGCTGAGGCAGGAGAACTGCTTGACCCTGGGAGGCAGAGGTTGCAGTGAGCCAAGATCGCACCACTGCACTCCAGCCTGGTGACAGAGCGAGACTCTGTCTCAAAAAAAGAAAAAAAAAGGTACTTGCCGACTTAAGGCAGGGAAACCCATCTCCCTGGGAGCTGAACTCAACCCATGGAGATATGTTCCTCTCTGAGGAATGCAGAGTATCTGGAAGACTGATGAGAGCCAGAACGCAGCCAATAACGCCCCAACAGTGCACCAGCTGCCCAAAGCCGAGGTCTTCCAACAGATGAGTTTTTCAGGTCCTCATGCCAAGAGACTCCTGGAACTTGACCTAGCTCAGCTTTATTGCTTTCCAAAACCTCACCTGAGAGCAGCAAATTAATTAGAAGAGGGGAAAGGCGTTATAGGCTAATCCAGTGACAGCAGCCCTCAGAAGGAGCCGCAGAAGACAGCAAGGAAGGAGATGGAAAAGCCAGGGCAGGCAGCTGGCAGCCCCCAGGAACGGCTGCCTGATAATAGGGCAACTGCCCGAGTGTGTAAAAGTGAGCTTGTCACTTTTCATCATGCTCACTGTTACCTATTCCGGAAAGCAGGAATACGATTTAAAGATTACCATAGAAAACAGTTTAAAAATCAGACAATATAAATATAGATTATCAAAAATAAAATATTTTTAAAACTTTAAAAAATGATTTTGCTATCTAAAACTCAGAAACATACAAGTAATAAGCCTGTTAACAGTAGTACTTAACTTTTATGAAAATCACATTATTCAAATAAATCGATAGAAATGATACTGGCAATGATCTTGCCACTAATATTAACTACTTACTTTCATTATTATTTTCACTTGTAGCTTTTAGAATTTAGATAACAATTCCAAATATATTTCAAAATCAACATTAAAAAATAATCTAAGCCCACAAAAAGGCAATGAAATCTTTTCACATATTTAGACAAATTTGTTGCAAATTGTATTGATAAAATTTTAATGCAAAATTCTATTAAAAATAAGCCACTAGTCAGATCTTACAAACAGCTTATTGTAACAAAAATTTTTAATGGAATTTGACCAATTTCAGAGTTACAGATCTAGGCCTTTGTGAATGCTAGCTAATATTCCAATTAATCTGGTGTTAGACCTTAGCTATTGCAGGGGAATGAAATAAAGTAAAACAGAGTTAAAAGACTTTGAATAAAGGCCTGATGGAGTTGAAGGAAAACAAACACAGCTGCCTTCAATAATTTCTGAATTCTAAAAGGACCAATCATTGGCAAATATAAAAGAATATGGACCAGGCACAGTGCTTCACGCCTGTAATCCCAGCATTTTGGGAGGCCAAGGTGGGTGGATCACCTGAGGTCAGGAGTGAAACCAGCCTGGCCAACATGGTGAAACCCCATCTCTACTAAAAATACAAAAATTAACTGGGTGTGGTGGCGCGCACCTATAATCCTAGCTACTTGGGAGGCTGAGGCAGGAGAATCACTTGAACCTGGGAGGTGGAGGCTGCAGTGAGCCGAGATTGTGCCACTGCACACTCCAGCCTAGGCGATGGAGACAGACATGGTCTCAAAAAAAAAAAAAAAAAATGTACGGAGGCTGACAGGGCACTGGAAAAAAATTTAAAAGGAAATAAAAGTATGGGGTTATTTTGAGAAACAGAGCATCTAAACTCTGAAACCTACAAGTGATGACAATTATGAAAGGTCAGTAGTAATACTTGTTGCAGGCTCATTGCCAGTGTCATTTCTATCGAATTTTTTTTTTCTTTGAGAGAGTCTTGCTCTGTCACCCAGGCTGGAGTGCAATGGTGCAATCTCAACTCACTGCAACCTCCGCCTCCTGTGTTCAAGCGATTCTCTTGCCTTGGCCTCTCAAGTAGCTGGGATTACAGGCATGCGCCACCACACCCAGCTAATTTTTGTATTTTTAGTACAGACAGGGTTTCACCACGTTGGTCAGGCTGTTCTCAAACTCCTGACCTCGTGATCCACCTGCCTTGGACTCCCAAAGTGCTGGGATTACAGGCGTGAGCCACTGCACCCGGCCTTCCATCAGCTTTTCTGAAGATCTGCTATCTCTTCTTGTCTCAGGTAACAGGAGTGCCTACCCTCAAATTAATGAAAAAGTGCAAACCAGAGGTCGCTGACCAAGACCCCAGTCATGTACAGCCCTCCGGAAAGTCTTCCTTACCTTACAGATGAAAGCTACGACCAGGGAAGAGTCCCTGACCCCTCTTCTCTGGCTAACACCTGAGGAAAAACACACTTGATTATCACAAGGTAAATGTGAAAGCTGTGAAGACATCACAGACTGATTATGACCCGATACCTAATTTCACTTCACATAAAAATTAATGGACGCTACTGTCCCAATACAAAGGCTGAAGACACTAATATACTCAAGAAGACTTTTTTTCCCTACTTATGTGGAGATGTGTTTGCGTAAATGAAAAACACAAAACTCTCACCAGAAAAACTTTAGAATGGCAAGTGAAATTTTTTTTAAATGACACATTTCACCTAGGACTGGAGAAGACAGAGAAAAATATATTGTAATGTGCTTTATAACACATATAATATATGAAATAACACAAAAGTTCAAAGGCCTGCAGAGAAAATGCTGGTGTCAGTCTTTACCCGGTGCCATCCAAACAAGGACAGCACATAGGGGTCAGCCTGTTCTCAGTCACTAGACAAGACCTCAGGACAGAAAGAGGAGCTGCCGAGCTTTGCCAACGCTGACCTTCTGTTAAGGACAACAAACTCCCGAAGCGGCCTGACTCCTGAGCTACATCTCATCTTGGACTTTTAACTCCGTTTCCCAGTGGGCTGTCATTCTGGAAGACGTGCAGAGCCTCTCACTGATTTGACTGTCTCATTGGCTTAGCAGTTATAGTTTCCACATTAATGGAAAATTTGCATAAATGTTACATTAATGAAAAATACAAAATGAATCCGTTTGTCAGGCCCTGTTCTCCTCTGGGAAAACAGAACACAGTTTTGGGCCTACCCAGACCCTGGGTGGCCAAAACTGTGGACTGGTCATTATTAAAGTTGCAGGCTGCCACCTTTACAACAACCCTTCTCATTCCCCCAACGGGCCAAGTTATAGTAAGCCCAGGAAGAAGGATCTGTTTACACACCTGGCTTTCTTACAATAATGACTCTCTACAAGCATTACAAGGCAGAGAATTAAGAAAACGCAAGCCTTTCTGCTGCTCTGTTTTGTTTATACTATTACCATGTGGAAGGTGTGGCTCATTTTCATTCGACTCGGAGTCTGAAGATCGCTCTGGACTGAGCCTGCTGAGAGGCCTTTCTGGACTCTGCCATGGTTGGTGCTTTCCCCTCCTCTGTTCACCTGGTCAGTACAGATACCACCAAATTACACACTGCACAAGGTGAGCTGACAGCCAAGGCCCAGACGTTCATACATGGGAATGCCAGAACGCCAATTAAATCAGCACACCTTTTACTATACAGTAGGAAATAACTAGTTAGTTAACTTCCTACCTGGTTTCTGGGCTGCACCTATGTCCTATTAATGTTTATGTTTCTGCTTAGCTCACAGCCTCGGCCACAGTACCAACTCAACAACGTGTTATCTAAACAGCATGTGGGTTGTAGACATGCTTATTTATTATCATCACTCCCGCTAAAACACATAGACCCAAAGGGTACCTATCTCAAGAAGGAGCCTCATTTTACATTTAGTTAAGGCTCAAGATCAAGGGAAAAAAATTCGCTGCTCTAAGAAGCTAAAGCACAGCTGCAACGAGAATGAACGTAAGTTCACTCACTGAGGGCCGCTGGACACTGAAAAAACAGTGATCGGCAAAACTGAGCATGTTAACATCGATCACGCAAATCACATATGAAAGTTAACTGTCACATGCCATGGAGCGAAGAACAGGGTGCTGGAAATGGACAACAAACAGGTGGATGCAACTCAGGCTGGGGGTGGCTACAGCAGGGGTCAGGTGAGAGAAGGCATCTGAGCAGGAGGAGCAAGCCAGGCAATGGGAGTGCTGATCAGCTCATCACAGCACTGGCCTAGGAGCACTTGTGCCATTGCTCCGGCACATTCCTCTCCTCCCTGCTGCCTTCTGCCTTCAGTCAGTGTAAGCCTCATCTCCTCGCCAGGTTCTGGACTTCTCTGGCCTTTGCTGGGTGCTCTGGTCTGTCACCCATCAGCACTACTTAGTAAGCATCACATTAGTTAGTACTAACAAGGAAATACCCCTACTGCTTGGTACTCTCTTCACATGTAAGTAAAACCAGACATGAATGTCTTTAGCCAAGTTCAAGGACAAGACTAACTCTTTTCCTAAGCTAAGACCACATCATCTGGCCCTGATACTTCGGAATTTGCAGGAGCTTCTAACCCCCAACAACACTTCTTTTAGGTTGCTGTAATCATTATTTATTTAAAAAAATCTATCTGTGCAAACCTCTTCATGATCGTCTGATCAAAAGAGGGTATTACGCCTGTGGGAAAAAACCTCCAAGCAATGAATGTGCAAACTTGAATGCAATCTATTTACCAACAGTGCTTGATTATCTAATATTCCAAAGCATAATCACTATCATTAGGCATAAGTCAGACATCCGTAAGTTTATAAGCCAGGGCAGGAGCCATATCTTCATTCCTCAACTAAATTTTCTAATCATGCTCAGAACACAAAACAGGGTGCCCACAGCAAGTGTTCAGTTTCTATTTTCATCCATGTTTTCTTTACTCAGGACGTACACCCTCCTCCTGGGAAACCTGGCTTTCATACTCACTGTGTATGGGGATCTGGTAAACTGTCATGGTTTCATCCTCGTATTCTGGGGCAGAGTGGGGCCGCACAGCTACAAGAAAACCACACAACAGCAAAGTGATTGCATTAGTGAAGATGTGTGGGAAGAGTAACTTCAGGATCACCAACCACGAGCAACTGAATTGCCTCAGAATTATGGTGGGAATCTGACACGAAAACCAGACTTTCTAAGGAGATTACCATTTTTAGGAAATAAATAAAAGTGTATTTTGGTCAGCCATTTATATTTACTACAGCCAGATGAAAAGACATTATAATCTTTGGTGACTATCCGTTAAAAATTGAAAAACAAGAAACTAGTACTCAACTTTCAGAGACCCAAGTTAACAAACAGAATAGTGAAGCCAGGGAACCTATCATCGCAAACCAGAAGAGCTGATGTATATTTTGAAACAAAGTATTAGTGTTTCTATAAAAGAGGAGTATTAACAAGCCACAGATACACACCAGTGCCAGGACAAGAGCCCTACTAGCATCCTCAGTGAGGCCTCTTCCCATCAAGAGGCTGTAAGCCCCCCTGCGCAGCTGGAGCTGCGTTTCAATGTACAAAGTTGGCCACAAAACCTCTAGGGAACCCTTGTCACCCCCGCCCCCAACTCAAAGCAACTCAACGACGAGAAGCACCTCTGGAACTGAGGCAGGAGCCCTGCCGTCTGGATGGAGAATGCCACACAGCATGTACACAGGCAGGCATCAGCTGTTCAATCACTCCTGCCGACCTGGCCCCTATTTTTACAGCATGAGGTGGGAACACAGAAAATGTCACTATTTAGAAATCCCATCTCCAGCCACATGGTAGCTCATTTTGGGAGGCTGAGGCGGGCAGATCACAAGGTCAAGAGATCGAGACTATCCTGGCCAACATGGTGAAACCCCGTCTCTACTAAAAATACAAAAAATTAGCTGAGCGTGATGGCATGCGCCTGTAGTCCTAGCTACTCAGGAGGCTGAGGTGGGAGAATGGCTTGAACCCAGGAGGTGGAGGTTGCAGTGAGCCGAGATCATGCCACTGCACTCCAGCCTGGTAAGAAAGCAAGACTCTATCCAAAAAAAAAAAAAAAAAAAAAAATCTCGTGGTGATGAAGCATTTGATTTTGAGGTTTGATGTTGATGTTTTTAATGGATTCTAATTTGAGAGGTCAGGGCATATATAAGTTAGAAATAGCAGAGGATGAGTCACAGACAAAGACGTACCCAGTTCTATTCCTTTCAATGGACCAGAAAATATTTTGATTGCTTCGAGGTATTTTTCCTAATGAAAAACAAAGAAATGAGCAGTTATGGTTGAACAAATGTAGAACACAGCAACTATTCAAGTATTTAAAAGGTTACCAATAGGTATCAACATAAAACAAAGCTTAGTAAATATTTTGAACATCATTTATTACAAATATTTACTGAGTATCCATTATATCAGATGCCAAGGATATAGCAGGAAAAAGAGATGGAGGCCTTGCTCTAATCAGGCCAGTGGAGGAGACAAAAGGAAACACGATAACAGAAACAGCTTAGTGGCATTATGCTAAGTGCTCTGCAAGGAAAATGAAAAATACAGAAGGCTGGGATCCAACTTGTCTAGAGAAGAAGAGGCAGTTCTGGAGTAAATGACCCTCTAGCTGAGCCCTGAAGGTTCAGTAACAATATAGGCAGCAATTAGAAGAGGCAGAGGGAACCCGCGGAAGGGCGAAAGTCCTGAAGTGGCCAGGGAGTTAGAGGGACATAAGAGTCAGCCCATGCAGCTGCAGTTCAGCGATGGGTACAGATGGAAGTGTGGGTAGCGGCCGGGGCCTACAGGACTTGTAGGCCATATCAAGGTGTTTTGATTGTATTGCAATGGGGAGCCCATGAAGGGCTTTAGGGTGGCAAGTGACACACTACTTTTCTGTCTTGAAGTGACCTCTCTGGCTGCTGTGTGGCAGATGGATTACAGGAAGGCGAGAATGAATATGGGAGGCTATTGTAGTTTACAGGCATAGAAAACAGAAATAAGGAAGGCCTCAATAAGAGACAAATGGATGGATTTCAAACGTTATTTTGGGGAAAGACTTAACAGGTCTTGGTGACTTTCTTCTTAAGGACTGGAAAATGAACTGTTATATTCAACAACACACACACGCCTTCTCAAGAGTGTAATAAGCTGGACTGAAAGGTAAGAAGATGTCAGAAATTTATTGAATAAAAACAAAAGCTGCCCTTTCTTGTGTGCCTACTTGGTGCCAAACATATATCTAATAAAGTGATTTAGTGCTTTATATGTGCTGCTACGTCATTTAATCTTTAACAACTCTATGAAACGTGATAGTCATCTTATAGATGAATAAACTAAAGCTCAGAAAGGTAAAGTAACTTGATCAAGGTCACATAGTTAATCAGAACTCAAGTCTTTTTAACTTGAAAGGGGAAGCGTTTCAACGACCAGGTATCTCTGGAGGGCAGAAGACTGATTTGCAAAAAGGAAAATTCTTGTTACTGATATTACAAAAGGAAAGATTGCTTTTGAAAGATGTGTCAGGAAAGACTCACCAGTTGTGGAGGTCCAGAAAGTACACACTTTGGAAGCCCGGTTTCCTTTAAAGTAAGAATCATTCCTAAAAAGGATGCATAAAATCAGATCTCTCATCAATTTGACCTGTCGTCACTAACAGGAGGAGCACCCCGTACTAATCCAACTATTTATCTACATCTCCACCTTCCAGCTTTGGAAGTACAACCAGGGAAGATGTACAGAGCAGAAGTGATGCCAGCTAGAGGTGTAACAGACACCAAATATTCTTTAAATGCCTCTAGAATGGGCTGAGCTGTCACTAGGGTGAAGCAGCAAGGCACCCAGTGTGCAAAATGTAAGGAATCATGCAAGTGAAGGGCTGGCACCCTAAGTGCCTCACCCTAGTCTCAGCCCTGAGAAGGGAGACTGGTCTAACACTTCACTCCTTCCGGTCCATGCCACCAAGCCCACACAATTTGGCTGCAACACAATCCTGACCTTCCGGTTGATAGACATAAATGACAGGGTAATCTGGACAGTGGGTATGTGTGTGGCTGCCAATGTGCCAATGGCGTCTGCGGTAAACATATTAACTGTAATCACCACTGCTAGACTCTCCAGTTTACTGCCACAAATCTCTGTCCCCGCAACGCAAGAAACTAAGTGGATGGTAACACTTAAGAGGTGGTATCCATATTAAAATCTGTTCTCCTGAGTCACAGCTTTTAATGCTCTGTGCTGCTGCTGACTGGGCTGGTATAAAAAGAATTCCAGGCCAGGTGCGGTGGCTCATGCCTGTAATCCCAGCACTCTGGGAGGCCGAGACAGGAGGATCGCAGAAGTTTGAGACCAGCCTGGGCAACATAGCAAAACCCCGTCGCTACAAAACATACAAAAAAAATTAGCCAGGTGTGATGGGGCACACGTGTGGTCCCAGCTATTTGGGAGGCTGAGGTGAGGGGATCACCTGAGCCCAGAAGGCAAAGGTTGCAGTGAGCCAAGATCACGCCACTGACAAAAAAAAAAAAAAAAAAAAAAGTAGCTGCCCACCCCAGACTTGGAAAAATGGTAAAGCCGGTTAAAATCCCAGAGACTTCCCACCAGCCTCTGACACTGCAAAGAATATACTCACCACTTAAGCCCCCAACATTAGACCAGTGCATTCGTGTCAGGAATATGTTGTCCAGGCGAGCAACCTTTAACCTAAGAATGAAAAAACATTTAAACAGGATAACATGAACAGAACAAGGACCACTTTTGCTATAAAAAACAACTGGCCTCTCATTTCGGCTTTCAAGCCCCGTAATCAACTCCCCCTCCGAAAGCAAGAGACTGACTCACTTGTGCTCCTGCATGAGTCTCTGAACGCCTTCTCCACAGTTGAAGAGATACCTACAAGACAAACATTACACAAGACATTCAGAAGGTTTTATTCTGTAAACTCTCTGACACCAATTAGATGTTTTATTGTAGACTCTGGAAAAAAAAAAAAGAAAAAAAAATTAAAAGTCCACGTTGGACTACCGAGCCACATTTATGCTGGTGGGTTTTGAGCCCTCCTTAGCAGAGGTGGAGAGGAGTGGGGGCCTGTGTGTGTGGGTGCTAGGACAAAATGAGTCCTTTCTCCACCACCGGCTACACACCAGATCTGTCCACCCCACACGCTAACAACGACACACTGGCCTTGGGGTGCACGGAAGAGGGTGGAGCTCCGAAAGTGCTGACAGCCAGGCCGGGGCCCAAGGGTTGGGAAAAGGACGCTCAGACCCAGGCCTGAAGTTCTTCACAGATCCGCAGAAATCACATGGATGCAAAGAATCTCGGATTTCCCACCCACCATAACTCCACGAACCCCCGCAACAGTGAACCACATGTGTGAAGCAGGGAAGCCGAAGCCCTGGGAGGTGCCCCGATGCTCAGAGGCTGCGCCGCACTGAGGGCCCAGCGGGACGGGGCGTGGCTCGTTGACTGACCGGTTGAACTCGGAGAAGACGTAGAGCGCGGCGCCCGAGTCCCGGCTACCCGCTGCCACCACCTGCAGGTACACGGTGTTTGGGCCGCCGGAGCACCCCGACGGTCCGCGCTTCTCTCGCGTGCGCAGGTGCCGCAGCGGGTCCTTGCGCGGCCGCTCGCGGCGGGCGGGTGCCTGCGATATGGTGCGTCCCTGCGACATGGTGCGTCCGGCCGCGGACCGCAGCAGCGAGCAAAGCGCCCACATGCGCCCGTCTCCACCAAAACTGAGAAAGCCGCCGGTCACCTACGCCCGCGTTTCCCGTGCACCACCTAGCCGCTCCGCATGGCGGATCCAGCCAATCAGCGCGCCGTGCACCGAGCTTCCCGCCTACGCGAGGCTGCTCATCCAATAGAAAGGAGCTTTACCGCTCGGGACTTGTCAATTGACAGTGGCCATAGAGTAGAGGAATACTAGAGCGTCTCAAGCGGCCCCGCCCCTAGTTCTGTTCCGGTTTGCCGGCCGCAATTTTTTCCGGAAGCTGTTTTTCTCCTGGGGCGGGACTTCCGGAAGCACAGTGCCAGGAAAAGCCTTCCTGGGGAAGGCGGGACCTAGGAGTTTGGAGTTTCGCTAAAACGCTCCTGTTCTCACCAGATAAGAGCTGTGTCCTCCGGGCACGTCAGTCCCTCAGAGCTTGAGTTAGAGGTGGTTGTAGTGGTTGTGAGGATTAAATGTGAGGAAATCAATTGTATTGAGCATTAGCATAAGCGCTTTGCTAATTTTATTTCCATTGTAATTCGTATGCATACATGTTAGAACTTGATCATTTTTACGTGGTGTCCCGAGCTTGTAGTCCCAGCTACTTGGGAGGCTGAGGCAGGAGAATCGCTTAAGCGCGGAGGCGGAGGTTGCGGTGAGTCGAAATCGCGCCACTGCACTCCAGCCTGGGTGACACCTCGAGACCCTGTCTCAAAACAAAACAAAACAAAACAAAAATTGTAGTGTTTTTTGGAAAGAAAAGCAAGAATAGAGGACAAGCTCTAAAGCAAGAGTCTTGGCTCATTTGTTAGCTGCGTGATCTTGACCTCTCAGAGCCTCAGCTTTCTTATGTGTAAAATGTAATAACAGCAATAACAGTATCTCCTACTTCAGAATATAGAATTCAGTCACCTGATAATATATCAATAGACCTTTGAGTGGCACTGTCACAGAAGAGGCACCCAGTAAATGATAGAAAATTAATACAAAATGTTTCAACTCCTAGACAATATAGCTGACCAGGGACATCACAGAGGTAGATGTCCCAATACCAGCTTTTTGAAAAAAACACCCAGTCCCCTCTTATGTAGCTAATGAGGATTTCTCACTGAAAGGGATATCAGTTAAAGCCGCTAGAAATACAGGGAGCTCCCTTAAAAGAGGAAGATAATTTACCTGGAAGCTCCACTCAAATATGATTTTTTAAAGATAATTTACCTGGAAGCTCCACTGACATATGATTTTTTTAAATAAATACTGAAAGATGTCACTTTTATTCAGGAAGTAAGGGAGATTCAAGTCATGTAGATTCCTACTCGAAAATCTTGACACCTGACTTTCCAGGATCACATTTTCATATGGAGACCAGTTTCCTCTTGGTTTCTTCAGTTAAGTCAAAACTACACGTTCCTCTTTCCCCATATATTTTTGCTCATTAGTGTATTTCTTGAGCTGTTTTCATTCAAATATGAAATTTTTTATGGAAGATTATCACCCACGGTGTGAAAACGTTTTGTACTTGAAATAACCATCCCAGTGAGGGTCAGGAAAACACTTCAGATCTACTTTACACAGTTAGAGGGCGTTACAAACTGAAAAGATTATCATACCACCATCTCCATAAGTATTTGAAATAAAAATGATAGTTTTTAAAAGTTGCTTAAAGCCTGGGCACCGTGGCACATATCTGTAATCCCAGCACTTTGGGAGGCCAAGGCGGGAGAATAGCTTCAGGCTAGTAGTTCAAAACCTGCTCTGTGGCCAGGCATGGTGGCTTATGCCTGTAATCCCAGCACTTTGGGAGGCCGAGGCAGGTGGATCACCTGAGGTCAGGAGTTCGAGACCAGCCTGGCCAACATGATGAAACCCCGTCTCTACTAAAAACACAAAAATTAGCCGGGAGTGGTTGCATGGGCCTGTAATCCCAGCTACTGGGGAGGTTGAGGCAGGAGAATCACTTGAACCCCAGAGACAGAGGTTGCAGTGAGCCAAGATCACACCATTGCACTCCAGCCTGGGTGACAGAGGGAGATTCCATCTCAAAAACAAACAAACAAACCAGCTCTGGCAACAAAGCGAGACCTCATCTCTACCAAAAAATACTAAAAAATTTAAAAATAAGTAAAAATTAGCTGGACATGGTGGCACACACCTGTTGTCCCAGCTACTCTGAAGGCTGAGACAGGAGGATCACATGAACCCAGGGGTTTGAGGCTGCAGTGAGCTATGATCATACCACTTTACTCCAGCCTGGCTGACAGAGTGAGACACTCTCTACAAAAAAAAAAAAAAAAAAAAAAGAAAAAGAAAATTAATTCATTAAAACTACTTTTAAAAAGTGTAGTGCAATAAATAAAATACTGATTTTTTTCCTGTGATGACTGCTTTGATCCTTTTAAAAAATATATCAAATTTCACAAACAAAAATACATTGGTTCCTCTATTTTATTGGTGCCCTATGTGCATATCTATCTGTTGGGTAATCTCAAACTACTTATCTCAAAATTATAGGAGGAATCACTTTTGGTCATCGACTTATATAAAATTCTGAGGGCTGGATGCTATTTAGGTTGTTTCTAGGGCCCAGTGTACTTTCTGCACTTATGCTTTGGGTCATATTTTTATTCCTGGTATATGAAGACAATAGCTAGTACTTCTTCAATCTGAGGTTATACTGGAATGTAAATTTCATGAGCCTGGGATTTGTCTATCTGGTCCTCTGCTGTATCATTAGCTCCTAGGACAGAGTCTGGCTTGTGGCAGACAATAAATACTAGGAAATTAGAAGCAAGCCAGTAGCTTAAATGAGGTTTTCAGTTTACAACTAAGCAGGGCCTAAAATTGAATCAAGACAACAATGTATGTGTTTTCTGAAGGGGATTGGTGTGACTGGTACCTCCAAAAGGATAGTTCAGAGAGTCTGAAACAGAAAAGTGTCTCTGGACTTGCTGGAGTAGAGGCAGCCTGACCATCGGGACAGCAGAGAAAGTGGAAATCGAGGCGACAGACTTTCAGAAGTCAGTGATATTAACAATTAATATAATACAGCCACTTCCTCTTGCTTTGAGTCTCTTTTTGTTATCCATTTTGTATATGGGCAGCTTGTGGCTTGAAATCACTTTCAGTCCTTTTGTTGGTCACGGTTGTGTTTAGTAAGAATAGCCTGTCTCTGCTCCTTGCAGTGGCTGCTGGGTGGCTCAATGGGAGTGGAACCTCACACTCACAGGTGTGGGTCCTGGGTACTGGCCCTGCTGGGGGTGCTTTGGTTCATTTCCCATTGCCTCTCCATCCATGTAGACTGTCCACATTCAGTAGTTAGGCTGAGCTTCTCTGAATGGTGGTCAGCCTCCAAAAGGATGAAATGAAATTGCAATGCTTCTGAAGAATTAGGCCCAGAAGTCAACGCAAGACACAGACAGCACCCACCTAGATTCAAAGGGAGGAAAATTATATTCTACCTCTTGAGGGGAGAAGTATCAAAGTCACATTGCAAAAGAGCCCTTGACGTGGAAAAGTCCAGGCTTTCTTGGAACCCTCTGATTATCCTACGGGGGGGTCCTATGAAGAGATGGCTGCCAGGCAGAATAATCTGGCCAATGAATGCTGGGAGCAGTACATTTTCATATGCCTGTAGTTACAAAGGTATAATTTATAACTTGACTTTCTTCTGTACACGCTTGTAAGTATGGTTGCCATAAGCTAGTCCACTCATATGTGGCCATCTCTTGGGTATATTTATAAATCAGACTTTTGTACCTACAAAGCTGGGGCAGTTCCTGCGATCCCCAAGATCTGGTGATCTGACCAAGGGACACATACTTTGGGACCCTGTCTGAAATACCCTCTGGCTTTCTCCACACAGACATTCATTCATTGATTCATTCAGTACACTCACACACACACACACACGAGTTTCTAGACACTCTTCTAGGGTTCTAGATGCTGTACTAAGACCTTGGTGTACAGAAAGATGAACAAGGTCTTGCTCTCAGAAAGCTCAGAAAGTTGGTGTCTTGGGCACAGGGATGGGGCCCCAGGGCACACAGGAAAACATTATAATAGATGCTTTTGTCTTCATTGGGTCTGAGGTGTTTCTGGTTTAGAGCCCTAGAAACCCAACAACTCCAAACTTGATGGCCACAATGCATCAGAGGGATAATTGGTTTTTGAAACAAAAGTTACTTTGGGCTGGGCACGATGGCTCACAACTGTAATCCCAGCACTTTGGGAGGCCCAGGCGGGTGGATGACTTGAGGTCAGGAGTTTGAGACCAGCCTGGCCAACATGGCGAAACCCCGTCTCCACTAAAAATACAAAAATTAGCTAGGCGTGGTGGTGGGCACCCGTAACCCCAGCTGCTCAGGAGGCTAAGGCAGGAGAATCACTTGAACCCGGGAGGCGGAGGTTGCAGTGAGCCAAGATCGTGCCATTGCACTCCAGCCTGGGCAACAGAGCGAGACTCAGTCTCAAAAAAAAAAAAAAAGTCTGCAGTCACGTACAGCAATGTCCTAGACCTTCACATTCACTCACTGATGCACCCCAGGCAACTTACAATCCTGCAAGTTCCATTCATGGTAAGTGCCTTATTCAGGTGCTAATTTCTTTCTTTCTCTCTTTCTTTCTTTCTTTCTTTCTTTCTTTCTTTCTTTCTTTCTTTCTTTCTTTCTTTCTTTCTTTCTGTCTCTCTCTCTCTCTCTCTCTCTCTCTCTCTCTCTTTCTTTCTTTCTTTTTTGAGATGGAGTTTCACTCTTGTTGCCCAGGCTGGAGTGCAATGGCACGATCTCGGCTCACCACAACCTCCACCTCCTGGGTTCAAGCAATTCACCTGCCTCAGCCTCCCGAGTAGCTGGGATTACAGGCATGCACCATCACACCCGGCTGTTTTTTTTGTATTTTTAGTAGAGATGGGGTTTCTCCGTGTTGGTCAGGCTAGCCTTGAACTCCCGACCTCAAGAGATCCACCCACCTCAGCCTCCCAAAGTGCTGGGATCACAGGTGTGAGCCACAGCGCCCAGGTCAGGTGCTGATTTTTTATACCACATTTTCACTGTGTCTTTTCCATGTTTAGATAGATTTAGACACAAATACTTGCCATTGTGTTGCAATTGCCTGCAGTATTTAGTACAGTCACATGCAGCCTGGTTTGTAGCCTAGGCGCAGTAGGTTGTACCATACAGCACAGGTGTGCAGTAGGCTGTACCATGTAGGTTTGTGTTTGTGCCCTCTGTGATGTTTGCGCAATGACAAATTTCCCTAACAAGGCATTTCCCAGAACGTATCCTTGCCATTAAATGATGCATAACTGTACACCGGGAACCAGAAAGAAAGAAGAAAGGAAAGTAGCTCAGCCTGGCTCAGGCTTGGAGCGGTTGCAGCTCTGCCATAATTAATGCCACCCAAGCTTTATTACCTTTAGATCCTCAGGGCCAAGCACGGTGCCCGGGAATTCGTGGAGCTCAGCGAGTCTGTGCTGAGGGCATGGAGCATCTGCCCAGCCCGAGTCGCCCCAGGTTGCCATCCCAAAATACCACAGACTGAGTGGCTTCCCCAAGACTTCAATTTTCTCAGTTCTGGAGGTTGAAAGTCTAAGATCAAAGTGTGGGCAGGGCTGGTCTCTCCTGAGGCCTCTCTCCTTGGCTTGCAAATGGCCTTCCTCTTGCGGTACCTTAATGTGGTCTTTCCTGTGTGCTCACATGCCCTGGTGTGTCTCGTGTGTCCTAATCTCCTCTTCTTATAGGGACACCGGTGAGCTTGGATTAGGATCTACCCTAACAGCCTCGTTTAATTAATCACCTCCTTAAAGGCCCTATCTCCAAATGTAGTGACATCCTGAGGTACTGGGGGTTACGGCTTCAACAAGTGAGTTTTGACCAGCCTGGCCAACATGGTGAAACCCCGTCTCTACTAAAAATTCAAAAATTAGGCGTGGTGGCGGGTGCCTGTAATCCCAGCTACTGGGGAGGCTGAGGCAGGAGAATTGCTTGAACTCGGGAGGTGGAGGTTGCAGTGAGCTGGGATCACGCCACTGCACTCCAGCCTGAGCGACAGAGCGAGACTCCGTCTAAAAAAAAAAAAAAAAAAAAAAGAATGGTGTCAGAGAAGGCTTCTCACAGAACATATGGCACGATTAGGATTTTGAAAAAATTGAGAGATTTCCAGGATGGCAAGATGAGGAAGGGTATTCTATCCAGAGCGGGCAGCATGGAGACAGGAAAGGTAGGAGTGTGCCAAGAAGCGATAGGATACACAGCAGTTCACTGAGGGTTCACTTCATCATAGGCACACTTTCCACACACGTGTCCAGATCACCTGCTCCTCCTAGCGCTCTTGTGAGGTGTAGCCTATTACTATTCTCATTGTACAGATGGGAAACTGAAGCTGAAAGGGCTTAATTTGCAGAAGATTACAAAATTAAGTAATGCAACTAGCATGCACACCCTAGCTGCTTAGTTCCTGAGTTCACGTTCCTCCCAAGCCACTATTTCGCCTCAAACAGTTGCTATTACTGTAGGATACATTCAGGATGAAGTAGGATGAAGGAGGGTCGGCGAGGAGGCTGGCAGTCGGCGAAAGTCACAACATGAAGGGCCTTGGAGGTTTCCTTTTATCCTTTCATCCTGCAGCCCTGCCTCCAGTTCTCCCGGGTCAGAGGAGGGGGCGCAGAATCAGGTCCTAGAGGAGTGCGATGCGCGCCCTTGGTCACTAGAGGGCGCAGAAGCGCAGGCCCTGGGGAAGGCGGAGCCAGGAGGAGGGATCTCAGATCCCTGCGAGTTTGTTGATTTATTCTCAGGGATCTGAGAATTCTAGAATTCTTCAGTTTAGCACTTTCCACTGAAGGTATTCTAAAATCATGCACACAATCACTGCAGGGCTGAGGAGGACCCTTAAATAACTAGGAATGCCCCTCGAGTCGGTGTCCACATTTGCATTCCTGGTTATGGCGCTAATGGTGCCAGATGATCCCAAAAGGACCAGAGTTTACTGTTTAATTCTTCACTCAAACTGGAGCTCAGAGATACGTTCTCAGGGGCCTCAACGTGTGTGTGCGCGCCTGTGTGTATGTGTTATGTGTGTATGTGTGCGTGTGTGTGTGTGTGTTGTGTGTATATGCGTGTCTGTGTGTGTGTATGTGTGTGGGGTGTGTGTTTCTGTATGTGTTGTGTGTGTCTGTGTGTGTGTGTCTGTGTATGTGTGTGTATGTGTGTGTGTGTATGTGTTGGTTGTGCATGTGTGTGATTGCGTGTACATGTGTATATATGTTTGTATGTGTATGTGTGTGTATGTATGTGTCTGTGTGTGTGTGAGCATGTGTGTGTGTGTGTGTGAGTGTGTGTACGTGTGTGTCTTTCATTTAATTGGGTTCTTTATGTTACTTGCATTTGAGCAATGCTGGTGCAGGATCCTGTGCTCCCTGGAGGTATCCCAGGAGGTGAGCCTAGGTGTGTCAAGGTGTCCCGTGTGGAGACAGTAATAACCCGGGGTGTCAGGAGCTGTCCAGGGAGAAGGGTGAGGGTGGTGCGGCTGGCTTCTGTGGAGACGGTGTGGTGCAGTCAGGGGTTCATGGACTTTGGGGTGCTGAACCTGACCCAGAGTAGCCAGGTAACCTTGGGCAAATGTCTTAGCCACTCTGCACCTTGCTCTCCAGGATTGCCATGAGGATGAAAGGAGGTAGCAGAGGGAAGGAATAGGCATCTCTCCCTCCTTCTCCTTTCCCCCATCCTCTCCCTCTCTTTCCAGCCCCCTCTCTCCCTCAACCTCATTCCCTCCCTCTCTCCTCTCTCCTTTCTCTGTCTCCCTTCCTTCCTCCCCCTCTCTTCTTTCTCCCTCATTCTTCCTCTTTCTTCTCTCTCTTCCCTTTTCTCTCTTCCCCTCCCTTTCTCTCCTTCCTGTTCTTTCTTTCCTTCTCTCTCTCCCTCCCTTGCTCCCTCTCTTCCCTCTCTCTTTCCTTTTCACTCTCTCCTTCCCTTTCTCTTCCTCCCTTCCTCTTTTTCCTTTCTCTTTCTCTCCCTCTCCTTTTTTTCTTCCTCACTCTCCCTCCCCTTTTCTGTCTCCCCATCCCTTTCTCCCATTTTCTCCTTCTCTTTGCCCCTTCCTTCCTTTCTTTCTCTCCCTCTCTCTCTCTTTCTTTCTTTTTCTCTCTCTCTCTCTTTCTTTCTCTCTCTCTCTTTCTCTCTTTCTCTCTTTCTTTCTTTCTCTCTCTTTCTTTCTTTCTTTCTTTCTTTCTTTCTTTCTTTCTTTCTTTCTTTCTTTCTTTCTTTCTTTCTTTCTTTCTTTCGAGACAGGGTCTCGCTCTGTCGTCCAGGCTGGAGTGCAGTGGCGAGATCTCGATTCACTACAACCTCCGCCTCCCAAGTTCAAGCGATCCTCCCACCTCAGCCTCCCAATTAGCTGGGACTACAGGCTTGCACCACCACGCCCAGCTAATTTTTGTATTTTTAGTAGAGATGAGGTTTTGCCACGTTGGCCAGGCTGGTTTCAAACTCCTTGGCTCAAGTGTTCTGCCAACCTCGGCCTCCCAAAGTGCTGGGATTACAGGCGTGATCCACCATGCCTGGCCCCTTTCTCTCTTTCCCCCTCTTTCTCTTTCCCTTGCTCCCTCGTCTCCCATTTTTCTTTCTCCCCCTCCTCTTTCTCTCTCTTTTCTTCTCTTCTCTCTCCCCCTTCCCTCTCTGTCTCTCTCAGTCTCCCCAGGTTCAGAATGCTTTCCCATTTCTTTTTCTGGCAGTTAACGCACCAAATTGTCATCATTTACTTGTTATATGTCTTTCTAGACTGTTATATGTCTTTCTAGGCTTCAATAGGGGAAGTGACAAGGAGTTTGTATATCATTCTAAGGGAACAGGAAGCCCCCAGAGGGTATATGAGTGGACAGTGGAATTGATCAGGTTTTCATTTTCAGAGGCTGGCTCTTGCCGCTGTGTGGAGAGGAGGGGGGGAGGACCCAGGGGCACAGTGGGCCTGTAGGGGCGGGCTTGTAACCTGGACTGAGGTGGGAATGGCAGAGATGAAGAGAAGTGGACAGATCAGGACCTGGTTTTACACGGAACCCTCAGAGCCTGCTGACGGATGACGGGTGTAGTCAGGGGTAAACAATATTCAGGAATCAAGGAGAGCTCCAAGGTTTTGACCTGGCCAAGCGGGTTGATGAAGTTGCCTTCGTGGGGATAGTAAAAGACAGATGGGGAGCAGATTTGGGTAAAAAGCAAGAGTTCTGTCTTCCACATGTCATATTTGGATTGCCAATTGTAGGTAGATCCAGCATGTGCTCTGTTCCACCCCTGACTCTGGAGTTCTAGGAGAATTTAGGACTGGGGACATAAAATTGTGGTTCATTGACATTCGGATGTTGTATAAAGCCAAGCGACTAGCTGAGATCCCCTGGGGAGAGTCATCTCATATAGTGAAGAAGACATGTCCCAGGCCCAGCCCGGAGACTGTGGCATTCCCAATATTGAAACTTAAGCAGAAGAGTTGGAGCCTGGAAAAGGAGGCCAAGGAGGAGCCACCAGTGAGTCATTGGAAAACCAGTAGCACGTGGAGTCTCAACAAGAAGAAATGAAAGCATTTAAACAGAGTGAAAATTCTGGCAAACGCTGCTGAGAAGTCAGATTTCATACAAACACAGGTGGGCAAATCACCCCCACTCTGCATGCTCAGCTACCAGTCATGGCACCCTTCTCCACACCCATCCCCACTTCAGACAGCACCTCAGCATCCTTCTCAACACAGTCTTATTTTTTCTTATTTTATTTTATTTTTGAGATGGAGTCTTGCTCTGTTGCCCAGACTGGAATCCAGTGGCGTGATCTTGGCTTACTGCCCCCTCCACCTCCCAGGTTAAAGCCATTCTCCTGCCTCAGCCTCCCAAGTAGCTGGGATGGCAGGCGGCCCCCACCACGCCTGACTAATTTTTGTAGTTTTAGTAAAGATAGGGTTTCGCCATGTTGGCCAGGCTGGTCTTGAATTCCTGACCTCAGGTGATCTGCCTGCCTTGGCCTCCCAAAATGCTGGGATTACAGATGTGATCCACTGCACCCAGCCCATTTATTTATTTCTAATTTTTGCCATAGGCGGTGGGGGAAGAAATCAACATGGTGTTTCTGGAAACCACTACTCATGGATTGAAGATGGCAGGTAAATGAAATGTATTTGCCATTCTTCATATAATCTTATTTCCCAGCTATCTAGATGAAGACATTGCGTCCCAGAGAGATAGTTACCTTGGCAATACTTCACCACTAGACATCCAGTATTCACCTTTCAGTCTAGCAGTGTAGTGATAGGGTCATGAGGAAAGACATATTTGTGTGGATTCTATGACTTTTTTGTGGCATCCTTGTGTTGTTAGTCAGGGTTATCCACAGAAACAGGATGTGAAGATGAAACGATAGATACATAGATAAATAGATGATAGATAGATATAAATATACCTAGAAACATAGATGATAGATAGATAAATATAAATCTTTTATTATTTATTTATTTATTTGCTGCTTATTCAGTTTTTGAGATGGAGTCTTGCTGTGTTGCCCAGGCTGGAGTGCAAAGGCACGATCTCGGCTCACTGCAATGGCATGATCTCAGCTCACTGCAACCTCCGCCTCCTGGGTTCTGGCTATTCTCCTGCCTCAGCCTCCTGAGTAGCTAGGACTACAGACACATGCCACCACACCCGGCTAATTTTTGTATTTTTAGTAGAGATGCGGTTTCACCGTGTTGGCCAGGCTGGTCTTGAACTCCTGATCTCAGGTGATCCACCTGCTTCAGCCTCTCAAAGTGCTGGGATTACAGGCATGAGCCACTGTGCCCGGCCAGATAGATATAAATCTTTTAATAATTATTTTAAGGAATTGGCTACAGTGATTGTAGAGACAGACAAGTTCAAAATCTGCAGGGTAGGCTGGCAGGCTGGAGACTCGGTGAAGAGTTGCTATTCAAGGCTGAGGACAGCCTGCCGTCAGCATTCCTTTTTTCTTTGGGAAAGTCAGTCTTTTCTTGAAGGCCTTCAGCTGATTGGATGGGGCCCATCCACACTACAGTGAGTCCTCTGCTTTACCCAAAGTCCACTGATTTAAATGTTAATGTCACCTAACAGATCTCTCACAGAAACATCTAGAGTAATGTTTGACCAAATACCTGGCTACCATGAGCTAGCCAAGTTGACACACAAAATGAACCATAACACATTGGTTGACCTTAGTTACTTCTAAGAAACTGAGTTAAAAGTGGTCTCGTCTGATGTCGGAAGGAGGGGTAGGGGTGGAAAGAACAAGAGTGGTGGATGCTGGCTGTCCGTTGCTGAGGAAGCGTACCTCCGCCTGCCATGGTGAACTTGGCTTTGGTGATTTTTAAGGCACTGGAAAACTGAGTACCCTCATAAAAGCAGTAACAGCTGCAATTTACTGAGCACTTACTGTGTGCCAGGCATCCTGCTAGGTGCTTTTCATGGTTTATCTTGTTTGGAATTACTCTGGCTCCATCTGGCAGACACCATGCACAGCTTTCCCTGCCTGGGGTCAGCTACCTCCTCAGGCCTCTAACTCAGGAAGTTGGCTGGACACAAGGCCCATGTCTCTGGGACCCACCAATCTTTCCGATCCCTGCTCCACAGATTGGGAAATGTTTTTCAAGAGAGATAACGAGCAGGAGTTTCTCTTCTCCTTCCTTAGCTTGAAGCTTTTGTCCTCTCCATGTCCCCAGGGGCTTAGGCTTTTGAAACCAAATCCTGGAAGACTTCTTTGTTCTCAGCTCTCTCTTCTGCCTAATTCCTCCAGAGAGTGGGCCTAGCTCTTTGGTGAGGGAAGGGCACAGGGGGACTTTTCCTGGAAGAAAAAGTTGGTTAATATTTTTAAAGACATTACCCCACCTCATTGGTGACAATCGATCATGTCAGCGCATCTCCTTTTCCTGGCCATGTATTTTACTTTTCTTTTCCCTTCCGTCACTGCTTCCCTGCGCCTCTATAATGTCATAAAGGAAGGGAGACGAGCTCAAAGCTTTGAATATACCTGACCATTACTGACTCAAGACAATGCTACAGGCTCCTGTTTTATAAGAGAAAAAGAATTCATGGAAGCTTTTCTGGAATACGGCTTTATGTTCATATTCTACCCACTCCTCTCTCTCTCTCCTCATAACTAAAGGGAGCTGGTAGCAACCACCCTGCTTTGCAGCTCAGCTGGTAGAATGCCTGGAGAGCAGCCAGTGGCCTGGGTTCAATCTCCTGATAAGTCATCAATTTCTTTCTCACCCAAAACATCTGGTTTGGGATCCTGAGTTATGAGCTAATATTAAATATAAAAGTTTATAGCATCACATATATAATGCTGTTGATTAGAAACATCAAGAAAAGTAATTGACTGGAAGGGACTTGGTGTGACCAGCTGCTTGAACATCTGGATGGTATCCAAGGGGCCTGAATTGAATTCCCAATTCATCCATTCGTTCTTGGCCAGCAGTATCTGGTTTGGGATCTTTAAAGATTTGACTCTCCTCCTTGGCTATGGCTTTTTCTCAATGTTTTATACATAAGCGTGTGAGTGTGTGTTTCAGTTAACTGAAAAAAGCTAAAATAAAATCAATGTAGTTTTTATCTTCTCTTGCATCTGTTCATTAGACATTTATGGTTTTTATGATTTCCCGAGCCTCATCGTGTTACCAACAATGAACACTAGGGGGCAGTGTACACTCATGTTTTTCCTCCATGGGCTAAGATGTGTGAAGAGTGCCCCAATCCACCTCTCCATCTGGTTTGCAGTTGAGATGCCCAAGAGCGGGAAGGGTTCCTACCAGCATGGGGCTTTGTTCTCAGAAAGCTTCTCTAAGATACGTTACTTAGATACATCCGTAAAATCCCTCAGTCAACTGCACCCCTGTGGCCTATAGCCTGAAGTTAACCAAGTCTTTTCGTGACAGCCTATGTTCTGTTTGCTGAATAGCTGCCTCTCCTTCCTTTCTCTTTTCTGTTGGGTTTGGTTCCTGCCAGAACAACACGGATTTGCCCATCTCCCCTGACACACTCCGGTCCAAGGTTTAAGCAGGGCAGTCATTTCCTTACTGGAATCCCTTCCCAAACAGCTTCTTCCCAGGCTATCAGGCAGAAAGTATTTTGCATCTCCTGTGCCAACTCAGACTGAGGTAGCTGCTTGGAGTATTGTTTTGAGAAGGCCTCAGGGTCCAGGCTCAAGAGCAAGAATGCTATGCTCGATTGGCAATGTCTTCCTCCCTTCCCTTCCCTCCTTCCTTCCTTCTGTTCCTACCCCACTCCTTCCCTCCCTTCTCCCCTCCACTCCTTCCTCCTTCCTTTCTTTTTTCCTTTTTTCTTTTCTTTCTTATTGAATTCCGTTGAAGAGCCAGGTACTGGGCTAAACATTTCAATAGTGGACAAGATCATCTTGGTTTCTGCCCTCACAGAATTTACAAACCAATGGGAGAGACAGTAAAAAAACTGGGCACGTGGTAAGCCCTATGCTAGGGAAGCAATCGCGTGGTGTGGGGCACGCAGAAGAGGTACCTCACCCAGGCTTGGGGGTGAGTGATGAAACAAGGATGCATACCATAAAACCAAGGAGGGAAGGGGCAAAGAGTCAAGAGTCAAGGGGGAAATGTTAGAGCAGAAAAATACATGCAGGCAGCTCTTGCTTTTCACTTTGCTGCTCTGAGTCAATCTTTGTCTAGAAACCACCCATATCCCTCACCTGCAGATGTCTTAAGTGGCTCTGGGCTATTGGAGTGGCAAAGTCTACGGCCTGCAGTGGCCAGGAAGGTAAGATGGGTGATCCAGAGGATCAGAGCAAGCTAAGTCTCTGTGCTCCATCTGAGGGGGTGGTGCTCCGTCTTGAGCCAGGCAACAGTGGCTCTGTAAAACGCAGGCTCAGACAGTGTCAGATCTCGGGACTGTTTTGCAATGGAGGCTGAGAACTAGATTTTATGTGAAATTTCCTGAAAATATTTACTAACACTTTATGGGCCAAAAAGCTTAGGCATGAAGGCAAATTTAGGCCCTTGGGGATCTCTGGCCTAATGGCGCCTTTGCGTCCATGTCCGCCACCTAGTGGTGGATGTGGGTTCCTTCACTCTGTTTTTCTGTAACAGCAGCCGGAACCAACTTCCTTCCTTGCTCCCTTCTTAAATTTGGCTTTTGATTTCCAAAAAAAAAAAAAAAAAAAAAAAAAAAAAAAAATTGTTATGAAACGTTTAGGGTGCCACCCTGATGGCGGTTTTCGCCTTTCTTTTCCGGAAATCAGTGAAATCGAAGTTGGGGCGGATGGGGATGATGTTGAGAAGGCTGTTTGGGACGTGGGGGGTGATGACAGTGACGGGCTTGAGCACCTGCTTTGCTGGTGTGAACTTGCAGGCTGATTCCAACCGATTGAATGAAATATGATTACCAGCTTGACCTGTCTGGAGTCCAGATCCGGAGACTCTGAGTGCTCCTTGCAACATTAAGGATATATGATTCCATCGTGAGAGTGGGCCTTCTCAGCCAGGGTCTCCAGAGCCTTAGGGCTTTTTTCTGAATGGGCTGAATTCATGGTGGTCTTTGAGCCCCCTAGAAATTGTGTGCAAAAGTGTTTGCTTGTGCATTTTTCTTGGAGAGAGCTGCTAGCCTGAGTCAGATTCTCAAAGGGCCTATAACTCAGGAAGGGGAAAGGCAAGGCTGAAAAATGGGTTTCTCAAACTGAATGAGTACCCCAATGCTTGTTAAAATGCAGATTGTGGCTGGGCTCGGTGGCTCATGCCTGTAATCCCAGCACTTTGGGAGGTCAAGGTGGGTGGATCATGACATCAGGAGTTCCAGACCAGCCTGGCCAACATGGTGAAACTTTGTCTCTACTAAAAATACAAAAATTAGCTGGGCATGGTAGCGGGTACCTGTAATCCCAGCTACTCGGGAGGCTGAGACAGGAGAATCACTTGAACCCAGGAGGCAGAGGTTGCAGTGAGCTGAGATCATGCCACTGCACTCCAGTCTGGGCGACAGAGTCCATCTAAAAAAAAAAGTGCAGATTGCTGGGTCCCACCCCCAACGTTTCCGATTCAGTAGGAGTGGAGTGGGACCCCACAAATTGCCTTTCTAGCAAGTTCCCAGGTGATTAGACCACACAGTGCGGACTCCTGGTGGCGAGTAACAGCACTTAGAGAACAGGTCTCACGCATTCTGCCCTGATGCTGGAACTCATAGTTGGGAATCTTGCTTTCAAGCACAAAGCAAAAACAAACAAACAAAAAATGCACTGTGTTTTATTTCTGGATGCTGCCTAACTCCTAATCCCATCCTTTGCTTTGTCAAAAATATTTTAAAGATTCTGGGCAACAACTCTTCCTTTTGGACCTTTGACTTAATGATTTGCTGCTTAGAAGCCAAAAGACAGTGAGCTGGCTTCTGGAGAATGGGAGGCTGAGGAGTGTGATGGCGCCGTAACAAGGATAGGCAGTATCTAAGGGCAATATAATCATATATACATTAAGAATATATCATATATTCTTAAAGTTGCAAGGAGCACTCAAGGTCTTTGGATCTGGACTCCAGAAAGTTCAAGGTGTTAATCGTATTTCATTCAGTCGATTGGAATCAGCCTGCAAGTAGCAGAGATGCTTAATGGCTGTCTCCCTCCACACTGGTGTCACTGCATTAGAATTTGCTCAGAGGAGTATCTTGGTGGTGGTTGCGTGAATTGGTTCTGAGGGACATAGCCCATGTCCCCTTAGTACCCTTGTATGATGCACCTGAAGTTTGTCTAAGGAATGACTAAGACCCCTTCCAACTCTAGGAATTTCTGAAATCTGTTAAAAAGACACATCAGAACCTTTAAATTCTATTTCCAGGTAATCTTTGTCCACCTGCCATGTCTGCTTTCCTGGAGAAAGCTCATAGCCTTCTGCTGAGAAAATCACCTTGACATAGAGAAAATCACCTTGACATAGAGAAAATCATCATCCAAGAGCAATTCAGCCCTCATTGCATGCTAGATGCCTTCCTTGCCAAGGGCACTAAATGTGCCAACAAATGTCAGTGTGCTCTGGGAGGTCTCATTTGCATAGTGTGAGGCCCCAAGAATAATGGGGATCCAGGCTTCCCATCCCTCTCTCCATGGAAGCTGGGAAGGTTCCAAGCTTCTAGCACAGCACTCGGGGTGGCCAGAGCTTTGTGGGAACCTGAGTAGGGTATTTGGCCTGCAGAGTCTGGGCCTGTGGAAGTCCTCCATCACCTGACTTCCCATCTCCATCTTCTCTGTTTCGAGCTTTCCCTGTCTGTCTGCAAAATTAAAAGGTGGATGTTTGCCTCTTGAGATTGTTGTTTGAGGAAGTGGAATAGCACACAGGAAAGGGCTTTGGGTTCCTGTGAAGTGGGCTCTGCAAAGTAGGAGAGGGTGGGTGGAATTTTCCAGATGGCAGAAATAATAGTCCTCCCAGAGGTTAGGACTTTCCAGGACTTTGGTGGTGGCCAGATGTACCTAGTAATGTGGCTGGTGGGATCCCTTTGCAGCCAGGAGCTGAGTCAGTGGGTAAAGGGTAAAGTACTCAGGGGTGGGATAAGCAAGGCGCCTCCCTAACTTGGGAAAAATGGAATTTTACGAGGGGAAATCTCTTTGATCTTTGTAACTGTTCTGCCCTCCGCTGGGTGCTGTATGTTGAGAGTGCTTGGCAGTAGGGAGTGTATTAGTCCGTTTTCATGCGCTGATAAAGACATACCTGAGACTGGAAAGAAAAAGAAGTTTAATTGGAATTACAGTTCCACATGGCTGGGGAGGCCTCAGAATCATGGCGGGAGGCAAAAGGCACATCTTACATGGTGGTGGCAAGAGAAAATGAGGAGATGCAAAGGCAGAAACCCCTGATAAAATCATCAGATCTTGTGAGACTTATTCACTACCACAATAACAGCATGGGGGAATCCGTCCCCATGCTTCAAACTATCTCCCACTGGGTTGCTTCCACAACACTTGGGAATTTTGGAAGTACAATTCAGGATGAGATTTGGGCGGGCACACAGCCCAATCACATCAGGGAGACAGGGAAGGGCTGTTTTGATCCCTGTTCTTTTTGGAAATAGAACGGGGGTTGTCTCACCACTTTGGGAGAGAACATGTGGACCAGGAAGATTCTGGTTTCACAGAATAGCGGGGAGGATGCCACTGCAGGACATTACAGGTTCACCTCCCTGTACTTTTCTGGGAGTCCCAGCATTAGATGAAAGAGAGAGGCAGAGTCATGTGGGGAAAGAGCCCTGGATGGGAGTCAAATCCTTTAGCTCTTGTCTCTGTTAGGGCAGAACCTAGGTATGATTTGGGACAAGTCTCTTCATCTATCTGAGACTGTGTTTTGGAAACTGGCCCAATTTCCTCATACAACTAATATTTATGGGTTTTTTTTTAAATAAACAGAGAAATTGACCCTCCTGTTGTTGAAATATGAAATTTCCCTTTGTCTCATTTTAGTTCCTTCCTCAAGAAACCAACCATCAAGCAAGGGACTAAAACTCATCAGATTACTGCATCCAGATAATGAGATGCCAGGCCACTTATCCATTCTGATTGCTTCCTTATTCCTCCCTAGTTCCTGTTTTCCCATCTTCCCTGCCATTTTAGTTTCCCTCCAATTTTAGTTTGTTGGAGAGACAGATTTGAGGCTGATCTCCCATTCTCCTTGCCTGCTGCTTGCGATTAAAGTCTTCTCCAGCTGGCAATACTTGTTGTCTCAGTAATTGGTTTTTTGTGCAGTGAGCAATGGGACCTAGACAGAAACCCTGGCATTCTGGTAACATTTGCAGATCCATAAAATGAGGGCATTGGATCTGATTCCTTAATAAAAATGGAAATCTAGCATTCTTGCCTTTCTCTTTAATAGGGAGGATTAGAGAATTTAGAAGTTGAAAATAGCTTTTTTTTAAAACCCTTGCTTTCAAGTTTATTGAGGTATCATTCCCGTATATGAATGCATCCACTTTAAGTGCAGTGGATGAGTTCCATCAGAGGCATATGCCTGAGTAAGCACTACCACAGTCAGGAGATAGAAGGTTTCCTCCTCTTGGGATGGTTCTCTGTGTCCCTTCCCAGGCAGTCCCCTCTCATCCCCTCCTGGTCCCAGGTGACCTCTGCCACTTCTGACTTAAACCTAACTTTTCTCTGTGCTCACTGTATTAGTGCCCCATTGCTGCTGGGGAAAAGTGCCACACAGTTAGTAGCTCAACACAAATGTATTCACTTACAGTTCTGGATGTCAAAAGACTAAAGTGGGTTGGCAGGGCTGCCTTCCTTCCAAAAACTTTAAGAGAGAATCTGTTTCCTTGACTTTTCCACCTTGTAGATGCTGCCAGCATTCCCTGGCTCATGGCCCTGCATCCCTTCAATTTGCTTCAATCACCTTTCCCTCCCTGACTCTGAATTCTCCTGCCTCCCTCTTCTAAGGACTCCTATGATTAGAGTGGGCCCACTTGGATAATCCAGGATTATCTCCTCATAGCAAGACCCTTAACTCAACCACATCTGTGGAATTCCTTTTGCCCTGTACTCGTAGGTTCTGGGGATTAGGATGTGGATACCTGTGGAAGGAAGGGAAGGGATTGTTGAACCCACCACAATTACACAGCCCAGGAAAAACATCCAAGATGACAGCCAACTTTTCCAGATCAGATTCCCCATCAGGGGGTCATGTTTATCTTCTCAGCCACATCTGCTTCTCTGCTTCAACTTCACAATACAAGGAGGTTTTCTCCCCGTTCAAATAAAAATAGGACTACCTAATATTAATTCTTCATCTCATATGTGCTAGACACTTTTCTAAGCACTTTATATACCCTTAACTCACTTAATCCTCACAGCAATTATATTAAGTAAATGCCATTTTTATTCCTGTTTTATCACTGAGAAAACTGAAACACCAGAAGCCTAAGGAAATTTCCCAGGTCATGTAGCAAATATGTTGGAGCAGGGATTCAGCTGAAGGAGGCTAATACTGGCCTCCTTCCTGTGAGTCACTGCACATATCAGACTGCCTCTCTCCATGTTTCCTTAGCCATACACTTGGGACCAGACAGTTTCCTCATTGCTTGTGAAAAAATCAGAACAGACCCAAATGTGCCACTTAGGCCTATTGATCATCCTGAGTCAAAGGCAGTTGAGAAACAGCAGGTGCTGACCTTCTTACCTAAAAACAGGGCATAAATTTCCCATGAGGAATGCCCTTAATGTACTAAGAAGAGGAGAACATTCTCATCACTGGAGATGAAGAGCAGATGGCAAGATGAATCTGTACAAAGAAATATACTAAAATAAACCTTGCTTTCTATTCGTTGCCCCCAGATATTTCCTAGTCACTTTTCCAGTTTACTGCCCCTAGCCCAAACCCTTTTTCCTTTGTCTTGACTGTTCTCCACAATTTATTGTTAAAATGGTATATAAGCTTTCATGCCTAACAATTTCTTTGGATACTCATTTTTTTTGTATATGAAGGTCTCCATGTACACACAAAAATATTAATATCAGGCTAGGTGTAGTGACTCACACCTGTAATTCCAGCACTTTGGAAGGCCAAGGTGGGCAGATCACCTGAGGTCAGGATTTTAAGACCAGCCTGGCCAACATGGCAAAACCTATCTCTACTAAAAATACAAAAAAAAAAAAAAATTAGCCAGGCGTGGTGGTGCATATCTGTAGTTCCAGCTACTTGAGAGGTTGAGGGAGAAGAATCGCTTGAACCCAGGAGGTGGAAGTTGCAGTGAGCCAAGATCACTCCACTGCACTCCAGCCTGAGCAACAGGGCAAGAGTCTGTCTCAGAAAACAACAAACAAACAACACAAAATATTAATATCAAATAAAATGTGTATGCTTTCCTCCTGATAGTCTGTGTTTTATCAACTGAATTCTCAGGCCCAACCACAGAACCTAAGAGGGTAGAAGAAAAGTTTTTCCTTCCCTAGAGTTCTCACGCATTGTATTTCCCCTCAATTTCCTCTTTGTCTCTACCTTGACTATTTTTATTATTTTTGTTTCGTTTGGTTTGGTTTGAGATGGAGTTTTGCTCTGTTGCCCAGGCTGGAGTGCAGTGGCATGATCTCGGCTCACTGCGACCTCTGCCTCCCAAGTTCAAGCGATACTCCTGCTTCAGCCTCCCGAGTAGCTGGGATTACAGGCGTGTGCCACCACACCAAACTAATTTTTGTATTTTTAGTAGAAACAGGGTTTCACCATGTTGGTCAGGCTGATCTCGAACTCCTGACCTCAGGTGATCCACCCGCCTTGGCCTCCCAAAGTACTAGGATTATAAGCGTGAGCCACTGTGCCTAGCCTACTCTGACTGTTTTTAAAATCCACATTCAAATCTTCACTTTTCCATAAATGCTTCCCAGGTCACTATTGGCTTGTTGATGAAACTGCAGACTCTTCCCTCACCCCCAGTTCACCCTGAGGAGTAGGACGATTGTGCATATGAAGGGTGAAAAGCTTGGATGGATTAGACTGGAGAGGTTGGGAGAGGAGCTCGTAAGACCATCTGCTCCCTTTCAGGTGTCATGTGGCATTGGTTTGAACTCTTTTCAGAATGAAAAGAACAACTTACGGGCTTCAGCAAAAAAGAACAGTTACTAGCTCAATGAAGTGTAAAGGCCAGAGGCAGACATGGTAGGGAATCTTCAGTGATGACTATATCTAGGCACTTGCTATAGTTTGGAAGTTGACCCTCCTAACCTCATATTGAAATTTGATCTCCAGTGTTGGAGATGGGGCCTGGTAAGAGGTGTTTGGGTCATGGGGGCATGTCCCTCATGAATGGCTTGGTGCCATCCTGGTGGTAGTGAGTGAGTTCTTGCTCAACTGGTTCTTTCAAGAGCTGGTTGATAACAAGAGACTGGCACCTCACCCTTCTCTTGGTTCCTCTCTCACCATGTGATTTCTGCACACACTGGATCCCTTTCACCTTTCAGCATAAATGGAAGCAGTCTGAGGCCCTCACCAGAAGCAGATACTGGAAACATTCTTCTTATACAGTCTGCAGAACCATGAGCCAAATAAACCTCTTTATTTTAAAATTACTCAGCCTCAGATATTCCTTTATAGCAACACCAATGTTCAAAAGATATCACCAGGAATTTGTCCCACTCTACCTCTGAGTCCCACGCTCCTCTTTGTCGGTCTAATTCTCAGATGGGCTCTACCCAGGAGGAAGCAGATGGATATTGGAAGCTCCAGGCAGATGGTCCATTATCTTAGTATCCCTGGCAGAAAGGGAAGGTCTTGTTCACAAATGTTCCAATGAAAGTCTTGGGGATGAGGTTCATTAACTTTCATTGGCTAGTTTGGATTGTATGCCCAACTCTGAACAATCCCAGAAGTAGGGGGACTTCTTATTTGCCAAGATGGTTTCCTTGCCCACCTATAGAATGAAGGGAAAGGGCCAGCCCATCCTAACCTTATAGACTGATGGCGAGAAAGAAATGGCCTCCTAAAGCAAAATAGGGATGATATTATCACCAGAAAAAATCATCTCTGGCCATCCAAAAATGACAGATGGTTCTTCATACACTCTTTTGAATCTGATAATTTTAGAAGTCTGCTGTCCTCTTTCTGTATTGGCCTTGGAAATATCTCTTGTCAAAGGACTGGGTCTACCCCTGCCTATCAGACTGTTTCTCCTCTTAATGCTGTTTTAAATTCTGTACTTACAACAAAGGAGTCACGCAGTCACACAGGCTTAATCAAACCTTGACAAAATTTGTCTTTATAGCTCATACTCATTCCAGGCCAGTAACTGGAAAGCCAGTTAACCAGAATATAGGATTGTGTTAGATCATGGTGGGCTGTACCAGATGCCCTTTTCAAGGCCCACACACCCGTTTCCTAGCTCCTAGGAATATCGTTCATAGCTGTGAGGGCTCACAGTCATGGTCATCGTTGAGAATTGTCCATGGCTACAGGGAACTGCTTTACCCTGAGATTACAAAAGCTCAGCCCTCTTACCTCAACTGCGGGCATCTCTGAAGAGTTACTCCAACTGCAGAGCTCCCTGTTGTACTGGCTGAGGCGTCAGCTGCAGCTACATTGTGGGTCAATTTTCCCCTCTGCCTATTCTTGCCTTTCCTCTTTCCTTACTGCTGTCTTTTCCACAGTGAACTTTCTATATGCAACTCATTCCAGAATCTGTTTCCAGGGAACCCAATAAGACATCTGGACTCCTCTCTTTATGGTCAGTCCACTTATTGCCCTACAAGAAATAAGTAAACTTCACCTTTTAAAGTCTCTAATTTGGGGAATAGGTTTTCTGTTGTCCTGGTCTAACCTCTGTCTTAGGTAGGCTCTGGGTGCCTGGGGTTTGGGGCATCTTCTTGGGACAATTTCACCGGAAACAACACACAGATGCAAGCATGCAACTGAATTGGCTGATTTCTTATTAGTTGGATGAATATTTTGCTGAATTTTCAAGTGATAAATGCAGAATAGACTTGGATGGAAGTGAAGTGATCACGCTTAGTGGGAGAGAGAAAAGCAGATTTGTTGTTCTGAGAGCTGTTGTCTCATGGGTGTCTCTGCTCATCACTCAAGGCTCAGTTCAATGTTACCTCTTATAAGAAGCTTTTCCTGCTCGTTAAAGGCACTTGTTGTCTGGCCTTTCTTTTTATGTTTTACATGTTTTTGTCAAGTCTTTGCACACAGACACAAATCATTACAAATACTGTATAATGTCTCCTCCAGAAAGGTGTTTTACAAACTTCTTTTAAGAAAACACATGGAACATAAGATTTATTATAGGAATTAGATCCTATACATCGTAGGAGGAGTTGGGGAATGAAGATCCAGAAAGAGGAGTTGAAGGATCGGAGAAATGTCATCCACCAGCCCTCCTGAAGCACCAGCATAGTGACGTTAAATTAAGCTTACCCTAAAGCTGTCTCCTTGCATATATTTTACATTCAGTCTCCAAGTTGCTCCCTACATAGTGAACTGGAACCTAAGCAGATGTGTAAACAGGTTGTCTCCTATTCTTGTACCAATCACCGAATTTTGGCCAATCACAGGCAGCCAACTGTTCAAACCCTGTTCAAACAAGGCAGAGGCTAAGCTGTAACTAATTTAGCTGCTTCTGTACCTCATTTCCATTTTCTGTACATCGCTTTCCTTTTTCTGTCCATAAATCCTCTCCGATCACACAGCAGCGCTGAGTCTCTGTGAACCTATTCTGGTTGGGGGAGGAAAGGGCTGCCCAATTTGCGAATCATGCTTTGCTCAATTAAACTCTGTCAATTTAATTTGTCTAAAGTTTTTTTTTTTTTAAATTTTAAACAGTGAACATGTCAGACTTTACAGGGCAGTCTTGGAGGCAGGCATGTCTAGCTGCCAGATTTTTAAATGTTTTTACCACAGTCCACAGTAAGAAACATCTTTTATATCAAGATCCGGAAGGAAGACACACAAACACATATATGAACAGTTGAGAACAAAACTTCCACAAAATAACACTAATTCCTACCTTGTCCAACTGAGGTATTATCATAAAATATGTTTTCTCTTTGTTACTGATTCTTGACACAGAACTCCTAAAACCCTTGGAATTTCCTGAGCTATAGGAGTGTCTTTTGTATGCTAACAAGATGACTCGTAGGGTGAAGTATAAGATAGCTTTAGAATAGGGGCTAGTTGTACAATTAAAGAGTTGGACTTTTCAGCTGCAATCCCCAACCTCCAAGAGAGCAGAGAAGGGCTAGAGATTGAGATCAATCACTAATGACCAGTGATTTAATCAGTTATGCCCACATAATGAAACCGCTCTATGAAACACAGAACTACAAGGTTTAGGGGAGTTCTCTGGTTGGTGAACCCATCTATGTACTGGGAGGGTGATGTACCCCAGCTCTACAGGGACAGAGGCTTCTGAGCCCTGGGTCCTTCCTGACCTGACCTTCTATCCTTCATCTGGCTCTTCATTGGTCTCCCTGATAATAAACTGGAATAGTAAGTGTAGCATTTTCCTGAGTTCTGTGACTCATTCTAGCAAATAATCATGATCCTGGTGGGCTGAGGGAGGTCACCAAATGCCAGTGGGACCTCAACTCCAGCCGCTGTCTAGATTCTTGACACTATTATGAGAAGGAATTCAAGGATGAGTTGGAAAATAGTGAAAGTATGGAGATTTATTGCAAAGCAAAAAGGACACACTCAAGAAATGAGCTTATGGGCATACCCAAAAAAGTCACATGGAAGGGACTTTGGCGTTGTTACCTTTATGGATTTCTTTAACACGAGCTGGAATATTCATGAAAGTTCCTGGAAAAAGATTTCTTGGAACCGTGGTGCCACCCAGTTTTACACCAAATATGGGTGTTCTAGGAACAGTCATGATGCTAGTGGATGTGTGTTGAGTATGTTAATGAACATATAATGAGGTCCTAGGAGAAACCTAGGTCAAAGTCAGTGCCATGTTAGGTCCAGCCTGCTTGGTCCACATCCTGTTTTTCAGGGTCTTATCAGTGCAAGTAGCCTGGAGACCCCATTTGTTGTTGGCATCTGAAGTAGGGGGTAGTCTTGTGGGGCTGAGCCTTTAAACTGTGGGGTCAGTGCTGACTCCAGGTAGTTAGTGTCGGAATCAAATTGAATGGTTGGACATCAAGTTGGGTTGGAGAATTTAAGAATTAGTTGTTGTTGGTGATGTAAAAGTGAGAAAACACTAATAGTTTCTATCCTATTCTATTTTTTTGTTCTATTATATTTGCATTTTTTACAACGCTATTTGTGACTAATTTTATAACTCTCTATTGGCCACACTATAAAAAACGCTCTGTAACAT
Source organism: Homo sapiens (assembly GCF_000001405.40). NCBI lineage: Eukaryota > Metazoa > Chordata > Mammalia > Primates > Hominidae > Homo > Homo sapiens. The sequence continues at coordinate 13,042,717 of NC_000017.11, forward strand.
ACTGGAAGCTTCTTAAGCACAGGAACATTGCAATTTGCCTTAGCATCTCCGCGCCTAACACAACATCCAAGACAGAGATGTCAGGTATTACAATTTCATCAAATACATGTGTGAATGAATGAATGAAGTTGTCTGACTTTTGGTATGATTCATACTGGTTCGGGATTCACTTTTATGAATTTACCCAGTGTATTAGTGCAATTCATACTGGTTCAGGATTCACTTTTATGAATTTATCCGGTGTATTAGTGCATTCTCACACTGCTATAAAGAAACACCTGAGACTGCGTAGTTTATAAAGAAAAGAGGTTTAATTGGCTCATGGTTCTGCAGGCTGTACACAAAGCATGGTGCTAGTATCTGCTTCCAGTGAGGTCTCAGGAAGCTTCCCATCATGATGGAAGGCAAAAGGGAGCCAACATGTCACATGGTGAGAGATGGAGCAAGAGAAAGAGGAGGGAGAGGGAGAAAAGGGGAAAAAAAAGAGAGAGAAGGAGGGGAGGCACCACACACTTTTAAATAACCAGATCTTGTGTGAACTAACTGAGTGAGAACTCACTTATCACCAAAGGGATGGTGCCAAGCCATTCATGAGGTATCTATCCCCATGACCCAATCACCTCCCACCAGGCTCCACCTCCGTCATTGACAGTCATATTTCAACATGAGATTTGGAGGAGACAAACTTCCCAACCCTATCACCCGGGGACATTCATACTTAATTAGTGTGAATTTGTTCCTCAAATTCTGGCAAGCCTCACCTACTGGGAAGTTAATGTGTTAGTTCACCATGAGAACCATTTTGGGTGGGGTAACTGGTATTGGTCAGCAGGGGAAGTTTGCTTACAAGTACAGAATTTATCAAAGGGCATCGGTTGCTCTAGGAATTATTTCCTTCAAGGTGGGGTCACTAGAATTACCCTTTCTAGATGTTTCTCTCAGGACATGTCTGCCAGGGGCAGCTCCACCCCTCGTTTCTGAGAACTTCATAATAATAGATGCCTTATATTTCTTACATTTCACTATTCTTCTTCTTCTTTTTCTTTTTTCTTTTTTCTTTTTTTTTGAGATGGAGTTTTGTTCTTGTTGCCCAGGCTGGAGTGCAATGGGGCGATCTCAGCTCACCGCAACCTCTGCCTCCCGGGTTCAAGTGATTCTCCTGCTTCGGCCTCCTAAGTTGCTGGGATTACAGGTGCCCGCCACCACGCCTGGCTAATTTTTTGTATTTTTAGTAGAGACAGGATTTTGCCATGTTCAGGCTGGTCTCGAACTCCTGACCTCAGGTGATCCACCCGGCTTGACCTCCCAAAGTGTTGGGATTACTGGCGTGAGCCACCGTGCCCGGCCAATTTCACTCTTCTTGAATGGTTATGGAGACAACGTGGCTTCTGGGTGGAGACTGAGGGAACATCACAATCTCATCTGTAACACATTGCCAAGAGGCAGTTTTCCTCTACAGATGGCTAATTGCTCCAATTTCATGTTCCTTCTTATTAGCTTCAGTCTGAGAAGGTAATATTTTCTGACCTTGTTCTGAAATTCTGGCGCTGAACCTTCTCTGAAGCCTGTTGACCCTTCTGCACTGAATACACACACAAAAAATAGTTGCTGAGTGATTAGACTGATATCATCGAACACAGTTTTGATTTGTGGCCGACCTGGTCTGACCTGCAACATCTTGGTTCCAAAGGCTGTTAGGATCATCCATTGGGTCAGCTTTATCCAAGATGGGTGAAGGCCTCTTCCCCCACCAGGTACGAACCTCCAGCCAATTCCACTATCACATAACGATCAATGCAGATTTCCCAGAACAGAAGACGAATGCATGAAACACACCTCCTATTCATTTTCCATGTGGAGCATATAAAAATGTACTTTCCTCTTGCAAAGGCTCTCTGACTGACCCATCTGGTTTGCATTTATGTGAATTGCTGCCTGCCGAGAAAAGGGTTAATGACAACAGGGAGGGAGAATTCTGTTTCCAGGCTGCGCTTTGCAGGAGTTCAGTTTCTCCCAAAAGTCAAACCCAATCAAAAACAATCCAGGAGGCTGAGGAGCACTTCCTGTTAGCCCTGATACAACTCTATGTGAGCAGGACAAATGTGGCACTGAGAAAAAAGGAGAAGAGAGGATGACATTTTGGCCACTGAAGGAGGCAGCGGCAGCAACCGTGCTGCTGGGAGAAACATCTGCTGCAAGTATGGCCTGCGTAATAACAACTAGCGCTGTAACAGCATAATGAAAATCACATTTCTGTAATTGTATAATATACAGGCCCAGGATTTTAACATCACTTGTCTAAATGTGATACAAATTGGACACAGAAGCTTGGTCCCTTTGGCAAACGCTTATCCAGAGATTATTACATTCATAGAGACATAATTTCGGACTGGACTTCAGTCTTATTAAGGCGGACTTCCTTTTCAGATGGTCCATTCTAAACATTAACCCCTTCATGTTCTCCTTTGTAGTTCTCCTGGAAGTTTTCAAGAGTGTACCATCCACCCCCAAACAAAGAGGAACACTTGGATGTGTGGGCTGGGACACTTTGGGTGGTTATTTCCTTAAGGGCTCTCATGGAAAAGAATTCACATGAGGCTAAAGTGAATCTTTTTTTTTTTTTTCCAGAAGGGCCAGTGTCTGGAGATGTTTCAGCTGGAAAGATGGCCAAGCTCGAATAAGCAGATTTATATAAATCTCATTGTTTCCATATTAATAAAATGAGCCGCTGGGCACAGTGGCTCATGCCTGTAATCCCAGCACTTTGGGAGGCCAAGATGGATGGATCATGAGGTCAGGAGTTCAAGACCAGCCTGGCCAAGATGGTGAAACCCCGTCTCAACTAAAAATACAAAAATTAGCTGGGCATGGTGGTGGACGCCTGTAATCCCAGCTACTTGGCAGCCTGAGGCAGGAGAATCGCTTGTACTCGGGAGTTGGAGATTGCAGCAAGCCGAGATCACACCACTGCACTCCAGCCTGGGCGACAGAGTGAGACTCCATCTCAGGAAAAAAAAAAAATGAGCCGGGATCTTTGATGACTTTATATTTTACATGGAGGCTGTTATTATGATGCAAGGACTTGTTCTTTCGGCTCTAAGACCAGAAGGAAAATAAAATGGGATAGTATATTAAAATGCAATGTGGGACAAAGCAGTGCTATATGTGACCAGTGAAAATGTTTGCAGTTCTTTCTCTATAAGAAGATGATTTTGCATCCCATATTTGCTAATACTGCACTCCACTGAGCCCAATGAGAAGTTATCAATACTTTATCATATGAAAGCGTGTTGAAATTTCTCATATATTGTCTGGTTCAGCCTTCAAAGCAGCCATGTCAGGTTAAGCAGGGCAGTTATGATTTCTATTTTTCAAATGGTTCAGTGGCATGTGTAGTGCACACAGATAGTAATGGGAACAGCTGCATATTCACACCTCCGTGGAAGTTTCCACGCCACACTGGGTGTCCTTTCACATAATTCCCCTCTGTTATCAGCATAATCCAGAAATGCCACAAAGTAACATCCATAACCCCCAAGCAACATGAAAACGACAGCTACTGCTAAAATCCATTTGCATTAAACCAGCACTAACATGAAATCCACACATTTGATTTTTTTTTCTTCATGTCCCAGTGGATATCTCAGAATAACAGGGCACTTCTGATCTGGTTTCTATGAATTTCTTATGAGCTACAACTGTGCTATTCAAAGTGTGGTCCACAGATCAGCAGCAGCAGCGTCACCTGGGACTGTGTCTGAATGCAGAAGCTCAGGCTCCAGCCCAGACCCACTGAATACAGAGCCTGTGTTTTCACGACAGCCCCGCATGATTCATACGCATGTAGTGAGTTGAGAGCCGCCGCGTCTACAACTCATGCTTTCGCTCAGCCCTGCCTGTTGTAGGTAGTGAGTTTGTGGTTTAAATCTAAGAAGAGGGGAGGAGAAGCGCACAGGCGGGACATACCTGCGTGCTCACTTTCAGTAGGGACTGGAGGAGAAGACAGTTTGGAGACAGGGAAAAACCGTGGAAGACAGAACCTGGAGAAGAGTTGGGAACCTCAGAGGAGGTTGCAAATAGCTGTCTGTGGACATCTGGTTTGTGGTCTCAAGGAAACAGAGACAATATTGATTTTTGAAACAAGAGGGGCTCCAAGTGCCTGTTATTCGGGAGCACTTTGAGAAACACTGCAGGGCTCCTGAAGGAGGACAGAGTCAGGCTAACCATCTCTAGATGCAGTGACCTGCCAAATGGGCTGTTGGGCTGGAAGAAATGCAGATTGCTTATTGCTTCCATTTATCCCCGGGCTCCTCTCCTGTCATCCTCCTTTCTCGGCTTCTGCAGTCCCAGCTCTGGGCATGAGACTTACGGCTCCCTCGATCCAGCATCAGGACCTCCCCTCTAGTTGTACTAACTTGGCTCCCTCTTGAAGCTCAGAATTTATGCAACCAAAGCCCAGATTCCTTCACTGGTGGGTCTGAAACCAACCCCCTCCTCTCCTGCTCTGCTCTTCCTGGCCTGCATCTTCGCTTTGCAGGAGGTGCCAGACGTCAAATTGCCCCACATTCTGTGGCTTCGGGACCCAGGCAAACGTCCATGAAGGAGAAACTTGTAACCACTGGGACGCGGGATGAATGCAGGGCCCTGGACTCTGTTGTGGGCAAATACGTTGAGCGATTTGAAATGACTCTCCCGGGAGCTGGTTGTCAAATTTTTGGTGTGTTCAGGAAATGTCTGCCACATTTTACATCAACATTTTCAAACGGTAAGTGAGTGAAGTGTTGAATTGTAACAATGAGTGAGTGAAATGAATGGATCGCAGCTCCAGTGGTAAACCAGCTTGGGTAATAGAAGTAACTCACTTTTTAATTACGAAAAAAGCAAAGAAAAGCATTGGTGTAGCACAACTGCTCCTGGTGCTTTGCTGCATGGAATTTAAAACCCATCCTGATGTCATGTGAAGCCACAGTATGTGGAAGTCTTTTATGTGGATAATGGGTGGAAAGAATGGGGTGCATTTTGGCTATTTGCCATCACTCATATTTCGAGGTCCAGAAGGGCCAAAGTCAATCAAAATTCAGTTAAATATGCTTCTAATCATCTTCTTATTCAATACTCCCGGGTTTGTTACTGAAAGACTGCAAGGTATTTATGTTACTATCTTTGTGATTCTCAGCTGCTTAAAACTCTACTCAAATCCAACTTCCTCCCTGAAGCCGTCTGCCCAGCGGGGATCAATGTCTCCTTCTAGCTCCTGGTACAACTTCTGCAGTTATATTATGTGAGGTTCTGCTTTCTCATATGCTGACTGCTGGCTTAGACACATTCTCTTCGTTCATCTTCCCACCACACCTGCACAAGAAGAAATGGGAGCTCAGCTCCATCAGCCTGCTGGAGGTCAGGCAGCTATGACGGGGCAGGAGCAGTATTTGAACTCAGGACTATGTGCTCCGAAGCCTGTTCTTGTCTCTGTATTAATGGTTCTCAAAGTGTGGTCCTTGGACCAGCGGTATCACCTGGGAACTTGTTAAAAATATAAGTTATCAGGCCCTACTCCAGACGTATGGAAACAAAAACTTCGTGGTTGAGGCCCAGAAATCTGTATTTTAACAGGCCCCTTGGGGATTCTGGTGCATGCTTAAGTTTGAGAACCACTCTTCCATACCCAGCTTGCTTCTGATGTATGGTTCTGTGATATGTGTTATCTTGGTCACTAGACTGTAAGCTACCTGAGGGCAGGACTTCTGCCTTATTCACTTGGGAGCAAGACACTATACTAGGTGCTGCTGTGGAAATGTAACAAGAGTAACAGCGGACATTTATTGAGCTCTTCACGCCACATGGCATGCTAAACCTTCATGTGGTTTATATTATTGAATTCTCAGAATAACCCCTTGAGGTCAGCACTATTATTATCTGCCGTTTACAGATCAGGACACTGAAACTCAAGTGGGTGAAGCAGCTTGCTTAAAATCCAATGCCATGCATGAGGAAGCTGGGATGTGAACCCAGAGGTTCTGACTCCAGAGCCCGTGCTCTTACCCAGCAGGCTGCCCTGTTCAGTGCATGCTTCCCGAATTGACTATAACCATCTGACCTCTTCCATGCATCACGTGAAGAAAAAGTCTCAACTGTAAATAAGGGGAGAAATGTACACAGAGCAGCTTGCGAGGATAGAGAGGGCTTGGATGTCTTTCTGAAAGGAAGCCATCATTTTCTTTCTTTTCTCTAGAGACAGGGTCTCGTTTCATCACCCAGGCTGGAGTGCAGTGGTGCAATCATGGCTCACTGCAGCCTTGAACTCCTGGGCTCAAGCAATCCTCCTGCCTCAGCCTCCCAAGTAGCTGGGACTGCAGGTGTATGCCACCATGCCCAGCTAATTTTTTTTTGTTGTTTTTGTGGTGGGGTCTTGCTGTGTTGCCTAGACTGACCTCGAACTCCTGGCCTCAAGCAATCCTTCTGCCTTGGCTTCCCAAAGTGCTGGGATTATAGGCATGAGCCATTGAGACTGGCCAGAAGGTATCCTTTTTTTAGAGAAACTAAAAGCATTCTCAAGCTCCCTTAATTTCACTTCTGATAGATGAGTTATCTTGACCTCCTGTTCAGGATAGGGCCAAATCTACTCAGTCCTGTTGTATCCAGGGTACTTAAATGTCTTGAATTCCTGCACCAGAAGGTACAGTCTTCTGGGGAGTCACAGTAGGGGGTGAGGGGGCACAGGGGAGAGGAGGGTCTACAGGTTAGGACTCCAGCAGTGATGCTTGAATTTGAATCATGATTGTGCTGCTTGAAATCAATGTCATTTTAGATATAAGCTGCTTACACTTTCTGGAACTCGGTTTCTTCAACTGTAAAATGGAAATAATGATAATAGCTGTTTTATTTGTGCTGAGCAGGAATGAGACTGTGGCTGGGAGAATGCTTTATAAATCAAAAGGGATGTCTGGAAAGTTCAGTGTTCTTTCCTGGACCATTGGGAGTTGCAGCGTAGGGAGGTATTGAGGAGGTGCCCACCAGTCTTGATTTCTAACCTGAGATTCTTTTTTTGTTTTGAGCTGGAGTTTCACTCTTGTTGTCCACAATGGAGTACAGTGACACGGTCTCAGCTCACTGCAATCTCCCGGGTTCAAGGATTCTCTTGCTTCGGCCTCCCGAGTAGCTGGGATTACAGGCACCCCCCACCACACCCAGCTAATTTTTGTACTTTTAGTAGAGACGGGGTTTCACCATGTTGGTCAGGCTGGTCTCAAACTCCTGACCTCAGGGGATCCACCCACCTCAGCCTCCCAAAGTGCTGGGATTACAGGCGTGAGCCACCATGCCTGGCCCAACCTGAGATTCTTTTCTGCCAGACTTCCTTCCTTAGAACACAAACATGTGATTTCTCAGTGCTTGCCAGAGATGCAGACCTGTTCCTCTGAGGCTGGAAATGACTTCACGGTACTTTTCAAACAGTAATTATCTACAGAAAAGCGCCCTGAGACCCTCGGAGACCAGGAGCCGAGAACCCCTTATAAGGACACGATGCTGTTTCTCATCCCAACCCTCAAGATAAGGGCGTTTCTCTGCCTGGATTTGTAGAATCCAATTTGGATGCCTGGATTCTGGGTTTCCCCCATGGAACAGACTCCTTCCCCCTCCTTCTCACCCATCCCTCTTCAGGCACCAAAGCCCCTTCCAAAATGTCTTCACCTTTCACATGACACCAGCACTCAAATCCACCATTCCAAATAAATGAGAAAGAAACCCCTTTCCGCCAGGTTTTGCTTGTGCCCCGGCAACCCAAAGCTAGGATACAGTTTCATGGCAGGGCACATGTGTGTGTAATTGCTACCTGAGAGGAAGACCAGGAGAGCCTGCTCGAAATGGGGTGTTAATGATAAGCACCACAAGATTTGTTACTGTAGTGAAGCCCCATCTGGATGGACTACATTAAGTTGCTTTTTAATGTGGCCCTTTGATGTGGCCCTTCATAGAGTCCCTCCAGTGCTTGTTAGTTAGGGAGCATCCCACGATAGAAAAAAAAGCAAGAACAAAACCATAAACGAGAACAAGAACCACCCCTTTTGCTCAGCTGAAACACTACAATCATGCTAGTTTACCCACCTGTCAGCTTCTTTCAGACCTGTGACCACATCTAGGGATAGGCTTCCTTAGAGGAAAGGAACTTGAAACTGTGTTTCTGGATGCATTGTTTTAAGCATCAATTATTTTTTTTTTTTTTTTTTGAGATGGAGTCTTGCTCTGTCGCCCAGGCTGTGGCACGATCTCCGCTCACTGCAAGCTCTGCCTCCCAGGTTCACGCCAATCTCCTGCCTCAGCCTCCTGAGTAGCTGGGACTACAGGCGCCCACCACCACACCCAGCTAATTTTTTGTAGTTTTAGTAGAGACGGGGTTTCACCATGTTAGCCAGGATGGTCTCGATCTGCTGAGCTCATGATCCGCCCGCCTCAGCCTCCCAAAGTGCTGGGATTATAGGCCTGAGCCACCAAGCCCGGCCCTTAAATATCAACTATTGAGCAGTTAATGAGGAATCGGAATATCTAGCATTTAGTCAGAAATGTGAGGTTTGGAAAAGACTAACTTGAACAAATTTCAGGAAGATTTATGAGTAGTAGCTTTTCCATCTGTAAAATAGGCTTCATAATACCTGTCCAATCTCATTTTATCCTTCCAAAAATGCTGGGCATGGTGGCTCATATCTGTAATCTCAGCACTTGGGGAGGCTGAGGTGAGAGGATTGCTTGAGTCCAGGAGTTCAAGACCAGCCTGGGCAATATAGTAATACTCTGTCTCTACACAAAATTAAAATGTTTTTCAGGCATGGGGTGCACACCTCTAGTCCCAACTACTCAGGAGGCTAAAGTGAGAGGATCACTAGAGCCCAGGAGGTTGAGGCTGCAGTGAGCTGTGATGGTACCACTGCACTCCAGCCTGGGTGACAGAGCCAGACCCTGTCTCAAAAAAACAAAAACAAAAACAAACAAACAAACAAAAAGGGAAAGTAACCCAAAAGAAAATAAAAGAAGAAAACTCTTTGAGGTGATATATCCATAGAATGATAGCATTGAAAGAAACCATAGTTAGAGTTTAGGTCCAACCACCTCATTTTCTGAACCAGAAGACAGAATCGCAAAAAAAACCAGAGCATCCTGCCTGAGGACACAGAATTGCTGAGTAGTAGGAGGAAGAAGAACCCAGATTTTCCAGCTTTGAGAAGGATGGTGGTTAGTTAGAATTTTGGCTAAAACAGAGCCTTGCTAATTCCTAATCTCTCCTCTGCAAATGACTTCAGTCTCATTTTCCTAAGCAGCAGAGCCATTTGGCTGGCACAAAGTGTGGCTGTGGCCCTGGCATTCTCCACGGAATGAGAAATTTATCCCACTTCTGTTCTCATCCTACGTGCCAAGCAAACAAACCATCTTGTTGACTGCAGACATGGCCTCGGGAATCCTAGCCAGCCAGAAAAACCATTCCGTCTCTCTTGATGAGGAAACCAGTGCTTGGAATTCAATAGATGTAATTTAAATAGGCTGAATCCAAATAAAATTCTACATTTTCTTAGCTATGACATCTTACTTACTTTTTCTTTTATGAAGACATGCTGTAGAGTGAATGTATATGTCCTCCTGAAATTCACATGTTAAACCTTAATGCCCAAGATGATGGTGTTTGGAGGTGGGACTTTTAGGAGTAAATTAGGTCATGAGGATGGAGCCCCTCATGAAAAAAATTAATGTCCTTGTAGAAGAGGATTGAAGGAGCTCACTCTTCCCTTCCACCATGTGAAGACAAGCAAGAAGATGGCCATCTATAAGAAGTGGGCAGTCCCCAACCACCAGATCTGTCCATGTCTTGATCTTGGACTTCCCAGCCTCCAGCACTGTGAGAAATAAATGTTTATCATTTATAAGTTACCCAGTGTATGGTATTTTTGTTACAGCAGCCCAAACAGACTAAGGCAAAACAGGACAATTAGCTTGATAAAACAGGGAATAGTTGGAGCCTTCCATTGTGGTTGGGACCTGTTTGAGTGTCTGCGTTCCTGTCAGAGAAATGATAGTTTTAATCGTGTAGTCCTCCCAAAAAAGTAAAATTGCGGGTCCAACTTTGGAATTTACTTCAGCCAACTGACGTTGCACAAATAAATAAATTTTCTTTCTCTCATTTAAAAGCAAAAAGAGATTTCTAGAATGTTTGCGGTGTGTGGCAAATGGGAGATGTTAATGTTTTCTAAATGCTCTCAAGAAAGACCCGATGTTCATTGGTGTTCATCTATATTCTGAGAAGGGATTTGGCTGTAGTGCATTGTGGTGAACACAATGGGATATGTTTCATTAAGACTGCACTTTCCTCTTTTAATTAACTTCTTGTTCCTGTCTTTGGTGAAATATTAATTATTTTTTAATCATCACTGGGATGCACTTTAAGGAGAAGCGCTGGAATCATCCAACCTTAGTTTCATTATATGGATAGGTGTTATAATAATTAACTTAATTAGCTTGTCACTGCTTGAATAAAATATGACTGTATTTGGAGAACAGATATTGCTTTGCTGATCCAAGGTTAATTAAAAAATAGAGTGTGCAAAAGGTCAGGTTAAATGGAGTTGGTGGCACCCTGATATCTGGCCAGCGTGATGAAGAATGTAAAATGCAAGTGGGCTGGGACCAGAAACCAGACAGAGTGGGGTTTTGAAGCCATCCTTGAGTGTCCACACCTGAAAGAGATGGAATCACCATCACCAGATCCAGGAGTCTGCAGCCCACTTGTGATATTCTCTCTCTACATCAGTGGTTATTGTTCTGGACTCTTGGGTAGGGGGTCACCCTGTCCACAGAATAGAGGGAAAAATCGATGGAACAATTTCTTTTTCTTTCTTTCTTTCTTTTTTTTTTTTATTCTTTTGAGATTGAGTTTTGCTCTGTCACCCAGGCTGGAGTGCAGTGGCGCCATCTTGGCTCACTACAACCTCCACCTCTCGGGGTCAAGCGATTCTCCTGCCTCAGCCTCCCCAGTAGCTGGGATTACAGGCACGTGCCACCATGCCCAGCTAATTTTTGTATTTTTAGTAGAGATGGGGTTTCACCATGTTGGCCAGGCTGGCCTCAAACTCCTGACCTCAGATGATCTGCCCACCCCCGTCTTGGCCTCCCAAAGTACTGGGATTACAAGCATGAGCCACTGCGCCTGGCCTGAAACACTTTCTTTAAGTGGAAGATGGTTCTTTTTCATCCCTTGAGATCTGGATGTCCCTGAGCGCAAGGTAATAAAACCAGGAACGAATGTGCTGGGTGGGAAGCTGCTAACATTTACTCAATGCTTTTGATGTGCCTAGTACTGAGCTAAGTGATTCATATGTCATAACTCACTTAATCCTCACAACAATTCTTATTATTTTTTTTTTTTGACGGCACCTAGCTCTGTCGCCAGGCTTGAGTGCAGTGGCGTGATCTTGGCTCACTGCAACCTCTGCCTCCCGGGTTCAAGCGATTCTCCTGCCTCAGCCTCTTGAGTAGCTGGGACTACAGGCATGTGCCGTGATGCCCAAATAATTTTTGTGTTTTTAGTAGAGATGGTGTTTCACTGTGTTGGCCAGGATGGTCTTGATCTCCTGACCTCGTGATCTGCCCACCTCGGCCTCCCAAACTGCTGGGATTACAGGTGTGAGCCACTGCACCTGGCCGACCCTCACAACAATTCTATGAGGCACATAGTATTATTCCTGTTTTAGAGCTGAGGAAACCGAGGCCCAGAGAGATGAAATAATTCATCCGAGTTTACATGGTCAGTGGTAGAGCCAAAATTTAAACGGAGGTAGTTTGGCTCCAGAAGCTAATTCTTAACCACTGCTCCTCAATAATTGCTTTTGCATGGAATATTGCTATACTATGCTGCCAAGTCGTAACAGTAATAAGAACAAATAAGATTATTCCTGGGGAAAGGAGACGTAAAATGCAGACTCACACCTCCAGTAGCAGAATCTCTTGCAATCCAAACACTGATTTTCTGGTGTTCCAGAATGTTTCATCCTAATAAAAAAATGCCGAGGAGCTGGCCTGGGTCTGGAAGAGTAATTTTGCTCACTCCTCGTCAATAGATGGGTGTGTTTGATGTTTATAACTGTTTTTGTTTTGTTTTGTAATTACATAGCAGTTCATTAAAGGTTGATTTGGTTCCCCTATCAGTCAAGCCTTCTAACAACTCATTTGGAAGAGTAAATATCCTGCACAGAGAAATTCACAGCTTTGGTCATGATGAGATAAGAGCTTGCTGCAGCCCTTGAATATGGCTCGTCTAATAAGGGTTGGGCCGTCTGGAAAATAATGGAAATCTCAAACAGAGGTTGTTACAAAATAGTGCAAGATGTTGTTGGCATCAGCCGTGAAAGGTTAACTGTGCTCTTTGGTGACTGGAAGGAAATTTCATATTCAACAGATGCTACCTGCATTATAGACTGAGATGGATGATGATTGACCTGGAAGGCTTGTCTGCGTTTCTGAGAAAATGATCTCAAAATCGTTTGCTCTGATTCCTCATGGACTCCTGGGTTTGATTTCACATGATGGTTTACTGACTCTCTCAATTGGAATGACCGAAATTTATTTTAAACTTAACTATTTGCTCAACGCTGCTATTATTTTACTTTAGGCTGTTATTAATTTGCCCTGGTGTGGTGTGTGGTTTGGATTCCACCGTGCTGATGTGGTTTGTCATGTATGATGCTGAACATAGGACAGAAGCTTGGAAAGGAGGAAAATGAAAATGGTACCCCAAAAAGTCAGTTCATATTACTGTGACTGTGGATAAGCTGTCATATGCTGCTACTATTCGGATCAATATTGTCCTTTTTTAGATCTTTATGTGATCCAAAAGGTGCAGAGTAATTTAGTAATAGGGGAAGCATTATGGGATTTACATACCCAGGAAGAAAAATAAAATCCAGAAGAAAAAAGGATAAATTGCTATTGCATATACAGAATATTATCTCTCACTGTGGAAACAGTGATGCCTTCAATGAGATGCACACTCTAGGGTTAGAGGGAGCTTGGCCCTGAGAATCGGACACCATTAGGTTTCTTGCTTTAGTTCTCCCCTTCCTTGAGCTGATGAGGGAGGGGAGATGGCAGAAAACATTATCACCCAGGCAGCCACGGTAACCTGGAGAGATGTTCTTGTGAAGTGAGTAGATTAACAAAGTATGGTGTGTCCATATAACAGAATACTACTCACCAATAGAAAGGAATAAATTGGCCAGGAATGGTGGCTCACGCTTGTAATCCCAGCACTTTGGGAGGCTGAGGAGGGCAGATCACCTGAGGTCAGGAGTTCAAGACCAGCCTGGCCAACATGGTGAAACCGCATCTGTACTAAAAATACAAAAATTAGCCGGGCGTGGTGGCGGGAACCTGTAGTCTCAGCTAGTTGGGAGGCTGAGGCAAGAGAATTGCTTGAACCCAGGAGGCGGAGGTCTCAGTGAGCCGAGATCACGCCACTACACTCCAGCCTGGGTGACAGAACGAGACTCCATCTCAAAAAAAAAAAAAAAAAAAAAAAAGGAACAAATTGTTGACACACAAAACAACATGGATAGGTTTAAAAGGCCTTACACCGAGTACAAGAAGCCAGACTCAAAAGTAACATATTACAGAATTGCATTTATATGACATTAAAAAAAAGACACAACTTTTGGGACAATAAATGGATCAGTGGTGGCCAACGTGACGTGACGGGATACCTGACTATAGATGGATGGCAGGAGGCAGTTTTTAAGGTGATTTAATTATTCTTTATTCCTATTATAGCATTATTCACACAAATCTTTACACATGCTGAAACTCATAGAAGTGTACATATACCAAGAAAGTTACAATTACTGCCTGGTCATTTGAAAAATAAGTATTGAGATGTTTTGTTGTTATTTTAATTAAATCACTTCCATATTTTATTCTAACATTGGCTTAAAACCATGTCCCAAAGATCTACCACGTTTCTGTCATGTTAAATTGCCGCCCTGTTTTCTCGTATCTGAGAATTGTCGGGGTTTTCCATGAAGAATCAAGGAGTTTGGAAGTGTTAGTGGGTTGGTTGATCCTTTGGGGGACCTCTACCAATGGAGCCTAGGAGAGGCGCAAGGACAGGTGTCGAGATGCTTTCTTATCCAAATCAGCTTTTTTTGTTTTGTTTTGTTTTGATAGAGTCTTGTTCTGTTGCCCAGACTGGAGTGCAGTGGGGCGATCTTGGCTCACTGCAGCCTCTGCCTCCCAGGTTCAAGTGATTCTCCTGCTTCAGCCTCCCAGGTAGCTGTGATTACAGGTGCATACCGCCATGCCTGACTAATTTTTGTATTTTTAGTAGAGATGGGGTTTCACCATGTTGGCCAGGCTGGTCTTGAACTCCTGACTTCAGGTGATCTGCCCACCTCAGCCTCCCAAAGTGCTGAGATTACAGGCGTAAGCTACCATGCCTGGCCTAAAGCCAGCCCTTTTCAACCATGCTTCCATTCTAGGAACAAGAACCATGCAAAGGAATGGTTGGGCATGTGTTTGTTTTATGAGAACTTCAGTTACCTCAAGTAATGGGGGCTTATTGAAAATGTACACTAGCATAGAACCCAGGAAAAGCCAGACACGGAGGCCTCAAGAAGAGTAGGAAGCTGCAGATGGGTGTCTTCATCCGTTCTTGCACTGCTATTAAGAAATAACTGACACTGGGTAATTTATAAAGGAAACAAGCTTAATTGGCTCACAGTTCTGCAGGCTGTACAGAAAGCATAGCAGCTTCTGCTTCTGGGGAGGCCTCAGGAAGCTTCCAATCAAAGGGGAAGCCAGGCATCTCACATAGGTAGGAGCAGGAGGAAGACTCGGGGGAGGTGCCACACAAATTTTGTTTGTTTGTTTGTTTTTCAGACAGAGTTTTGCTCTTGTTGCCCAAGCTGGAGTGCAATGGCACGATCTCGGCTCACTGCAATCTCCGCCTTCTGTATTAAAGTGATTCTCCTGCCTCAGCCTCCTGAGTAGCTGGGATTACAGGCACCTGCCACCACGCCCAGCTAATTTTTTGTATTTGTAGTAGAAACGGCGTTTCACCACGTTAGCCAGGCTGGTCTCAAACTCCTGACCTCAGGTGATCTGCCCGCCTTGGCCTCCCAAAATACTGGGATTACAAATCTCATGAGAACTCACTCACTAATCATGAGAATGGCGTCAAGGGGGATGGTACTAAACCATTGATGAGAAGCCACCTCCACGATCCAATCACCTCCCACCAGGCCCCACCTCCAACATTGGGGATTACAATTCCACATGAGATTTGGTTGGGCGGGGACGGAGATCCAAACCATGTCAGTGGGATGAATCCAAGATGGCTCAGTGGACTTCCACAGCTGGAGCTGGTGAATCTTTGCTCTGGGTTCCACCATTCATCATGATTAAGCTGATCTTCTCCTGTCTGCTTCTTCCTGTCTCACTACTAAATGGTTTATTCTTTACCTTAATTCTTCATATCCTTTCTCTATCTCATAGCTTTTCTTCACTAAATTCAGCTAATGGCTACAGCTGTACCTCAGTTCAGCTCTCACTGCTAACTGTGTGTTTCTTGCTGCATAGGAACTGGTCCATTTATGGTTTTGTGCCAGTCCACATCTCAGGTTGCTGGCCAGCTTACAAATGGGGTCCTATTACTAGGTGTGGGAAAAGCCACCTGGCTTTTCGGGCTGCATCTTCATGGGACAGTCTTATCTGGAAGAGGCTGTGGGCTTGGAGGCACCATGGTAACCCCGTGGAGGATAATATTCCACAATTAGCAAACCATATAAAATAGGACATAACAAAATGGCACGTTTTGTTTAAGAAACAGTAAGAGTCAGGCCGGGTGCGGTGGCTCAAGCCTGTAATCCCAACACTTTGGGAGCTGAGGCGGGTGGATCACCTGAGGTCAGAAGTTCCAGACCAGCCTGGCCAGCATGGTGAAACCCAGTCTCTACTGAAAATACAAAACTTAGCTGGGCGTGTTGGCGGGCGCCTGTAATCCCAGCTACTCAGGAGGCTGAGGCAGGAGAATTGCTTGAACCTGGGAGGCAGAGGTTGCAGTGAGCCGAGATGGCCCCACTGTACTCCAGCCTGGGCGACAAGAGCAAAACTCTGTCTAAAAAAAACAAAAAAAAAAAACAGTAAGAGTCAAAGATTGTGAAAAGTCTGCCTCATTTATTTCTTGCTGGTCTTGGGGTGGAGCACAGACAAATGAGGACATAAGCAGTATGATGCGATGGGCCTTAGGTGCCCCTAGATGTGGGCATCTGGGACAACTTCTCTCATGGCGATTCCTGCAGTACCAGAGGATTTCTTAAGTACCTTGAGCTACCCATGGTGGAAGGATTAGTTCTCCCACTGCACTAGCAGCTTGGATAATTTTTCATCCACAAGGTGTGCCGATGCCTGGCTCCTGGGATAGAGAACTAGGCTTGGAGCCATAATGGGAAGCAAATCTCTCCGGATTGGGGCACATGAAGTGATGAAAAGCTTTGACGGTGGGTGAGAAGGAGTGCTGATCCCACAACCGGCGGCATGGCCTCTATTAAAACCAGGCCTCCTGCCCCATCAGACACACAAGTTTCTCTTAACTCTGCCCATCAGGTATGAAAACTTTTAGGAAAATAACATTGACCAAAGCCCAGGGCTGCGACTGGGGAAGTGATCCTTGGTGTGCCGAGACATGAGTCCGTGACATCTGGAATGATCCTTTGGGGACATTTGGGGCTCCAATTAAATATGATTCAGCCTGGGTGGTCAGGCAAACCCTCAGGGACCCATGTGACCGGCCCGAAGTTTTCACCACTCTCCACACAGAACAGTGTTTTCAAAGCAGTTTGAAGCACATTGTACTCCCATTTAAAAAATAACCCCTTGCAGCCGGGCGCGGTGGCTCATGCCTGTAATCCCAGCACTTTGGGAGGCCAAGGCGGGTGGATCATGAGGTCAGGAGTTTAAGACCAGCCTGGCCAAGATGGTGAAACCCATCTTCACTAAAACTACAAAAAATAGCCAGGTGCGATGTCAGGCACCTGTAATCCCAGCTACTCGGGAGGCTGAGGCAGGAGAATCCCTTCAACCCGGGAGGTGGAGGTTGCAGTGAGCCAAGATCACGCCACTGCACTCCAGCCTGGGTGACAGAGTGAGACTCTGTCTCAAAATAAATAAATTAATTAATTAATAAAAAAAAAACCCTTCCATATTTAAACACATTTAAAACTGAAACAACCATAGCCCCACTCCCGAGGGATGACCATTGTTTACATTCTGCTGTATGTCTTTCCAATATTATTATTGTACATATATTTGGAGGTAAAATAGTCTCATACCATCAGTCTGCACAGTTCAATATGGTAGCCACTAGCCACATATAGCTCTTCAAATTAGAATAGAAAAAAAACTAAAATCAAAATTAAAATTCAGTCTCTCATTTGTAGTAGCCACACTTCAGGTGCTCAGAAGTTGTACATGGCTTTTGGGAAATACAGATAAAGAACATTTTCATTAACACAGAAAGTTCTGCTGGACAGCATTACCGTAGCTATAGTCCTAATAATCTTTACTCACTGTGACCATCTTTTCGTGTTATAAAATATGACTGTGTAGTATCATTTTTAATGACTGCATAATATTCCATTGTGTACATCTATAATCAATCACTTTTTTTTCTTTTTTTTGGTGAGACTGAGTCTCACTCTGTCGCCGGGCTAAAGTGCAGTGGCTCGATCTCTGCTCATTGCAACCTCTGCCTCCCGGGTTCAAGTGATTCTCCTGCCTCAGCTTCCTGAGTAGCTGGGACTACAGGCATGCGCCACCATGCCAAGCTAATTTTTGTATTTTTAGTAGAGACAGAGTTTCACCATGTTGGCCAGGATGGTCTCAATCTCTTGACCTCGTGGACTACCCACCTTGGACTCCCAAAGTGCTGGGATTACAGGCATGACCCACTGCGCCCGGCCTGTAATCACTTTCTAAAAACCATTTCTCTAAAGTTGGAAATTCAAGTTATTTCTAGTTTGTCACTATTATAACAATGACTCCATAAACCTTTTTTTTGAGAGGGAGTTTTACTCTTGTTTTCCAGGCTGGAGTGCAATGGCTTGATCTCGGCTCACAGCAACCTCTGCCTCCTGGGTTCAAGTGATTCTCCTGACTCAATGTTTATTTGCATGTGTGATTACTTCTTTACTATTACTACTGGAGCAGATTGCGGTTTTTACACATTTTTCATTCCTAGTACAAAATTGCTTTCCAGAAAGACTGCTTAGATTGACACTTCTCAAAAGTAAGGTATGGAAGTGCTTCTTATCCTAAACTAGACAACAATTGAGAAATTTGTTGTCATTTTGACACTTGAAGCAGCATTATCCCAAAGATGTTTTGCTTTGCAACTCTTGGATTTCTAGTAGGATTTATAACCACTTGTATTTTTTTTGTGACTTGCTTTTGCCGAGTTTTTAACCAAAATGTATATCCTTTTCTAAATTGAGTCATACAAGATTTTTTTTTTTTTGAGACAGGATCTTGCTCTGTCACCCAGGCTGGAGTGCAGTGGTGCGATCTTGGCTTACCACAACCTCTGCCTCCTGGGTTCAAGCAATTCTCCTGCCTCAGCCTCTCGAGTAGCTGGGACTACAAGCACACGACACCACCCCTGGCTAATGTTGTATTTTTAGTAGAGATGGGGTTTCACCATGTTGGCCAGGCTGGTCGTGAACTCCTGACCTGAAGTGATCTGCCCACCTTGGCCTCCCAAAGTGCTGGGATTACAGGCATGAGCCACCGTATCCGGCCTCGATTCATACAAGATCTTTATATATGGAGGGGTCAAGTCTTTACCACATAACATACAAAAGCTTTTTGTGTTTATCATTTGCTTTTCATTTTTAAACTTACGAATATTATAAAATCATATTTAGTTGAATTTCACAGTGTTTTCCTTTTAGATTTCTGCTTTTGATAAGATACTTTAGCTCTATCCTGCTAAAAATTACACATAAATATTTACTGTTTTATGGTTTACTTTTTTAACACCTAAAACATTTAATACATCTGGAATTTATTTAGGGTGTGGTATGAGTTCGGTGGTTATTTACATTTACCTTCTAAATGGTTAGCCAGTTTTTCCCAATTTGTTGAATGATTTATTCTATTTCTACTGATTTTAAATTTCACCCTTATAGAATACTATATATATATATATATATATATATATATATATATATATAATATTTCCTATTCTAGTTCATTACTGTCTTTCTAATTTGGCACAAGTAACATATTGCTTTAATTATTTGTACTATGTGTCACATATTAATATTGGTGTGGCAAGTCCTTTTTGTAACTCTTCTTTTCCAAAATAGTTTTGGCTTTTATAGCATGCATCTCCTTCCGTATGAATGTTAAAATTATTTGGTTAAAATTTTAGAAAATGGCCCTGTCAAAGTTTCCACTGACATTGTTAAATGTAAAACTAAATTTGTGAAAAATTGGTTTCTATCAATATTAAATTTCCCCTTCAGAAATATGGTATACTTTTTTGCTTATTTTCATTTTTTATATCTCTCAGTAAATTTTTTTTAGTTTTTTTCCATCATCTAGGCCCTGAATATTACTTATGAATTTCACTCCCACTTTGCCAAAAACTTGGATAAATTTTCTTCAGTACATACTTGGTACTGGGCTCGGTGGCTCAGCCTGTAATCTCAGCACTTTGGGAGGCTGAGGCAGGTGGATTGCCTGAGCCCAGGATTCAAGGCTAGCCTGGAAAATACAGCGAAACTCCAGCTCTACAAAAAAAAAAAAATCAAAAATTAGCTGGGCATGGTGGTGCACACCTGTGATCTCAGCTACTCGGGAGGCGGAGATGGGAGGGAGAATCACTTGAGTCCAGGAGGTGGAAGCTGCAGTGAACTGTGATTGTTCTTCTGCCTGGGTGACAGAGCAAGACGTTACCTGAAAAAAAAAAAAAAAAAAAAAAAAAGACGTACTTGGCCCTGGCTTCTGGGGAGTAATGGGGAATTAGGCTGGGAGCCATAATAGGAAATCTCCTGGACGGAGGCACATGATATGATATTAAACATTTTTAAATTGCTTTTATAAGTGAGATTTTAAAATGTCATTATATTTCTTTGTTTTTTTTTTGAGATAGGATCTTGCTCTGTTGCCCTGGGATGGAGTACATTGGTACAATGACAGCTCACTGCAGCCTTGACCTCCCAGGCTCAAGCAGTCCTCCCACCTCAGCCCCCCAAGTAGCTGGAACTACAGGAACCACCACACCCAGCTAATTTTTGGATTTTTTGTAGAGACAGACCATGTTGCCTAGGCTAGTCTCAAAGTCCTGGGCTCAAAAGATCCCCCTGCCTCAGTCTCCCAAAGTGTTAAGATTACAGGCATGAGCCACTATGCCCAGCCCTCCATTGTATTTCTGAACATATTATTAAGAATATATAGGCAAGGTATAAATGTTAGGTATTTATTTTATAATTAACTTTAATAGCTTTGTATATTTATATTAGCTATAATCATTTTTAAGTTGGATATCTTGGGCTTTGCAAAGAGATAATCATATTATTTGCAAGAAATGTTTGTCAATATTTAGAATTTTTACTTCTTTTTCTTATAGACCAATATAGTATAGTGCTAAAAAAAAATAGGTGTTTGAGACAGACAGACCTGGGCTAAATTTCAGCTGCACCACCTATTAACTTGAACCTTCTGCAATTTATCCAATCTCTGAGGGTCAGTTTCCTCAAAGAGGAATAATAATACCTACTTTATGGAGATCTTAGGAGGATTAAATGAAATATTGTCTATAAAGCACATAACCAATTAGCTGGCATATACAGCTGCTATTATTGCTTGTCTGATTGCATTGGCTGGAACTCCCAGAACGTTAAATAATAATGGTAATTGTGGACATCTAGACTTTAATGGTAATAGAGTCATTTCTAAATGAAAATACCAGGCACTGTTGATGATGATGATGACTAACATATATTAAGCATTTGTGCCCCATTCAGCATATATATCATAGAGACTATTGCAGAAAATTACCCCAGCATCTTGCATACTTGCTCTTGATAACACTGCTTTTATTCACTCATTCCCTCATTCAATTAATTCATTCAACAGACATTTGTTGAGCATGCCTAGAGGCTCTTATTTAATATGCCTCAATTCTAACTATCTTCATTTTGGATATGATGTTACTTATGTGTTGAAGGAGGGAGAAACAGATACAGAAACAGGCAGTGGAAGATAACTGCATTGAGGCTTCATGTATAAACCACTCATAGAGCTACCTATGTGCATAGATTATGGCGCTATCCTTTTATTATGTCCATTATGCCTGGGCTGTCTGGCCTCATTGAAAGCAAAGAATGAGGTTTAGAGTTTGTAATGAGATGAAGAATGGGGCTGAGCTTTTTCTGACGGAAGCTCTCCATTCATTCAACCATCACTGGCTGGTGCTAGTAAAAATAAGATGGGTAAAATGTGGATTTTGCCTTTGAGTCTTCATAACTGAGAAAACCAGGAGTGTGAGGAATATTATTCCAGAACATACAAAGTTGACGAAAACATAGAGAGAGAAGTGCTGGTGCAGGAAGGCAGGGGGCTTGAGGGCTTGTTTAAGGGTGGGGACATGGGGCTATAGAGATGGTGGAGTTAGGACTGGCCTCCCAGAGTTCTGAAGTCATGAGAGATTGGCAAGAATTTTCTGGGTGGGCAGGAGAGGGCATACTAGTGATGGGAACGATTATGCAAAGACGCAGAGACTTGTGGGAGTGGGTTGCTTAGTCTGCCAATAAACAGCCCATTCTTCCACAGTGAAGTTGTATGGAAAATAAGTGGATTTTGTGACTGAATTTGATTTGATGTAGCCCACCTACAAACTGGAGCTTATCTTGGATGGTTTAATGAGGTCAGCAGAGTAGAGAAGGGAAACAACTATGCCTTGTTAATATTCATAGTCATGATATTTACTGGGACAAAACAAAAATAAAGCCCCACAATTTAACCTTTGCTGGAAAAAAGATTGGGGACCAAATGAGAAACTGAAAGAATTTACTGCCTTTTGTAAATGCAAAAGAATGAATTAACTTTCTTCAAATTTGCTCAGTCTTTCTATTTCTCTTCCCATTTTTCTCCTCCTAGACCCTCACTGAGCAGCTAGTTTCTTACAAAATGGATGATAAATATTAGCTGGGAGCATAGAAGAAGATTATTTAACTATCTCCCTAAAAGCATATACAAATGGTGTACACAGGAATGAATTCAGAATTTGGGGATTAATTCATTTTTCCTCCAGAGTCAGCTTCTCCTTCTTTCTCTCTGTACCCTGCTTCCTTTCAGGTATTTGGGTTTGGCAGGCTATTAATGGGTGGAACCCACAGACACAAGGAAGTGATTTTATAGGCTTTCTTCTGGGCTTATGTACAATTTTTAAAAATTCCTTTTGATCCTCAAAGATCCCAGCAGCCAACTCTGGTTAACATCACCAAGAAGCCAGCCGCACCCAGAGCTGTCCTAGGAGCTAGACTTCTCATATGCCAAACTGCTGGCAATTCTGTCTCCTTGCCTGAGACAGGAGGCATCTTGAGAAGATTCAAATGAAGGGAAATAGAGAGTTGGATAATTAACATATGAATTTGATTAATGTTTACATCTGTGAAAAGCATTTTGTACCAAATAAATATCAGATAAATTTCTTAAAACTTCCATCGCCGTCTTTCCCTCTCTGGGGGAAAAGAGTTGACTAGTTTTAATCCTTGTTTTCTACACAAAAATTCCTGAGTGTGGGTCCAGTAAGAGCTTAAGATTGATCCTGTCCTGGTCATCTGAAACTTCTTCCTGTTTTTCTAAAATTCCTAGAGGTGTTTGTAATGGAACGACTACTAGGGCACATTGAGGGGTTGTGGGAAATGCAGGGAAAGTGGAAGACTGGAGAGGAGCAAGTGAACAGATTTTCAAAAGGGGATACCTCAAAAAGTAACCATCCCTGTGAGCTAGAGAGCAATTATTGTCTAATGAGGCTGGACCAGTCCTTTAGCTTGAGACCTTTGGCCTTTGATGAGGCCTGCTGAGCAGGGCATTTGATGGCTTTTTGAGCACTTACAAATAAAAATGGCCATGTATTAGTTATGAGTGTGTTCCCGACTGGACCCATTGCTTTAATGGGATTACTAGGCTAGTTCTATCAAGGAAGTACTGGAATCCTACTGCATATTAACCAACATCTTGCTTAATCACTTCATTGAATTTGAGTAAGGTTTCTGAGTTATGCATGCAAAGTCTCTCCATGTAGATAAGATAGAAAATTACAGATTGGTGATAATGTAATGAGAAAGAATTGCATGCCATTGAACACCTGGGTTCCAAATATGAAGAACAAAGATTAGCATCAATCTGGGAGATTATTTTAGTGCTGAACCACAGGGCCCTGTCATATAGGACGTTTTTATTTATGGCATGTTTGAAGGCAAATTTTAGGTTCATTGTATTTGTAGATAACACAGTGGAAACCCTAAATAATGGAATTGTACCCATCAAATGAGCTGGAACCATGAATCAAAAGCTATGGCTGGAAACAGTAGAAGTTGGTCTTCTATTTTCTTCTCCTTCTTTCTCCACATCCCTCGCCTGTCTCTCCTTCTTCTTTACAGCATGTATAAGTTTATAAACTCCATGCAGTACTGCCAAAAAATTAAATGAGATGAAGAAAAGTGGGAGAGGTAATATTATTCCATATACTCTTCAGATGAGGCTCAGAATTTTAGCGAGGTCCAAGATCACATACCTCCTAAGTAGTATCAGTAGGGGCAGAATTCAAATCCTAGCTCCCACTCCTTTTTTAGTTTTCTTTTTCTTTTGAGATAGAGTGTCACTTTGTCGCCCAGGCTGGAGTGCAGTGGTGTGATCTCAGCTCACTGCAACCTCTGCCTCCCGGTTCAAGTGATTCTCCTGCCTCAGCCTCCCGTGTAGCTGGGATTACAGGCATCCACCAATACGCCCTGCTAATTTTTTGTATTTTTAGTAGAGACGGCATTTTGCCATGTTGGCCAGGGTGGTCTCGAACTCCTGACTTCAGGTGATCCACCGGCCTTGGACTCGCAAAGTGCTGGGATTACAGGCGTGAGCCACCGAGTCCAGTCTAGCTCCCCTCTTTTGCATTCATAGTATGCTGAAGTTCTCTAGACATATTCTTTGAGAATGACAATGGCTGCTTTGCTGAGCACAAGCATTCAGTGCAATAAAATGGTGGTTACGGAATTAGGCACATGCTTAATATGTTCTTTCAATCAGGCAACCAGGCCTGGGATCAAGCAACTGCTTCTAACTTGTACTTCTGCTGAGTCAAACCCATCAAAAAGGCCACCAGAGCTAAAAATAAAGGGGTCATAAAATGTATTCAGGCCACAAGATCAAGAACCAGCACTTTAGATGGGCTACCGCATGTGCTGAAAATAATGATTCAGTGCTGAAAATGAAAATTTTAGCGAAAAAGGGACTAAAAGAAATAATGTAATGTAATCCCCCACTTGGATATGGAGAATGCTGGACAGAGAGAAATTAGTTGGTTTGCTCAAGATTACCCAATTAATAATTGGCAGGATTGGTTTCTTGTACCTGGTTCGGGGTTCTCTGTATTCCATCATAGTGTTCTGATTTATTATAATGGCAATGACTTACATTTGTGAAGTAACTCTTTACACTCTAAAAATTCTATTATATTAAAAAAATGTAAGGCAAATATTATACCCATATTACAGATGGGGCAACTCAGGCAAAGAGAAACTAGATGATTTGTCAAAGGGCACACAACTAATGAATGATAAACTATGACACAGGATTTGTCTTGGACCCTTTGCCAGGCTTGCAGCGGGGGGCACCCAGTCTATTCAGTTCTCTGGGCTGCATCTGGCTTGTGCTCTGGCCCACAGTTCCTGTAGTCATGCAACTACACACTCAGCTCCTGGTGGGAGGGAGTTTGTGAGTGAGCAAGGGTGGGGTTCAGCTGGCCGTTGCAAGCCCTGACACAGGAGCAGGCTCCGTGTGGGGCCTGAGGCCAGACCAGGCATGTTGCCCTGAGGGGAACACAGTTGCACTCAGGCAGGTGTGCCTGCAATCCTGAAGCCCCAGAGGGAGTATTACAGTGTGCTAACTAGCTCTTTTAGTTCCACTGTCTGCAGCCCAATAGATGGCTGCAGGACCGGCTTGGCCCTGCCTCTTCTTCCATCATGTGGGGTGGCTGCACTCTACCAGCGAGGGTAGAAGGCCAGTCTTACAGCCTTTCTGGGTGCCCGTGTTTGGTGCATCCTGAGCTCTTGTCCCGCATCCAAGAAGAATGAGGTCATGCTGACAACTGAAGGGTGTTGAGGTCGGAGAATTTTATTGAGCAATGAAACTGCTGTCAGCAGAGAGGGGATGGAAAGGCCAGGTTGTCTCTTTCAGTGTGGCTGAGTCTGGGGATTTTTATAGGTGCAGGATGGGTGAGGGAGAGACCATAGGTAGTATTAAAAAGGATAACATTTGATTGTTTAAAAGGCATTATTCAGAAAGAACCAATTGGGAAAGGGCAGACAAACAGGAACAGAAGTTCTCACTCTGGGTCACAGGTTTCACCCGGAACCAGCAGTCCAGGCTGTTTTTGGCTTGAAGGTGGAGTTTCACCGGGGACCTGACCCTGTCTGCCTAGGCATTTGTCTGCCTCTTGCTGCTCTCAACAAGAGAGTTAAACCTAGGTTTTTGGGCTTCCAATCTACTTGCCTCTTAGCTGTTTTACTCATAATACTTCTGATGCCAAATGTGTGGGATTTTTCTTCTACCTCCAAACCCATTCTCTGGTTTTCCTTACACCAGCTATGTGTCCTGCAATTCAATTATGCCACAACTACCTGGAGTTGGCAGAGACCCCACAGGTCAAGACTCAGTCCCACAAGACTACCCCAAGTTCAGACACCAATTGCACGTTCCAAGTTTCTACCTGTACTTCTGACCAACAGGCTGCAAACAGCCTGCTCCCACCACCCAGTTCTCATGTTCCATAATTTGCTAGAATGCCTCTCAGAACTCAGGAAAGAGCTTTACTTAGGGTACAACAGACACATGGTCTTCTATCTCTTGATGCTTAGGGCAAGGTATGGGGATGGGACATGGAGCTTCCATGCCCTTTCTTGGTGTGCCACCCTCTCAACATCTCAGCGTGTCACCACATAAAAACTCTCCAAATCCCCCTTGTTTAGGGGTTTTTATGGAAGGTTCATTATGTAGACATGATTGATTAAATCATTAACCATTGAAGATTGACTCAGTCTCCAGCCAGTGGCGATCAGAGGATGGGACTGAAAGTTTCAACCCTGTAATCACATCAGAGTCTTTCCGGCCACCAATCCACATCCTAAAGCTATCTAGGAGCCCTAAGCTACTAGATATCTCATTAGCATACAAAGGACACTTGCTTTTGCATTTTTTTTTTTTTTTGAGACAGAGTCTCACTCTGTCACCCAGGCTGGAGTGCAGTGGCGTGATCTCGGCTCACTGAAACCTCTGCCTCCCAGGTTCAAGCAATTCTCCTGCCTTAGCCTCCCGAATAGCAGGGACTACAGGTGTGTGCCACCATGCCAGGCTAATTTTTTTTGTATTTTTAGTAGAGACAGAGTTTCACCACGTTGGCCAGGCTGGTCACAAACTCCTGACCTCAGGTGATCCACCCACCTCAGCCTCCCAAAGTGCTGGGATTACAGGTGTGAGCAACCACGCCTGGCCACTTTTGAATTTCTTTAGCATAGAAAAGACGAGGGTTTTAGGAGCTGTGTGCCAGGAACCAGGGAAAAAGATGAAATATCTATTTATTCTTTTCACACTGCCTATTCCTGCACTTGCCACAGGGTAGGTGTTTCACTAGACTGCACAGGCTCTTTGGCTGGATTCACCAGGGCACACCTGAAGCTAGTGGTCCTGGTTTGCTGCAAGTACAGTAGCCTCCCTCAGCATCCTCAATACGTTCTTGGAAACTGATTTGAAGCAAAGCAACATATAGCAGGTCCTTGAATAACATCGTTTCCTTCAAGGTCTTTACTTTGTTATCATGTTGATGAGAAAAAAAAATTGTTTGGTTCTTTGTCGTGTTGCTTACGTTGTAGTTTCCAAGAACCTATCAACAACATTAAGTGAGGATTTATAGTATCGCTTCTGCCATCTTTCTCATGGTACTTGTTTGTCGCAGGAAGAAGTGGTGGAGGGTGAGCTATTATCCTTACTCAAAAAAACAGCAATCTTCCCTTCCCTTCCCTTCCCTTCCAACTCCATTATGCTATAGATCATGAGTTTTTGTTGTTGTTTACTGGGACTTTCCCAATTCCAATTTCATTGCATTTCTGTAAAGACTAACCTCATAGCTAGAGCAAAGGACTGACAAGTGCTTTTTTTTGTTTTGTTTTGTTTTTTAAGCTTACTGCGATGGGCAGATATTTGTGTCTTAATCCTCAGAAAATGTGAATATTTCATGTTATCTGGCAAAACAAACTTTGCAAATGTGATTGATGAAGGTAAGGGTACAGACCTTGAGGTAGAAAGGGTATCCTGGATTATTCAGGTGGGCCTAATCTAATTGTGAGTCCTTAAAAGTGGAAAACCCTCTCAGACTGTGGTCAGGTTGAGAGAGAGAGAGAAAGAAAGGGAGGGGGAGAGAGAGAGAGGGGTAGGGGGAAAGGGAGAGAGAGAGAGAGAGAGAGAAAGAAAGGGGGGGGAGAGAGAGAGAGGGGTAGGGGGAAAGGGAGAGAGAGAGAGAGAGAGAGAGAAGCAATAATGGAAGCAGGGTTAGAGAAATGCAACTTTGCTGGCTTTGAAGATGCAGAAAGGGACTGAAATCCAAAAAATTCAGGGAGCCTCTAGAAGCTGGAGAAAGCATGGAAATGGGTTTTTTTTTTCCTAGAACTTCCAGAAAGGGATGCAGACTTGCTGATGCCTTGGTTTTAGACTGGTGAAACCTATGTTGGACTTTGAACCTACAGAACTGTAAGATAATACATTGGTCTTGTTTTGAGTCACTATATTTGTGTTTTATTTTTATTTTTTGCTGCTATAGCATGTTACAGCTTCTCCTCAGAGACAGGGTGGGCCCCTACTGAAAATTTGGTTCAGATGTCAAGCCTGATGATGATGCCTCCACTATACACATGTGCCAACAGGGTATTAAAAGGTTTCTTACTTACATAATAAGTCTTTCAGTATGGCTTCCACGCAGGTCCAGAAATGGCTTGAAAAAGCAGAGAAAGGAGACTGGCTTGGGAATATTGTGGTAGTTAGGTGGTAGGGAAGGAGTGAAGGTTCCCATGCGTGGTTTGATAGTTCCATTGGCTCCAAAGGAGAGAGCACCCAAGCTTTCTTAGCAGCTTGCCAAGGTGTGGGGCAGTAAAGGAATAAGGTGGAGTGAGGCTTAAATAATGTCAATAGTCAAACAGCAAGAAATGGAGTCAAACTCCATTATACGGCAAGAAGAGAAAACTGGTACACTAATCTTCCTCTAGCTCCATCTATGCAGCCTGTGAATCCGCCCATTCATCCACCTGTATTCTATTATGTATCCACTGCATGCCAGGTATAGTTCTAGAGATTATGGATGTAGCGATGTCCGTGAAATAATATTTTTTCCTGTTGTACTCACAGTCTAGTAGAAGTGAACACTAAATTGACTCATAATTATTTGATTATTTGCTGAGGATCACAATTGTGGTATATTGAGGACCATAAGAGACCACAATGGAGAGAGAGACTTTTCTTCATACTAATTTTAGGAGAATTTTCCCTGGAAAGGTGAGAGTTGGCACAGTTGAACTAGCAGTTCAACACACAGTGGTAGAGATGAAAGAATTCTAGGCAAAAGAGAAAAGCATAGACAAAGGCATAAATGCATCAAGTTATGTCTGTGTTGCTGTAAATGGGATTAACAAATGAGGATTTTTTTTTTCACCCTCTGATTTCCTGTGGGCTTGGGATTGGGGAATGAAGATTAGGGAGGTGGTTTGGAAGGAAAAGCTGGAATAGTAAGGGACAGTGAGGTTAAAGATGACCAACTGTTGGTAACCTGCACTTTGACCTAATGTAAGGATGTGAGTTTGTTTTTAGTCTAAAGCCATTGCCTCATACCCAGTTTAATATACTTGAAGAAAAACATGTGAGATCTATAAAGTAGACAAGATTGGAAAGAAATTGTTTCAAGAAAAGGAAGTTAATCAGTAACTGAGTCTAACTGGTATAGACTACAGTTTCTTTTCCAATAATGGCCCAAGGAAATGATGCACAAAATATGTCGAATTATGATTGCTTATTGAAGAGGGAGTTTGCTTTGCGGGGTGGACTAGGGGGTTTGGCGAAGGAATAAAGATGCTCATCATGACTCAGAATGTGTCCTCTCTCCCTTGGATCCTCCTCTCGGTGACACCCTAGAACATCCTGGGACATCACTGGTTTTTTGTTTTTTTGTTTTTTTTTTTTGAGACAAAGTCTCGCTCTTGTCCCCCAGGCTGGAGTGCAATGGCATGATCTCGGCTCACTGCAACCTCTGCCTCCCAGGTTCAAATGATTCTCCTGCCTCAGCCTCCTGAGTAGCTGGGATTACAGGCACCTGCCACCATGCCCGACTAATTTTTGTATTTTTAGCAGAGACAGGGTTTCACCATGTTGGCCAAACTGGTCTTGAACTCCTGACCTCAGGTGATCTGCCTGCCTTGGCCTCCCAAAGTGCTGGGAATACAGGCGTGAGCCACCACGCCTGGCCATCATTGTTGGTCTTTAAACTCCATTCCTCCCCAGAGGGCTGGTACCTTGGTAGTAGCCTCCACCCTCATGTGGGTATCAGCTGGGGCTGTCTGGATTTGTATAAGAATTCCAGTGTTAATGATGGAGTTCTGTTGGAAATAGGGACAAGTGTTCTTTCAAGTTCTCATTCCCACCTGGTGCTGCGTTCTCCCTTCTCTCTCCCTCTGTGTTGTATTTTAGATTCAGGGGGATCTTTCACATACATAACAAGTTCTTGCTTTGGACTTAAAAATAAACACTATGAAAAAAGAAATGCGTGTTCCAATCTGACTTGAAATGCCCAAATATGATTAGTATTAGACTGTGAAATACCACTGTTTATCTCTAGGAGCCAGCTGCTGGGAGCATTTTGAGGGATCAGGCTGGTTGTTGTGGATGACGTTTTTTTTAAACAAAACATGAGCCCCAAATGTCTGTACATGGAGAGTGTACAGACTCTCCATGAAGTCCCCTTTGTCGAAAACTCTGTCTTTCTAATTTTTATTCTCCCCTCATTTGTCCCGATCACAATCATGGAAGACAGTGTGGGAGCCAAATAGGTTCCAGTTTCAATCTGAACATTTCCCTCTGACTTCTCTCTGTATTTCAGCCTTTCTCTTTTCTAAACTTGCCTGACTGCATCTAGGGACTTTCCAACTGAAGAAACAAATTATTTGGGTCACACAGGCCACCACTGCTATTTATGAGCCAAAAAAATGCCGCTTGGCATTTGGAAAACTGATTTATTAATACACGCAGGGTCTTGCATGTCAACAACTGCAAATTATGGATAACAGATTTGCATCTTCTATCATTTCATGACCTCATTCAAAAGGACTTAATGAGCTAACAAAAAGGGCTAAATAATGAAATGTTTTTTTTCTCTCAAAGCTCTTTTTGACCTACCTGCCTACCTCTTCCCTCAAAAAGTAAGAAGAAGGAAAGAAAACAAAAATATTAATTTACTGAAAAGCTTAACTTTAAAGCATTATGAGATTTTAAATCCGTGAATTACTCTGTATGATATATGAATCAATTACAGAAAGAACAGGAAATAGTAACAGGTTTGCATCAATCTTCAGCTAAACTATGCTCAGGGAAATGAAGCTAGAATTCAATCAAACAAGGAGCTAACATTAAATTCCTTCTGAACACACTACTCTGGAAGAATATTTGAGGGACACTGAAAGTGAAAAATAAGGTATATTTGTCTTTGGTGAATGTGCACTGTATTTGAAGAGACAAGATATTAAAAGTCGTGTATTGACATTGAAAACTTCCTTAACAATTTACTCCCAAGAGAGGTGAAGCAGCAGAGGGTCATTACTTGGCAAATAAGCAAAAAGGATATTAATTACCACTAACTGGAGGCATTACTGTGGGATCGTAGGGGTCTATATTAGTCCATTTTGTGTTACTGTAAAGGAATACCTGAGGCTGGATAATTTATAAAGAAGAGAGTTTTAATTGGCTCATGGTTCTGCAGGCTGTACACAAAGTATAGTGCCTGTATCTGGTGAGGGCTTCAGAAAGCTTCCAATCATGGCAGAAGGTGAAGAGGAGCCAGCCTGTCACATGGCAAGAGAGAGGGCAAGACAGAGAAGGGAGACGTCCCAGGCTCTTTTAAACAACCAGATCTTGTGTGAACTAAGTGAGCAAGAACTGACTCATCACCAAGGGAATTGTGCTAAGCCATTCATGAGGGATCCACCCGCATCATCTAACACTTCCAGTAGGCCCCATTTCTAACAGTGGAAGTCACATTTCAACATGAGATTTGGAGGGGACAAATATCCAAAGTATGTCAGGGTCTGAGAGGATTTATTTCTCCCACCCACCCCCCTCCACTCCCCTCTTTTTTGGAGACAGCATCTGGCTCTGTTGCCCAGGCTGGAGTGCAGTGGCATGGTCGTGGCTCACAGCAGCCTCAGCCTCAACCTCCTAGGCTCAAGTGATTCTCCCACCTCAGCCTCCCAGTCCTCAGCCTCCTGGGACTACGGGTGCATACCACCATGCCCAGCTGCTTAAAAAAAATTTTTTTAAGAGATGAGGTCTCCCTATGCTTCCCAGGCTGGTTTCAAACTTCTGGACTCAAGCAATCCTCATGCTTCAGCCTCCCAAAGTGCTGGAATTACAAACATGAGCTTCTGCTCCTGGCCCCTGAGAGGATTTCAAGTAAGAGATATATTTTTTTTTCTGGATTTCAAATATAATCAGGATCCTGGTAAGTTGGAAAAGCAAGAAGAGCATCTCACAAGAGAGGGGATGAAAAGAGGACTTGCAGAAGGATGTTCTGTGGGTGCTCAGGGTTTTGTGTACAGAGGTTGTTTGTTAGTTTGGAGAATTAATGGAGAGTTGTCATTCAAAAGAGCATCAAAAACATCAAATGCCTAGGAAATGCCAATGAAAGATACTCGAGACTCCTACACAGAAGACTACACACAGTTACTGATGATAAATGGAAGGAAATGCCAAGTTTATGGACTGAAAGAGTCAAAGTTGTTATATCTTGTTTTCTTGAAATTCATATATATTTAATCCAATACCAGTCACATCCCAGCAGATTTTATAGTTGTGGAAATTGACAAGCTGATTCTACAATACATATGGGGCCGGGCGTGAGTGGCCAAGGTGGGTGGATCACTTGAGGCCAGGAGTTTGAGACCAGCCTGGGCAACACGACAAAACTCCATCTGTACTAAAAAGACAAAAATTAGCCAGATGTAGAGGTGCATGCCTGTAATCCCAGTTACTTGAGAGGCTGAGGCAGAGAATTGCTTGAACCTGGGAGGCGGAGGCTGCAATGAGCTGAGATCATACCACTGCACTCCAGCTTGGGTGACAGAGACTCCATCTCAATAAATACATAAATAAATAAATAAATAAAATTTATATGGAAATAAACAGAGCTAAGAATAGCCAACGTCAAAGATGAGTAAGATGTACTAAACTTTAAGATGTATTTAAAACTATAGTACCTAAGGCTATGGGTTACTAATATGATCAATGGATCATATTAGATGTACTACTAAAACCATAGTAATTAAGCCTGTAGGTTATTAATATGACCAATGGAGTAGAGAGTCCAGAAACAGATTCACACATATTTGGTCACCTGATTTATGACAGAGTTGCCAGTTGCGTTACTGCTGACAGTGTAAATTGGTGCACCCACTTTGAGAAACATATGAATCTTCTGAGACACAGCAGTTCCATATTTCAGTATATTAACAGAAATGTGTATGTGTGTACCAAAAGACATATCCATGGGTGCCTATAACATCACTGTTTCTTATAACCCCACCCCCCATTACCATTGGAAACAACCTAAATGTCTATCAACAACTAAATGACTAATAAACTAATAAATTATAATTCATTCACACCATGGAAGACTACATAGTAGGTTTGGTAAACTTTTTCTGTAAAAGATCAGATGGTAAATCTTTTAGACTTTGCAGGCCATTCAGTCTCTGTCACAACAACTCATCTCTGCTTTTGAAGAATGAAAGCAGCCACAGAGGATACATAAGTGAACACGGCTGTGCTTCTAGAACTTTATCTATGGATATTGAAATTTGAATTCCATACAATCCACTTTAGAAAATATTCTTTTTCTTTGTTTTTTTTTGACTATTAAAAAATATAAAAACTGTTATTAGCTTGCAGGTTGCACAAAAACCTGCAGTGAGACGTACATGAAGAAGGACCAGCAACTGCTACACACTCCACAACATGGATAAACCTTACAGATTTAATGGTGAATAGAAGAAAAACAGACTGAAAGCAGCATACACGTTATAATCCCACTTACATAAAGTTCAAAAACAGGCAAAACTAACTTATGGTGATGAAGGTCAAAAGAATGATTACCTTTGGAGAGGTAATTATACAGCAGGCTTCTGCACCGTGGCTGATGCTCTATTTTGTGATCTAGGTGGTAGCTAATCAGGTGAGTTCTCTATCTAAAAGGTCACCCATCTATACTGTGAATTTGCAATAGAACAATGTTTTTTATTTGTTTATTTGTTTTAAATAATCTAGGAGCAATTTAAGAGACCATATCATGCCATGTCTGAGAGTGTAGATTCTGTACACAGACTGCTAAATCCTAGTTTTATCATTAGCTGTGTGACCTTGGGCAAGTCGTTTCACCTCTCTGTTCTTCGGTTTTTCTCAACTGTAAAAAAGTGATACTCAGTTGACTCAGTAGTACTCGACACTTGTAGTATTGCTGTAAGAATGATGAGTTAATCCATATAAAGTCACTTAGGACAATGCTGGCATGCCCTAAGAACTCAATAGATGTTAGGTATTATTACTGTGGCCAATAACTTTTTTGCTTTAGGTCTTAAGCTCCAGTTTGTTAAGACATTTATAAACTCTTGATTCTGCCACAAACATACTTTTAGATTAAGCAAGGCCAGGAGCACAAAGAAGCCTTTTTTAACTCGCATGCGGTCCAGCCCAGCTCACCAGGAATCTGATTCTGAAGAGTCTGGGAATAAAGGCTCAGAGTCATAAATAATATAAATATCCCTTGTCTTATTTAGAATGTACATATTGCCTGTGAATAGTTGCAGTGTCAGTAGGTGTTAGCTGAAGACTCTGAGATCTGGGATTCCAAACAAATATACACTTCCATTCTGAACTAATCATTTTTATAGAAAACAGATGAGGCTTGTTCAGTAGGTGCATGAACAACATCTTATGCTGCTCGCCTGTTCTCCAGGCCGAGGTTCTGCATCCAGAAAGTGCCAGAGACAGGATATCTTGACCTCCAGGAATTTTATAAGGTAAATCCTGCTCATCCACCTAAAATATTTTCCTGGAAAAAAAGCCATAAATAAATAAAGTCTGAAATAATAATCTAATTCCTACCCTTTATGCCCTTTTTATTTATTTTTATTTATTTTTTTGAGATGGAGTCTCGCTCTGTGGCCAGGCTGGAGTGCAGTGGCGCAGTCTCAGCTCACTGCAACCTCTGCCTCCTGGGTTCGAGCAATTCTCCTGCCTCAGCCTCCCAAGTAGCTGGGAATACAGGTGCATGCCACCACACCCGGCTAATTTTTGTATTTTTAGTAGAGATGGGGTTTCACCATGTTAGCCAGGCTGGTCTTGAACTCCTGACCTTGTGATCTACCCGCCTCGGCCTCCCAAAGTGCTGGGATTACAGGCGTGAGCCACCGCACCTGGCCCCTTTATGCTCTTTAAATGATTACTATACCATCCTGGGAGACATCATATTCCATGACTTAAAACAATGAAGCAAACATGCCAGGCGCAGTGGCTCAGGCCTGTAATCCCAGCATTTTGGAAGGCCAAGGAAGACGGATTGCTTGAACTCAGGGGTTCATGACCAGCCTGAGCAACAAAGTGAGACTTCATCTCTACAAAACACACACACACACACACACACACACATACAAATTAGCCAGACATGGTGGCATGCACCTGTAGTCCAAGCTACTCGGAAGACTGAGGTGGGAAGATCACTTTAACCTGGGAGGCGGAGGTTGCAGTGAGCCGAGATCATGCCACTGCACTGCAGCCTGGGCGCTAAAGCCACACCCTGTCTCAAAAAAAAGAATTTTTTTAAAATGAAGCAAATAGCATTTTTACCAACTACAAATATCCATTCATCTGTTCAATCATTTGACAAATTTTATTGAGTGCTTAATATATGCTGTATAAAAGGCAAAGGAAGTTCCTGAGTAAAATAATTTTTTGACTGTATTCTTTGTTTATGGTGATGTTTCTTTAACATTTATGACCATGGTATGCTACGATCTCTTCCTGTTCTTCTTTTTTTTGTCTTTTCTATTAATACCCATTCATATCACAGAATACACTTTGGGAAATGCTGAGTTAACTAATCTTTTATTGCTGAATACCAAGGTTTCCTAACTCTTTGCTGTCATAAATAACACTGCAACGAACATTTTTGTACCTACAGCTTTGCACACATGTTGGATTATCTTTTTAGGATATATTTCTAAGAGTGGAATTGTTGAGTTAAAGGCTCTGTGTCTTTTTATGTGCATAAAAGACCCTATGTCAGTTTTACAAATCTTAGGGAATCACAGACTCGTAAAATATCAGAGTTGGAAGGGATCTTAGATAGCATCAACTCAAGCGCTCCTGTCACCGTGGGAAGACTAGAGCTTGAAGCCAGGTCAGTCTTAAGGCACTTCTCACAGCTCCACGTGGGCTCCTGGGGCAGCTGTCCAGCAGAAGAAAGACATTAGAGGGAAGTCAGTGAGGTATCACCAGTGTTAGCATTCGCCTCTTCTGGCTCAGACTACTCTTCCCTTTTTTTCCTCAGGGTCTGTTTTAAGCCATGGTGTCATATTTATGAGCCACGGGGTATTTACCAAGAAGAAAATGTCAGGAAAACAAAGATCCAATCTAGCACCCTTTCTTCCTCTTGAAAAACAGACAAGAAACCAGGTAGTTTGCAAAGGGCACAGGTTTTGTGTGTGTGCATGTGTGTGCACATGTGCACTCTCCTGTAGTAATTGCTTTGGGAAGCTTGGGATAAGACGCACACACTACACCATGTGATATTGATTTCTCTTCAGCACAGCTATGACCCTGAGGCTTATACTGCCTTAAGAGAGGGCTAGGCTGGGGATTGTGTGAATTATTTCCTAGTCTCGCCCGCTGTTTCCAGTAGAATTAGCTGCCATGTGGTGAGCGCATGTTTTTGAAAGATTCTTGGTAGGAGGTAGCATGCGGCTCAGGTCAACTGATTTGAGCAGCCTTCTAGGCAGGGGAGCAGAGCCGTGAGTGACTAAACCCAAACCAGACCCAGAAGCTGGGGCACTGGCCAACCCCGCCTCCAGATAGGGACGAAGGTGCATTCCCTGGCGTCTCCCTTGGCGTCCCCCTTGGTTGTATTTGATTTGAACAGAATCCAGCTCTCCTCAAAATGAAAAAGGAGTGGCAGCTTCCAAGTTGCCTCTAACTTTAATTTGGGGAAGAATAACATCTTTTCTCTGTTGTACAGACACACATCACCACATCAGAGCAAATGCCCCCAAAGCTCCATTCTGATTTCTGGCTTGGAAAAGTTCTTGATGTTTCACGGAAAACCTTCCCACATCCTACCACACCCATCTTGTTCTTCCACCCACCTCAGGCATCTTCTGCCTCATTACTGAGGTATTATTAATGGAACGGGAAATTGGCAAAGAAATTCTTGTCAATGGCTGGCCAGAGCCGCCCACCCAATGCCATCTGCCCAGCCTCAAGCCATCCTGGTTTGTGTGGCTCAGGAGATTCCAACTCAGATTGGAGGTGATGCCAGGGAGGGCCCTGTTGGGATACTTTGTTCGGGCACAAGAGCCCTCCTTGGTTTACCTTGGAGTAATTAAGCCCTGATAATGCTTGAGACAGAGATTGTGTAAGCATCTCTTTCCATGGCTTCTATCACATCCCTGGGCACATATCAGAGATTCAACAAACATTTGTTGAATAAATGAGCAGATGGCTTGGGACTTGTCTTGCTTTCAGATATATAGTCTTTCTTGGTCTATTGTTGTGGTTACACACGTGTCTGTGTTTACTTTAACTTCCAGCCATGTTCACCATTTGAGGATTTCATGGGGAGGCAGGACAGGGGATAAGATGCCGTCTTCAATGTTAGAAAAATCCCTTTTCTTCTTTGTGGAGTCTCTTCCCCGCCTCCACCTGTTGCCTGCGGTGATGCTCTCGGACTTACTAAAAGTGAAAGACTAATGCCAGACCTGATTTCAGGCAGACATATATTTCAGGCTGAGTTACACCTGGGCCTTTTGGGAAGCATAGACAGACAGAAAGAAGAGGAAAGGTCAAGTCCAGGTAATGGAGTAAAATTTGGGCCTGGTTCCAACATTCAAGGCTTCCATGTATCCATGGGCAGTTTGGATATTTCATATGTGCCAGCAGAGGGGATCTGTTGGCACTCATATTCAGCCTACATACACTATTCTTGACACTACACACTCTGTCACAGGTCGTGTCCACAAGGAGGAAGAAGCATCGTTTTTGTAGCACAAGGACAGTAACCAATCACGAAGCTGGGCATCTGCTCATTGGGGATAGTATGTCTTTCTCTAATTTGCACAAAGTCTTCATATATGGCAATGTGGCCTGAAAACTCAATTCCATATTTTATGTTTCTCCATTCTTTTTTGAATGTCCTGGATTTGTGAACAGTGAGTGTGTGTGTACATATGTGTGTGTGGGTGTGTGAGAGAGAGAGAGAAAGGGAGAGTGTGTGTCTTTGTGTATGCTCTCAATGTGGCTATAAGGGCTGAATTGAGTAGTGGTATTAAAACTAGTGCAGGCTCGGAACAGTGGCTTATGTTTGTAATCCCAGCACTTTGGGAGGCCGAGGCAGGAGGCTTGCTTGAGGCCAGGAGTTCAAGACCAGCCTGGGCAACATAGTGAGTCTCTGTCTCTAAAAAGTAAAAATTAAAGCAATTAGCCAGGGTGGTAGTGTGTGCCAGTAGTGACACTTGGGAGGCTGAGATGGGAGGATCACTTGAGCCCAGGAGGTTGAGGCTGCAGAGAGCTATGATGGTGCCACTGCACTCAAGCCTGGGCAACAGATCAAGACCCTGTATCTAAAAAAACCAAATACATAAAAATAAAACTAGTGTACTTGTATTTATACCAAAATGCCTTCTCCTTTTCTCCTGATAGTTGAGTAGAGAAACGAGCTTTCTGAGTGAATCCCTTCTTTCATTTTCTAGGCCTAGTGTGGTAGACAGGCATGTAACCACTGCTTGGCCAATTAAACCCTTCCCCTCCCATCTCCGTTTCTCTGACTTTGCATGGAAAGGAGGGAGGCATAATAATGTGACCTGCAGTGTCTTCCCCATTTTGAGGTATGGGCTGGGAAGGGAAATTGGGAAGGTTAGAAATGCTCCGGGTGAATTCACCTTCTCCTTCAAATTGGCCACATCACCTCCCGTGACTTCCTGACCTTCCTCTCCCAGTTTCTAGGAAGTCTTCTTATTGCTCCTTATAAATTGACTACTAAAGCATGGGTGGCTCTAAGTACTAGACATAGCCCATAAATCTAAAGCCAAGGAGACCTCCCACTAGTAGTTCCCACGGTCATCCCCAGTCCTCAACTTCCTCATCTCTAAAATAGAAGTGCCCATTGATATGGCCCTAGGATATAAGATGGGCCTGGGAGAACCTGTGTCTAGTCTACAGAGTTCCTGGGCTCCCGAGGCACCTAACATCACAGGCATTGTGCCAGGAAAGCCTTTTGATGTCCTCCTGGCTCTGTTCTTTTCTTGTTTTATAAGCTATACATCATCAAAGACTCAGCACTTGTTCCTTTTAGACATCACAACTCACCCTTTTCGCTCCTATCCAGATCCCCCTTTTCCTCCTTAACTCTTCCTTAATTTATAGACTTCCATGTAAAGAGAGCTACAAACAAACTGACATTTCTGAATGATGGCACATTCTTTAAATCAAAATTCAGGCTCACAGCAGTATCACATGAGCAAAGGATAATTCTCCCCTCACGG
This sequence comes from Homo sapiens, assembly GCF_000001405.40. Lineage (NCBI taxonomy): Eukaryota > Metazoa > Chordata > Mammalia > Primates > Hominidae > Homo > Homo sapiens. Next base: position 13,082,082 of record NC_000017.11, read on the forward strand.
CACGGGCCAGGCTTCAGAGGAGATTCAGTTTGCAATGTGGAATCCAGCTTGATCCTCATTTTACCTCCTCGGCCTCCCACATAATGTAAAAGCAACATCAGTTTTTTTCTCGAGTTGGAACAAAAGTCTCTTAGATTTGCTCTCTTTACTTAATCATCTTTAGGTATGTATGAAATTGGTAAGTGAATGACAAAAACAAAAACAGGTTGGTGAGGTTGAGAGTTCATGGTTCTTTACCTAATGTCCAGAAAGGCACTGCCCCGAGACACTCTGATGTGTGTGTGTGTGTGTGCATGCGTGTGCGTGTGTGCACACAGTAGTATATTCAGAAACGTTTCTTTCCTCCTAATACTCAGTGACTAGGAAGAACAAATTGAGAGCTCCATACATTAAAAAGAAACTTTAGAACACAGATGTCAAAGAAGAGTAGTTTGAGACAAAGGCATAAATATGAAATGTCTTACATGCTTTGTAATTGAAAGAAAGATAAAATGATGTTTAATAGGAATGACAGAGTCACAAATAATTTAGTAATAAATTATAGTCATATAAAGAAGGAGGAGGAGGGATGGGTTGAAGGGAGTCAGAAACCAGAAGAAATGTTACGGAAGGATGGGGGTAGCAGAGGGGAGGTAGAGAGTATGTCTTAGTCTGTTTTGTGTTGCTATAAAGGAATACCTGAGAATGGGTAATGCATAAAGAAAAGAGGTTTATTTGGCTCACAGTTCTGCAGGCTGTACAGGAAGCAGAGCGCCAGCATCTGCTTCTGGGGAAGGCCTCAGCATGCTTCCATTCATGTGAAAGGGGAGCAGGCGTCACATAGTGGGAGAGGAGGAAAGAGAGAGAGGAAGAGGTGCCAGGCTCTTTTTAACAATTGGATCTCAGGGGAACTAATAGGGTGAGAACTCACTCATTACCACGAGGACGGTACCAAACCGTTCATGAGGAATCCGTCCTCTGACCCAAACATCTCCCATCAGGCCCCACCTCCAACACTGGGAATCACATTTTAACATGAGATTTGGAGGGGACAAATATCCAAACTACATCAGACTGTGAAAAGAGAAAGAGGAAGATGGAAAGAGACAGACAACAAAGATAACAAAGACCCAAGACACAAAGACCCATTCAATTTTTCTATTGATAGTTTTTGAGCAGAGCTCAAAATGATTTTTCCACCAGAGTTCTACATTGTGCCAGACCCTTCCCCACGTGTTACTTTCACTGCCTCTCCCCACAAAGCCAGCATAGATGGATAATGGAACTTGACTATGGATGGAGCAAAGCAGGAAGCTGAGGTCTGCAAAGGTAGAAAGGAGAGCAATACTAGGTGTACCCGGTAGGAAGGTGCTGTGTGAGGGAAGGAGGGTTTCTCAGCACCATAACCCATGTGGCTGAAGGTGCTCTGGGCTGCCCAGGCAGATGTGCACCCTCGACCGGCAACCTTGCAAGGGTTAAGTCCTACAGGTTGCGCCTCTGGCTAAACAATTTTCCACTGCTGTGATGAAATTTCAAGTGACTGCTGGGTAGCTGGAGGTTTAGAGAAAGCTGGGCTGAAGATGAAGTCATTTTTATGAGAATCACTTATTTTTTCTTAATTATTATAAATGCATACACCATGATACCTCACTTCCCACAACCAAAATTTGGTAAGCCTGGGAAGGACCCAGGAATATAAATTTTTGAGGCACCCTGTAAGTGATTCTTTTTTTTTTTTTATGGAGACTTCTGTCACCCAGGTTGGAGTGCAGTGGCACGATTGCAGCCTCAACCTCCTGGGCTCAAGTGCTCCTCCCACCTCAGCCTCCTAAGTAGGTAGGACCACAGGGGCATACCACCATGCACAGCTATATTTTGTAGAGAGGTGGTTTTGCCGTGTTGCCCAGGCTGGTCTTGAAATCCTGAGCTAAAGCAATCCACCTGCCTCGGCCTCCCAAAGTTCTGGGGTTACAGGTGTGAGCCACAACCCCTGGCCCCAACTAATTCTGATGCAGGAAATCCTAGGCTGAAACTGAAGGCCCCCATTCATTGCATGTTTCAAGCCCAGCTTCTGCTTTTAGGTTCCATGATCGCAGAAACATTAGACTCTGAAAAAAGTCACAAGAGGGGTTGGAAGGTGTTAGGAAATGATGAGTGTCATTGATAACTTTAAGGCCATTACTTCCTCTAGATTTATTTGCTTTCTTTGTGTAGTAGACTGTTAATGACCCTCCCATAGATTTTGACCAACTCTGGAAAAAAATCAAAAAACTTTCTTCTGCATCGTAGGTGTGTATTTCCTGTATACTCTAAAATACACCCTCCCTAAAACCCTGTTTCTGCCTGAGTGTTTTTACCTGGCCTCTAGGGTATTCTCAGTCGGTGCTGGAGCTTGCCAGAAGCACCAGAGAGTTATCCCTAGGATGGACTCTCATGCAGAGATAAATGGGAGTTGGTGGATAAATACCCCAGCTTCCTTGCCTCCTGAAGAGACAATTCTGAAGCATCTTCTATTCGGTCTATAAAAAGTCCCAGCTGCCCACGCAGGAAGTCACTCAATCATGTAAACAACTTACACCCAAATCATTGTCCTAGAATCTACCTGGGGGGAACCAAAACTAATACTTTCTAAAAAAAATTTTTAAATGCTCCTTGTAGCCTTGCATACATTTTCAAATACAGCTGTAGGGGAGGAGAAACAGCTTTTCCTCACCCATCCCTAGGTTCACAAGAGAAAAGCATACACATTTATTTAATATAAGTTTTATGTGACATGGGAGCCTTCATAAGCAAATGAAAACCCAAAGAAACAGTTAAACTTGTGTATTTTTATACAAAGTTTGGTGAAGAGCGGGTAGTTGTGAAGAACTATAATTGGACAAAGGGGGTCTGATCTAAGGGTAATAAACTGGGGGAAACTCAGCAAGGTCTGTGTGTTCAGCTTCCTTTCTTTGATTCTGTGTCTTCAAAGACAAGAAAGTTCCTTTCCTCTGGGTACAGGAAGGGCACCTCCGGAATGAGAATCCTATGACCCGCTTCAGGAAAGAAGAGTTAGGGGGTGGGAAATCAGAGGGAATTTCCTGATTCTGCTGTTTTCTCAAATGCCAACATGCCATATTTTGGGGTAGCATGTCCTGAACCCCATCATGGCCAAGATGTGTGTCAGCAAAAACAGTCAGGGCATAATAAAAATTTGCTTAACCATAAGTTAGAAAAACAAACAAACAAACAAAGAGAAATTTAGTAACAACACTGCAAACTCCCTAGCTGCTGTACATATTTCCTTGTCATCTTAGAATTCAGATAACTGCTCAACCAAAATTGCACCTAAGAGACCAAAAAGATTTCTTTATTAAAACGCCTCATTTACATCTCATTAAAGTTTGATCAAGGGGTACACTATTATTTGAACTTGACATTGCCTTGGCCTGTAGGTGACCAGTGGTGCTCCCACAATTTTCAGTACCTGAGCTCCTCCAACTCCGTAATCAACTGGTGCAGAGCTTCACACAGCCACGAGATTACATTGTCACCCCATGGCGTTCCCTTGCATTTGAAATGGGCTTTATAGAGCTTCCATATATGTTATCTTGCTTGTGCTAAATAACCATCTTGTGGAGCAGTCAGGGCACGCTGCTCTATTCTCTATTCTGTGGAAATAGAGGGTTAGAGAAGGCAAATAGTTTGACCAAAGTCAAAATGAGGAAGTGTCCATTATTCATTCATTCATTTGCTGGGCAGTTAGTTCAAGCTAAACAGCCTTTCCTAAGCCTGCAGAAAGAATGCTCTATGCAAAATTGTTTTCTAGACATTTTTCTTTTTTGCATTCTATTAAATGGTGGATACTTTTTATTAAACAGATTCACCCCATGAAGTCATAGGTCTTCAAAACCCTATCTACAAATTGTAGAGAAGTAAATCACCTCTGCCTCTTCTTCCCTATTGTCAGTTTGTCAGTAGCAGAATTCCAGAGATGGTGAGCAACCAGGATGATCCCCAGGTTCTTTGCCACTTCCAACAGGCAAGACCAACCCTCAGCCCTCCTCCTGCCCCCTCCCCGTGCCTGCTGGTGCCCATTTTTTTGAGCCCTCAGGTCTTGTGGGAGCCTTGCTCTCCAGGCCACTCTGTAGGAACACTCACTCATTCCGACCACTCCCAGCCTCCTTCACCCTTCCAACAATGAGCGTTTATAGCTGCAGCACTGCAGCTGGGAGCCATAAGGCACGAATGAACGTGTGTCCATAGTTTGGAGCCGATTTTTGTCAGGAATGTACTAAACACTTCATAAATTAAGTCCTTGGCGATCAAGCTACCTCGATATCAGATTAGTCATCGCTAACCATTCCCTGCACAAAACCCAGGGGACAGATACACCGGATGGTGCCAGGATTTTTCTTTTTCTTTCTTGTTCTTTTTAATAGAAAATGTGTGCAGAGGAATGAGCCACCCATCCTGCACTGCACAATACAGATGTGTGTGATACACATTCCCCCTGGTTTTCACAGCTCTCCAGCCTTACTGTCCTTTTCTCAACATATCCTGTGTGCAGAATGGCTTTTGGCAGAGTGGGAGAGGCTGGCAAAGACCCTGCCTGCCTTGGACTCTCCGCAGGCTTTGGCTATGCCAGGAACTGTTGTCAAGACTGTGTACGCTTAGAGGAATTCAGTCCTTACTACAGTCTTATGAGGGACTTACTGATACTGTCCTCATTTGACAGCTGAGGAAGCTCAAGGACTTGAGTAACTTATCCAAGGCTGTGTAACTAGTTCATGGCAGAGCAAGGATTCATTCCACCTGCCAGGGCCCCCAGCCACCCACTGCAGTACCTCTGCTCAGGTACCTCGACCCATAGTCAGAGCTACTCTGCAGGCACAACAGGGCAGGAGATGTTGGGGTAGGGGTGCTAATCTCAGTCCCGTAATGCCTTCTTATTCATTTATTGATGCAATAAACATAGGTACTCAGGACCTAGCAGCAGTTTCTGCTACTTTATTAAATTATATTGAAATATATAATTACTTTACTCCAATATATAAGTAATGCAAAGTAACTCAAATATATATTCCAATAAACAAAGTAATTCAAGGCACAGCTTCCCTCATTGAACAGAAGGTGGGCTACAAAAGGCCAAATCCCCCATCTCTAGAGGTGGCTCTGAGGCACTCTTCAAACAAGGTCACTATGAGACATAAATTGATATTTTTCCATGTATATTTAGGAGGCATAGGTATTGCATAGGGGTAAGGGTGGAGCAGGGTGACAATGGCACCAGTTGTTGTGTTTTCTTCAATTTTCTGGAACCACTGAGCTCTGAACACAAATTCACATGATTCTTGATGCATCGGAGTTACTTAAATGACAGGAAAGGTTAAAAACGAAGTGTGCCGTGCAGGACCATGGAACATTTCTGTATCCCATGTAAACCACGGGTGCAATGGGAATAGTTCAAAGAAAATAGATGTTAGTAACTCACGTACACTGTGTTCCTCTGCAGGGATTCCCTAGGAAAAGCACAGTTATAGCTATGCACAGCTTATTGACAGCTGTTCTTAAGAGTAATAACATTGAATTCCCTAGTATGCTTTTGCCTGCAAATGAGAAGAACATAACTTAAACTAGCTTAGACAGAAAGGAAATTTATTGACTTTCACAAGCAGGGAGCAGCAATTGATCTGGCTGGAGCACAGTGAAGACTAAAGGTGTTGTCATCCTCTTTCCTCTCTTTCTTTCTCTCTTTCCTGTCTCTGCTTCCTAATACATACTGATCAATTTCTCCCATCCTGCAGGTGGATAACCTGCGTATGCATCCTGGGTTAGGGGGCTGCCATCAGCTCCAGCTGCCCATTTTCCCAATACCTAGATTTCAAAGCCAAGAATAACTTTCTTGCTAGCTCCAGCGGAGAAGTCTTGGGACCTGGTTGGCTTGGATTGAGTCACATGCCCAGCTCTGAAATAATCTCCAGAGTCACTTGTTCTCTGACTAGCTTAGGTCACATGCTTGCCTTTGGGAGAGGGCAGTGGGTACCAAGATTTTCATCCTGCTGGGAGCACAGTAGGAAAGGGATTGTTTCTCAGAGGAAAGGAAGGAAAGCCATATATTCACTACAAATTACTATTATTATTATTTGAGATGGAATTTCGCTCTTTTACCCAGGCTGGAGTGAAGTGGTGTGATCTTGGCTCACTGCAACCTCTGTCTCCTAGAGTTCAAGTGCTTCTCCTGCCTCAGCCTCCAGAGTAGCTGGGATTATAAGCACCTGCCATCATACCTGGCTACTTTTTTTGTTTTTAGTAGAGATGGGGTTTCACAGTGTTGGCCAGGCTGTTTTGGAATTCCTAACCTCAGGTGATCCAACTGCCTCAGCCTCCCAAAGTGCTGGGATTACAGGCGTGAGGCACCACACCCAGTCTACAAATTTTTTTTTATTTTTTGGGGACACGGTCTCGCTCTGTCAGGCTGGAGTGCAGTTGCACGATCACGGTTCACTGTAGCCTCAGCATTCCCAGGTTCAGGTGATCCTCCCACCTCAGCTTCCCGAGTAGCTGGGACTACACATGTGCACCACTGTGCTCAGCTCAGTTTTGTATTTTTTTTTTTTTTTTTTTTTGTAGAGATGAGGTTTCACTCTGTTACCCAGGCTGGTCTCAAACTTCTGGGCCCAAGCAATGCCCCCCGCCTCGGCCTCCCAAAGTGCTGAGATTGCAGGCATGAACCTCCGCGCCTGGCTACTACAAATTATTTATAAACATTCCGTGACTAGAGTGACCAAGAGCCTGAGTTCTCTCATTATTTGATTTATTACTCATTTGTAAAATCTCTGAGGTTATATACTAGGGGCCAGGCTGTGTCTGTGTTTTGGTGTCCAAATTAGTCTCCTTGGGCTGCTGTAACAAAGTGCCACACACTAGCCAGCTTAAACAACAGACATTGTCTCACAGTTCTGAAGTTCAGAAGTTCAAGATCAAGTCAGGGTTGGTTCCTTCTGAGGACTGTGAGGGAGGATCTCTTCCATGCTTCTCTCCTGGGCCAATCATTGGCAGCCCTTTGGTTGTAGAATCATCACCAGGTTTTCTGCTTTCATCTCCATGTGGTGCTCTCCCCTTGCACATGACTGTTTCCAAATTTGCCCTTTTTTTTTTGTTGTTGAGATGGAGTCTTACCCTGTTGCCCAGGCTGGAGTGGTGCAATGGCGCAATCTTGGCTCACTGCAACTTCCATCTCCCAGGTTCAAATGATTCTCCTGCCTCAGCCTTGAGAGTAGCTGGGATTACAGGCACCTGCCACCATGCCCAGCTAAGTTTTTTTGTATTATTTTTATTAGAGAGGGGGTTTTACCATGTTGGCCAGGCTGGTCTTGAATTCCTGACCTCGTGATCCGCCCGCCTCAGCCTCCCAAAGTGTTGGGATTACAGGGGTGGACCACCGCGCCTGGCCCAAATTTGACCTTTTCATAGGGACATGAGTCATGTTGGACTAGGGCCCACCCCAACTACCTCCTTTGAATTTTAGTACCTCTATGAAGACCCTATCTTCAAATAAGGTTACATTTTGAAGTACTGGGAGCTAGGACATAAACATATAAATTTTTGGGGGAAGAGGGGCTCAATTCATCCCACAAGGGTATTGTAATCATAGGAGAGGTAAGCTGGCTAAGGAGGGGGCAGGATGAGGCTTAGGATGAAATTCTCCAGCTCTTTACTTCCCGGAAGATACTCCCTCTCCCATTACAAAAATTCACGGTATTCCTAAACTTTTACTGAGAAGGAATCCTGGTCCAGGTATTATTTTAGTCAATGAGCCTTTGAGCAACAGAAAAGAAAATGTTTAAATCTAGATTTCAACTACTTTCTTTACTAGGGATAAAACTGATCTAAAGTTTCACCTTAAATTTGACCATCTCATCTTAAATAGTTTCGGTGGCTTTCTATTGTCTAAAGATTTAGATCTAATAGATCTGGAAGGAAAGCCCAGGAAGCTGAGTCACAAATAGACCTTAGTTAGATAATTCTGATACAGGCCACGCTTTGAAAAATGCTGGCCCATGGGATAAGAATTACACTCATAAGTATATTACACAAAGTTCTCTGTGATCTGTGTCTTGCTTCCCTTTTCTGTCTTTTCTTCCATGACCCCTCTGACTCCTCAACAAACATTGCTCTTTAGAAACTCCTTGGCCAGGTATGGTGGCTCACGCCTGTAATCCCAGCACTTTGGGAGGCTGAGGCAGGCAGATCACCTGAGGTCGGGAGTTCAACACCAGCCTGAACAACATGGAGAAACTCTGTCTCTACTAAAAATACAAAATTAGCCAAGCTTGGTGGTGCATGCCTGTAATCTGAGCTACTCGGGAGGCTGAGGCAGGAGTATCACTTGAACCCGGGAGGCGGAGGTTGTGGTGGGCCGAGATCAAGCCATTGCACTTCAGTCTGGGCAACAAGAGTGAAACTCTGTCTCAAAAAAAACCCCAAAAAAAACCCAAAAAAAAGTGGGGGGGCTGCAAATTAAACTAACAGAAAAAATTAACAAGAGAAAAGAGACACAGTTTTATGTCCACAAGAGTTCACAGGAAAGAAATGGAACTCAAAATAGTGGTTAGATTTGGGGGCTCATATGCCCTTTCAAGAGGTATATAAGAGGGTTTTGGTATGAAACAGAGCTTGGGCTAAAAAGGATGACACATTGTAGGGAAGTGTCTAGAAAATATATCAGGGACTAAAGGAAGACAAGGGCTATTCTAGTAAGATCCATTTATACCAACTTATCTTGGTGTTAATTCCCTGTCTTGAATAAGAAGAGCCACTCTTCTCTCTCTGGTAAAGGAGGATTACCTTCCTCAAGGGGAGATATGTCCTACTTTTCGCATATAAGGGGAGGGCAGGAAACTCTTTCTGCATCTATTGATTCTTAGTTATCTTCAGGTTAAAATAATTCATATGCCAAAATAACATATTTTGGGGTGGCATATTCAATTCTAATCAGGAAGATGGATAAAAATGTCAAGTAAAACAAATAATTACAAATTTTGGCAAGTCTTGCAAATGAAACAACTACAATATGGGAAATAGGTGGAGAACAAAGCAAGAGACACAGTTTGGATATGGTGGTCTTGGAAGGCCTCCCCGAGAAGGCGACATTTACACTGAGACCTGAAAGAGGAGAAGGAGCATCAGTGATCAATGAGGGAAGAGATCTTTATGCAGAGAAAGCAACATGGGAAAAGGCCTTGAGGTGTGAGAGACTGAAATACAGACTGCACTGGTTGCGGTGGCTCATACCTGTAATCCCAGCACTTTGGGAGGCCGAGGCAGGTGGATCACCTGAGGTCGCGAGTTCGAGACCAGCCTGACCAAAATGGAGAAACCCTGTCTCTACTAAAAATACAAAACTAGTGGGAGTGGTGGCGCATGTCTGTAATCTGAGCTACTCAGGAGGCTGAGGCAGGAGAATCGCTTGAACCCGGGAGGCAGAGGTTGCAGTGAGTCGAGATTGCGCCATTGCGCTTCAGCCTGGGTGACAAGAGCAAAACTCTGTCTCAAAAAGAAAAAAAAGAAATACAGACTAGCCATGGCCAGACCACATAGAAAAATAGAACTCTGATCTACAATCTGCAGCAACCTGCCCAAGAAACCATTTCATTAACCAGCCCAGAAAGCCATGCAACTTTCTGTAAGTCAGATTTATAGGAAGTCAGACCACTCACAATTGTTAACAATCAGAGAAGCCAAGCAAAATCCATATGACAATTGGCTTAAAATGGACAGGAATACATGAGGGGACTAAATGAAGATAAACGGCAGTTTACCTAAGTTTTGTTCCTGTTTCTAAATTAGGACCACTCTGCCGGGCACGGTGGCTCACACCTATAATACCAGCAATTTGGGAGGCCGAGGTGGGTGGATCACTTGAAGTCAGGAGTCTGAGACCAGCCTGGCCAACATGGTGAAACCCTGTCTCTACTAAAAATACAAAAAATTAGCCGGGTGTGGTGGTGCATGCCTGTAATCCCAGCTACTTAGGAGGCTGAGGCAGGAGAATCACTTGAACCCAGGAGGCAGCGGTTGCAGTAAGCCAAGATTGCACCACTGCACTCTAGTCTGGGTGACAGAGTGAGACCCTGTCTTGAGCGATAAATAAATAAATAAATAAATAAATAAATAAATAAATAAGGACCAATCAAAGAAGGCTAAGCATGTTCCCCTAACCAATCATAGGATGCCCCACTTTTAGCCTACCTGCAGCTTCCTTACGCCAACTGCCTCCAATCAGGGCACACGTGAAGCTTTCCCTTTTTCCATTGTAAAACTGTCCCACTCTTCTTCCTGTCTCTGAGTCTCTGTCAAAATACAAGTGATGATGGCTAACTCCCTTCTAGCAAGCTTTAAGCAGCTAGCCTTTGCTTGCTGTCATTTGGTTGGTCTTCATTTATTTCCACAGGTGAAAAGGAGAAATAAGAAATCCAGGCATTGAGAAAGCACAGGGACTGAGCCTAGTGGGCTGTAGAGAGTGGGATGGGATGTGGCTGGACAGAGTGGGGTGGGGTGCAGCTGGAGAGAGTGAATGAGTGGAAGCCAGGTGAGGGAGGGCCATTAGTAGGGGCTAAAAGTTTATTCTAAATGCAATGGGAAGTGCTATGGTCTGAATGTCAATGTTCCCCCTCAAATTCATATGTTGATACTTAATTTCCAATGCAAGAGTAGTGAGAGATAAGGCCTCGGGAAGGTTATGCCCTCATGAATGGAATAAGGGCCCTTATGAAAGAGGCCCATGGAGGCTTGTTTGCCCCTTCTGCTGCGTAAGGGCACGTAGAAGTTGCCATCTAAGAGAAAGTGGTCCCTCACCAGACACCGAATGTGCCGGTGTCTTGATCTTAGACTTCCTAGGCTCCAGAACCATGAGTAGTAAATTTCTGTTGTTTACAAATTACCTAATCTAAGGTGTTTCATTACAGCATCCTGAACAAACTTAAGCCATTGAAGAGTTTTAAGCAGATAATATGCCACTCTGATTTACATTTTAAGATCACTCTTGCTCCGGAGCAAAGATGGAAAGGGTCAAAGATGGAACCAGGAAGATCTGTCTTGGGCCAGGAGGGCAGTGGAGGTCGAGACAGATGGGTAGATTTAAGATAGATTTTTGGTTCAGGCAGAGTGTGGTGTCATTTACAGAGATGGATATGATCGATGGTTGATGGACAATTAGTTATTGATGGGAAAGAGGAGACATTTAATTTTGTGATACATCAAAGTACAGATGACAAGTAAGTAGTCAGATATTAAAGTCTGGAACTCAGAGGACTAATCTGAAATGAAAAATATATTTTGACATTATCAGCACATGGATAATTTTAACCATGAGAATTGATGAAATCTTCTAAGGAAAGAAATGGAAAGGAGATGGGCCCATCCATCTGGTGATTTTACAGAGGAGGAAGAACCAACTAGACTGAGAGGTAGGAGGAAAAGCAAGGATAATATGGGACAAAGAAGCAAAGAGGGACAAGAGTGATTCACTGTCATGAATGTTTCTGAGAGGGCAAGATGAGACAGGGAAAGATCTGTCCATTGCCATTTGCCAAATAGAAGTCATTGTCAACTTTGTCGAGTGGTTTTTGGAGTGACAGAGATGCAAGCTGGATGGAAGGGGGCATAAGAATAGAAGTGAGAAAGTGGAGAAAGCATGGCTAACCCTCTTGCAAGGTCAGCTGAGAAGGAAAGTAGCAAAACATGGCAGAGTGGGAGACCAGAATATGCCTCCCCCAAATATAAAGAATTGTTGAGCTGAAGACAGTTAAGAATAAGCAGATGCAGGAAAGCTCTCTGCCCGCCCTCCATTTGCCTAAAAGCAGGGCATAGATTTGGAAAGACAAAAGGTAACCTGGCCCCTCTCTACCAGGGAGAACAAAGCTTAACCACTGAAGACACCTTTAAATGTTTATCAGCCTGGAGATGGTACCAGAGAAATCTACATTAACAAGCTTCACTGGCTAGCCCTTATCTGCCATTTTTTTTGCTTTTTTGCTGCTAGTAGAGACTCAAAGTCCTTTTTCTTTGTCTTGTCACTTCTCTAAAAATTTACTATTCTTTGAGGGTGCTGTATAGGCTGGAATTCAAAGCCACCTCTTTGAGAACTACTCATTCTCTAGGTGTCTTCCATGTATAAATAAAATGTACACATGCCTAAACTTCTGATTTTTTTTTCTCATTGATCGGTCATTGGTAACCCGGATCAATTCCAACTAAGAACCTCTGGGAGTTATTGTCTTTTCTCTACAGCAGAAGATGGTGGGATTATCTTTTTTTTTTTCTTAAAAGAGGAGCTGCACTAAGCTTCCATGCAGATGGAAATGATCCAAATATTCATGGTATGTTTGCTTTTTTAAAAATGTCTAATTTATTTATATAATTGTAAAGCAATATTCAATATGTTTTGTTTTGCTTTTAGAGGTAATGAAATAAAAAAATTCAGAAAGCTTCAATGATGTCCGTAAGGCCACATGGCGTGGGGAGTCAGTGACTGGATCATGGCATTACCCACGTGGCCTCCAAGAATAAGGTCTTCTTCAACCTGCCCTGCCCCACTTTCCTGATACTGATTAAAACCCGAGAAACCATTATTAAGTGGCCATATGCCAAGAACTTTGCAAAATCAGAGCAGAGTATGATCAGAAAATATTTAAACCCAGAGCAGAAAACATTTAAACCCGCTACAAAGATACGCTTCAGAGAGAAAAAAAAAAGACAAATTGTGAAATTAGCCAAGGAGCAAAAGGATTCCTTAATCCACCAACCAAGTTCACCAACAGTTAAGTGATAACTCCTTCCCCTCCCCTGCATCCTGTATTCCCCAAACAGGGCCTTATGAATGGAGGGTGGGGAATCTTAAACGTTAACTTTTCTGCACTTTTATTTTGGCTTCATTTGTAGATTTCACACTTTCTCTGCTTCCTTCCTCCAGGGTGTTTTTAATTATTGGAGATGAGAGCCAGGTGAGGAAGCAGGGCTTGGGGCTGGGTAGTAGAGGGTTCACCTAAAGGAGGGCTTTGTTGGGGATCCATTGACACCACAGGTTCCTGCAAGCCCTGCCTAGGACAGCAGATCATTTGTGGGTGAATGAGGGAGCACCCCTTGAAGCCTCTGGGCTTCGTTTTCCATGCCTTGTTTTTCCTCAGAAAGTTATCCCCACAACCCCAACCCCAAACAGCACAAGTGAGCAGACTTTTGTTTCAAACTCCTCTAAGAATTCTCAGGAAAGTGTCTCCATTCTCCCACCTGAATTATCACCTTTTTTTCTCAGAAGGTTCTGTGCTGAGGGTAAATTGTCAGGAGGTCTAAGTTAGCCATGGCTGTGTTAGCTTAGCCGTCTTTACTATCCATGGCCACTGTCCTAGCCTCGCCAGGCTTCTCTTGGCAAGTCTGTGGCTTTGAGTCTATGAGTCCACAGCACTGAGCCTGGTTCTACTTCTTACTGGGTCTGTGATCTTGGTGCTTCTGAATCTCTCTAAGACTCAGTTTCCTCAAAAGGAGAGGCACTGTGATAGCTGTACTCGCCTTACAAGTTATATATATATATATTGAGCACCTACTCTGTCAGGCATGCTGTAAACGTGCACTAGAATCCTCATAACAATCCTAAAGGCAGGATTCTAACGTCATCAACAAGGAAAAACATTCTATTTTCTCCAGGGAGGCAATGCTTTTCCTAAAAAGTTGAGAATTTAGACCTGGACTTGGCTGAGCTGTTTTACTGATTTTTGCAAGAGCAAGAGTAAGGTGACCCATGCAGGGAAAATCATCCTAGACTAAACTTCTAAAACCATACGTGTTGCCTATCGGTTATAACCCAGGTGGGGCATCTTTTCTGCTGCGACATGTGTACCCGTCAGCCAACGTGTGATGAGCTCTCACGTTCAGACCTTGGTCTGTCAGCTGTCACCACTCCCTTATCTCATGCTGGAAAGGCACACCAAAATACAGGCGAGTGAAAGCCATATTTATGCGGGGAAAACTTGGGATTTGCCCTAATTTTCAAAAAGAGTGAATTTGAAACTTAGGCATTTAAATTAATTATTGTGTAATATATTACACGTGTTGGATTAGCTTCTCGTTAAAGCTGTGTGTGGTGTTGGAAGGTTCTTCAGTGTTTTAAGCAGGATCTGCAGGAAACAGCACCACGTATAAGACGAGATCTTTCTCTTGCAAGACGAGATCTTTCTCATGCTCTGAGAAAACCGGAAGTTTCTTTGGGCAGGCAGTTAGGATGACTCCAATTGACCTCGGTGTGTATGTAGATCTGGCCCTGTGGGAGTTTATGACATTTAGAGACCTACAAATCTCCTGACATTCTGGGTCCTGAAACTGTTCCCCACAGCACCGTAGATCTGGCGAAAAGCTGTGTTTGTGTCCTGTTTCCTAAGAGAATAACATTTTAAGCCAGTTGTCCAGGAATTCTTTCAAGGCAATCTTCTAAGTACTCATAGAATAAACAACTCTTGCTTTCTGCTTTACTCAAATAATTTGTGTCAAAGAAATTCTCAGTTAAGCATGAAAGGGAGCTTGATTTGAAGTCCAAGCTCTGGCTCCAACAGTTTTTTTTTATATTTAGATTCATCAGCTGCAGATAAAGGGGCTGGATGGCCCCTAAAGTACCTGCCAGCTCTGCCTTTCTAGGATGCCAGTGATTTTGATAACATTTATTGACTGCCCACTGTGTTTCAGGAATTGTTTTGTTGTTTTAAGTGCTATACTATTATTAGCTCATTTACTCCTCTTGGTAATTCTTTGATGAAGGTGGTATTTGTACTTCCATTATACAAGTGAGGAATCAAAGGGAGAAACAGAAACCTCTAAGTTCACTTTGTGAAATGGGATTCTCACCTTTGCAACATGGCTCTGGAGACTTGCTCTTCACAATGACAGTTGCAAGAGAAAAAAATTACCCAATGACACTCGGTAAAGCATGGTAAGTGTATTCGTCCATTTCCATGCTGTGATACAGACATACCTGAGACTTGGTAATTTATAAAGAAAAAGAGGTTTAATGAACTTACAGTTCCACATGGCTGGGGAGGCCTCACAATCATGGTGGAAGTCGAAAGGCATGTCTTAGTTGCCTTATGACGGCAGCCAAGAGAGAATGAGAACCAAGTGAAAGGGGAAATCCCTTATAAAACCATCAGATCTTGTGAGACTTATTCACTACAATGAGAAAAATATGGGGGAATGGGGGAAACCACCCCCACGATTCAATTATCTCTCACCAGGTCCCTCCTACAACACGTGGGGATTATGAGAGCTACAACTCAAGATAAGATTTGGATGGGGACACAGCCAAACCATATCAGTAAGGAAGACTACTCAGGACCATTGTGACAGGCACATGGACCACTTCAACAGGGTCTTGCAGCTGGGGAGAGAGACTGGGCTCAACTTTGAATACAGCATGGGCAAGTGGGAGTTTATAGCCAAAGAACAGGGTGAGGGTCAGTGGGTGGAAAATTACCAACAGAAAACAATACGAGTAAGGGGGATCCTGGCTAAACCCACCTAACAGGATTCTTGCTGAAGACAGGCCAGGGTGACCTGACATCACCTGGTGGGTGGTGGAGGATGGGGAACCTGAACACATATCAAGGATGATTAGATACCCAGGACTGGGTGGTTCTGGCTAAACTGACTTACCAGGGTTCTTTGCTAAAACTGGATTTTACAAGAAAGCGCATAGATGGGCCTAGGAGAAAATTCAGAAGTCCAACTAAAGTTTGGCCAAGCACATAATCTTTGTCACACTGGACTGCCAATTTTTTTTTTTTTTTTTTTTTTTTGAGATGGAATCTTGCTCCGTCACCCAGGTGATCTCGGCTCACTGCAACCTCTGCCTCCCGGGTTTTAAGCAATTCTGTGCCTCAGCCTCTCGATAGCTGGGATTACAGGCATGTGCCACCATGCCTGGTTAATTTTTGTATTTTTAGTAGAGACGAGGTTTCACCATCTTGGGCAGGTTGGTCTTGAACTCCTGACCTCGTGATCCACCCGCCTCAGTCTCCCAAAGTGCTGGGATTACAGGCGTGAGCCACGGTGTCCGGCCTGG
The DNA here is from genome assembly GCF_000001405.40 of Homo sapiens. Taxonomy (NCBI): domain Eukaryota; kingdom Metazoa; phylum Chordata; class Mammalia; order Primates; family Hominidae; genus Homo; species Homo sapiens. Next base: position 13,098,148 of record NC_000017.11, read on the forward strand.
ACTGCCAATTTTATGAGGCTATAATAGAAATGAGAAGTAAGGCAATGAGTGAATAATAATCATTTATCACTATCAAATCGATAGCCAGTATTTATTTTGCAAAAGGATATGACATTTTGTTTGAAACATAGTCACCTAGTTTACAGACTTGAATTCTGCACATTTTCTTAGCACAGGAATTAATTTCTTAAGAAACAACAACACTAAGGGGCTATTAAAATGCTCTGGTTGGATGTTAATTTGATAATAGATCATTTTGCTTGAAATAGATGGGCTCTTAAGTTAGGCTTAGACAAGGATTCTTTTTCTTTGCTCTTCACATTTAATACTGATTGATCAATGATAGACAGAAAAAGGAAAGTGATATACAAAACACAGAAGTGAGGTACAGAAACAGCCGTATTGGGGCTGGGTGCAGTGCCACATGCCTGTAACCCCAGCACTTTGGGAGGCCGAGGTGGGCAGACCACTTGAGGCCAGGAGTTTGAGACTGGCCTGGGCTACATGGTGAAACCCCATCTCAACTAAAAATACAAAAATTAGCCGGGCATGGTAGTGTGTAGTCCTAGCTACTCGGGAGGCTGAGGCAGAAGAATCATTTGAACCCAGGTGTTTGAGGCTGCAGTGAGTTGAGATCACGCCATTGCACTCTAGCCTGGGAGACAGAGTGAGACCCTGTCTCAAAAAACAAACAACAAACAAACAAACAAACGAAACAGCCAGCTTGGTTATAGCTCAGCATTTGTCTTATTTGAACACAGTTTGAACAGTTGGCTGCCTTTATTGGCCAAAACTCAGTGATTGGCATAAGAGTAAGTTATAGTCTCTGTATACCTCCAGTCAGACTGTAGTTCACTATGCATAGAAAAACCTGTAGGCCAAACTTAAAATAGGTAAGGAGACACCTTTAGGCTAAAGTTAATTTAACAAGTTTATTTACAACCTCTGTGCTACAGGGTTTTTTTGCCTCCAACTGCAGCATTTGAAGTTGTTCCTGGGGGTCCAGGGTGTGCTCGTGAGGAAGGATAGTCCTGGCCCCGTGAGAGGGTCTTCAGGCCTGGGGAGGCATCCATTGTGCTGCTTCTTTCTTGCGCTCTGTTGCTTCCTCAGCTAGGCGCTGCATCCTGCCCTCCCCTGGACACTGCAGCTATTCACACACCAGGGCTCTGGAGGGACTCGGGCCCCAGAGTGGGGAGAATCCTCCTCTTCCTCTCTGATACCCTCTCTTTATTAGGTGACAGAATGGTGTTTCCTCCGCTAGAGTGCTGGGAGCTTTCAGTCCTAACAGAACTTGATTTTAGTCTCTTTGAAAAGCAAGTATGAGTCCAGTCCGGGGAGGCTGGCCTGGAAACAATGGCTTGCTGTACACACCATCATTTTTCTCCTCTGATTGGGAAACCCTTGTTACGGGTCACACTGCCTCCCTGACACTTTTCTTTTCCACTGAGTTCTGCCTGGACCCTCAGGCTTTCCGAATATAGATTTCTGGCCAACAGCCCCCAAATTGTGTTAGGCATGCTTGAACATGCCTGAACGTGGAGTAGAAACAGCTTAGGTCCAGGCTGGGGATAACAGAGCAACCCACATAAGGCTTATTTCCTTAAAAAAATAGATTGATTTGTTTAAAATTCAATTTCCTGTTAAAGGAATTCCCAAGTCCAGTATCCACTGCTCTTCTCTGCAAAATTTTAAAGAAATTATTACTTAAAAATAATTTGTCTAAAGAGACTCTTGACTACAGTTAATATTTTTAACAAATATTTTTGGTTTCTTTAGAAAAGAGGGTTTTTTTCTTTTCTTCTTGTTTTTTGGTGGAGCGGGGACAGTCTGGTGATAAGTATCAGCTGCCTGAGCTCTGTTTACGGGGTGCGGTGGTACCAGCAGATCTGCTAAACACAGGCTTTCAATGAACCCGTTCATTTTAGGCAGCCACGCTTCCCCTCCGTGAGTTACATTGTGCAGATGGTCCCCGGTCTTCTCTCTAACTCCCTCCTGTGCTCCAAGCTGCTGCATTCAGCCGCCTGTTGCTCTGCCCATCCCACCTGCCAACACTCAGGCATCCCTTCTATGTCTTCTGGAAATTTGTTGAAATTAGTGATTTCCCCCCTTCCTGTTCTTTTAATTGCTCAAGGATAATATTTTTATAACGTCTCATTTTTATTTCAGAGAACTTTCAGAAAGGCACCATCGGTCTTGAGCTGGAAGCCCGCCTTTTAGGTTTTGAAGAGAGAAGAGGTGGAGGAGGATGTGTGCTCCATGAAGACGTGTTCACAGACTCTAACTTGCTATGGAGTGGCCAGAGGGCTCGACGAAGATGCCAACTGCCTTCAGATGTCTCCAGCTCCTATCACGGCTGTGTGAAGCTATAGGCTGTGGTAAAGACCAACCAGGGGAGAACAAGCAAAGGCCATTTATTCAGAGGCTGCTGTATCAGGGGAGTCAGCCACCCACACATGTCTTATGGAAAGCTGCTTCTGCCCCAACCCTGTTTTAGCTAGTCTTCAGTTTAATCTGATATCCGGTACCACCTCCTACCCCATTTCTACCCATCTTAGGTTCATTGGCTGGGACGCCTGTGACAAAAGACAGATTAACAAGAGAAAGGTACACAAATTTATTTAATATGTGTTATGTGACACAGGAGCCTTCAAAAGGAAATGAAGTTCTGAAGAAACAGCTAAACCTGAATGGTTTTTGTCGTAGATTTGAGAAGAATGAAGCATTGTGGGAAAATATGACAAAGTAAAGAAAAAGAATGAGAGAAATGTAATAAATCGGGGAATCTTAGAAAAGCCTGTTTGCTCAGATTACTCTCTGTGTCCCTTCAAAGAGATAATACCCAATGCTTGTTTCCCCTGTGTATAGGGAGGACCCCTCGCACAAAAGGGTTTTGATCTGCTTCAAGGGAAGGTCAGACAGAGAGTCTTTTCCTGTCCATGTACTTTCTCAAATTCCTTCAGCTTAAAATCAACATGTCAAGGTGCCATACTTTAAAGTAGTGATATGGTTTGGATCTGTGTCCCCACCAAATCTCCTGTTGAATTATAATCCCCAGTGTTGGAGGTGGGGCCTAGTGAGAAGTGATTGGGTCATGGGAGTGGAGTTGTCATGAATAAGTTAGCACTACCCTCTCAGTCCTGTTCTCCTGATAGCGTGTGAGTGAGTTATCATGAGATTTAGTTGCTTAAAAGTCGGTAGCACCTCCCCAACCTTCCTCCTGCCCTGGCCATGTGAAGTGTCGGCTCCTCGACTTTGCCTCCCGCCATAATTGTAAGTTTCCTAAGGCCTCCCCAGAAGCTGATGCCGCCATTCTTTCCGGACAGCCTGCAGGATTGTGAGCCAATTAAGCCTTTTTTCTTTATAAATGATGCAGTCTCAGGCATTTCTTTATAGCAATAAAAGAATAGACTAATACAGGTAGTATGTGCTGAAACTCATCGCAGGTTATCAAAAAATGACCAGGAAGGGTATGGTAACCTAGGGTTGTTTAATAGGTCTTGTGATGCCGATTTTAGCCTGGCCTTCTTCATTGGTAAGAGTTGTTAAGCATCTTCTTTCTGGCACAGGAGAGGGAGACATCTTTTCCAAATGTAAATTTCCTTTACAAAAGGAAGACGTATTAGAGCTTTTCCTGGATCTACTGGTTCTCAATGGCCTTTAGTTCAAAATTGTCCATATGCCAAAGAGGCATATTTTGGGTGGCATGCTTTGCTACCCTTCAAAGCCAAATCTGCACTCCTACCTGATCACATAAGACACCTTGCTTCCACCAGTGTGCCACATCAGTTTACCATTGTCATGGCAACACCCAGGAGTTACTGCCCCTTTCCATGACAATGATCTGGTGACCCAAAAGTTACTACCCCTTCCCTAGAAATTTCTGCATAAACCACTCCTTAATCTGCATGCAATTAAAGGTAGGTATAAATATGACTGCAAAACTGCCCTGAGCTGCTACCCTGACTGTGGGGTAGCCCTGCTCTGCAGGAGCAGTCACGGAGCTGTAACACTGCCAGAGTTGTAACACTGCTGCTTCAATAAAGCTGTTTTCTTCTACCTCTGGCTGGCCCTTTAATTCTTTCCTAGGCAAAGCCAAGAACCTTGTGGGCTAAGCTCTGCTTTGGGCCTCACCCACACTACATCGCACTACATCAGAAGGAACATATATTTTTCCTCTTTTATACTTTCCTCCCTCACCCTGAAGCCCTAAACACCTTTTCCTTTGTTTGGCCTAAGATAACCTTTAGGTTACTCATCACTGCCTACTCCCACGTGTATGTGTGATGCACATGTCAGTAAACATCATCTGTTTTATTTCTTGTTAACCTTTTACTTGCCTAATGTATAGGGCTCCAGCTGGAGAAGCTACAATGGGTAAAGAAAGATGATTATTATTTTTTTCTCCCCTACAGCTTTGCCTCGTTGGTCCAGAGTTAGAAGCAGGGACAAAAATTAGAGAACTGTCAGTTATCAATCAAGTCCTGGTCATTTGGCCAATTGCTATAGGGGTTATTGCTTTGGCTTCCTGGATTGTTGGTAGAGATAGCAGTCTGACTTCCTGCAAGTCTGAATTATGGCACGCTGGCTTCCTTGGGTGGTTATTGTAGATAAGGAGTTGGTTTCCTGGGTAGGTTGCTGCAGGTTGTGGGTCAGAGGTCTATTTTTATATACTGTCTGGCCATTGTCCATGGGTACATTCAGTTTCTCATGACTATAACTGATTTGGAAATTTTATTCATCTTGGGTTTTCAAGAGTAATAGATAAAATTTTTTGGTAGTGCCAGGCATTTCATGCATATTATCTCATTTAATCACCGTGCCAGCTCCTCAGTGGGTTAATATTTACCTTATTTTTTGGAACAGAAAATGGAGGCAAAGAGCCTGAAAAATTTGCCAAGATCAAAACACCTCAGGAGTAGCAGAGCTGAGGTTTTGAACCTAAGTCTAATTCTTTTGAAGCTCATCCCTTCTTCTAGATGTGTGACAGAACTTCTCAAGCCACGAATTGTGGCAGTAACCAGGCTGTGGGACTGGTGGATCGGGGAACATGAGTCCCCTTCAATGTGGCTCTCTTGTCTGCATGCCAGGGGGCTTTCCAGCAAATCCATAGTTGGTTCCAGTCCTCCCTTCAGCCGCTTTTATTTTTTTATATTTTTTAATTGTGCAAAGTACACATAAAATAAAATTTACCATTTTAATGTGTACAATTCATCAGCATTAAGTACATTCAAATATTTTGCAGCCATCATCAGAACTTTATCATCATCCCAAATGGAAACCCATACCCTTTGGCAGTCACTCTCCCTTTTCCCTTCCTTTCCACCCTGTGGAGAGGAGGAAAAATATCTTTTTTCTCTACCTGTCCTCCATTCCTGGCTGAGGTCCCACACCAAAAAGGAGATTAATAGGAGAAAAGCAAACAAATGTATTTAATATAAGTTTTGTGTGACACAGTAAACTTCATAAGAAAATAGAGTCCCGAGAAATAGCCAAACCTGAATAGTTTTATGCTAGGTTTGATGAAGAATGGACCATCATGGAGAAATAGAACAAAAAGAGTGTGATCTAACAGCGATAAACTGGGAGGAACTTAGCAAGGTCTATTTGTTCAAAATCAGTGTCCTTGTGTTTTCAGAGAGGAAGATGTTTCTTTCCTCTGGGTATAGGAGGGCACCTCTCACATGAGACTCTTATGACCTGCTTCAGGGGAAGGTCAGAAAATCCTTCCTGCACATACTTTCTCAAATTCCTTTAGCTTAAAATATTCCTTCAGCTTAAAATATTCACTGTGCCAAGGTGCCATATTTTGGCGGTAATGTGTCTTGAAATTCTGTCATCTGGAAATCACGAATCTACTTTCTGCCTTGTGGATTTGCCTATTCTGAATATTTTATATGAATGAAATCATATTCTAATCATATACTAAGAGGCCTTTTGTGTCTGGCTTACTTCACTTCGTGTAAGATTTTCCAGGTCCATCCGTGTTGTAGCCTGTGTAAGTACCTCATTCCTTTATTTAAGGCTGAGTACTATTCTGACATATGGATATGACACATTGGTTTATCCAGCCATCTGTAGATGGACACTTGTTTCTACCTTTTGCTACTGGGAGACATTATGCTGTGAACATAGGAGTATAAGTTTTTGTCTGGACCTCCAGCAGCTTTGGCTCTGTGCTCCCAGAGAGCTCACTGTATCATCATCCCCTTGTTTCTCTACCAGACCTAGAATTCTTCCATTTTATTTTTTTGAGAGCAAGTATCGCTCTGTTGCCCAAGCTGGAGTGCAGTGGTGTGATCTCAGCTCACTGCAACCTCCGCCTCCCAAGTTCAAGTGATTCTCCTGCCTCAGCCTCCTGAGTAGCTGGAATTATGGGCACCTGCCACCATGTACGGCAAATTTTTGTATTTTTAGTAGAGACACGGTCTCACCATGTTGGCCAGGTTGCTCTTGAACTCCTGACCTCAGGTGATCCACCCGTCTTGGCCTCCCAAAGTGCTGGGATTACAGGCCTGAGCCACCACGCCCTGCCCAGACCTGGGATTCAACCCTGGGGCAGTCCATCTTCTGGAACAGGTAGGGCAGGCTGTGGAGGTAAGCAGGAGAGCTCTAGGAAGTACCTTGAGTGAACTCCATGCAGGTGCCCCTTCTGTGACTGAAAGTTATACCACGTAAAATATTTTCTTAGGCTGAATGCCTGACCCTTTCTCTGCCTGTCAAACTGTGACTCACCTTTTACATCTGGTTCAAATGTCACTTCTCTGACTTATGTTCTTGGCAGTATTCTTTTGGGTATAAGATACTGAAAGAAAAGATGGTGTAAATCCTAAAGAAATCCATAGGCATTAAGGATAGGAGCTATGGTAATAGCCAGGATTCATGGTAACTATAAGCAAAGAGTGGAAAGCTACCAGAGCCACGCTGCCACTTTCTTAATCTCCCTTCGTCCTGCCCCTCCCTCTTGTCTTCTCTCCATCTCTCACCAGACGCCGAAGTATCTTTGCCTTTCTCTTTGCTTTGTCTCTACTGTGGCACATGACCCAGCATGGCCATTGCTAGCCTTTCCACGTTGTAATCCTTCAACTTCAGTTACTGTTTTCTGGTGACATCTCTTTCTGTCCTTTTGTTGACTCAATGCATGGATATCTGGCTTCATCATGGGTGGGTCCCCTCATGTAATGTGTCCCCCCTCCTGGTCTTTGACCCCTGAAACCAGGGTCATGTGACCTCCTGTCCCCTGTGGGTAGACTTTCCAGATGTATCTATAAGAATCCCCCAAGCATATGTAATGTCTCTTGCTTTTGTATTTATTTATTTTTTTGAGGCAGAGTCTCATTCTATTGCCCAGGCTGGAGTGCAGCGGCATGATCTTGGCTCACTGCAACCTCCACCTCCTGAGTTCAAGGGATTCTCCTGCCTCAGCTTCCCAAGTAGCTGGGACTAAAGGCGTGTGCCACTATGCCCAGCTAATTTTTGTATTTTTAGTAGAGATGGAGTTTCACTATATGTTGGTCAGGTTGGTCTCAAACTCCTGACCTCAGGTGATCTGCCTGCCTCAGCCTCCCAAAGTGCTGAGATTACAGGTGTGAGCCACTGAGCGCTGGCCACTTTTGTATTCTTATAGCACTTTGTCATGTAGGTGCCTAAGCACTTTGTCATGTATCCACCTAAACAAGTGGATAACATTCAAATACCACATTTGCTCTAGGAAAATGAACTATTGCATGGCAGGGACTGTTCTGGGTATAGCTGATATTTCCAGCACAGCCACTTGCATATTGTTGTTTAATACTAATATGCTTTAAAAATACAGAATCGGATGAGATTAAGATACTTAAGTTTCTTCCAAATGTATGAGAACATATTTAAAGGCAATGTCAGGGAATTCCAAACTAGAGGCTGCATTTGGACTAATAATTTGAGAGCACACTGAGTTTATCAGATTTGTTTTCCTTACCTTGAACAAGCTGCTTCAAAGCAGAAAGATGGGGGTGTCATTTCTCAGCCATAGGGGTGACAGAGTCACTTGCATGTAAAGAATGTGCAGAAAGGCAGTTCTAGCGGATACAGAGCCCTGCAAAGAGATCACCTAGTGAGTTCAGAGACGGCACTGGGTGGGCTGGCGTCTGTGTGTGTGTGCGGCACTCTCAGAGGACAGCACTTTCTCACCCATCATCCCACTTCCTGCTGGAATGGTTATATGGCAGCCACCAGTAGAGCCTTCATTAAGCCCCTCCCTTGGGTCAAGCAGGCCAAGGAAGCGGAAACCTGAGCTTGTACAATAGCAGTCTAGCCTTTGTTTAATGTGGCTAGGATTTAATGTGTCTAATGTGGTTGAGTGAGGTTGAATGGGGAGAGGAAATTATTGGCAGTAGGTTTGGTGAGGACTGAAGCTGGCCAAATAGGCACTTTATTCTAATGATGACCGAATGCTCCTGTTCCTACTCCTTTTACTTGCAAATTAGTTTACTCCCCCCAGGCTAGGCGACGAGGTGGCTCACGCCTGTAATCGTGGCAATTTGGGAGGTGGAGATGGAAGGATCCCTTGAGCCCAGGAGTTTAAGACCAGCCCGGGCAACATAGTGAGACCCCTAGCTTTACAAAGAAAATTAGCCGGGCACAGTGGTGTGTGCCCAGTCCCAGCTACTAGGGAGGCTGAGGCAGGAGAATCCCTTGAGCCCAGGAGTTCAAAACTGCAGCAAGCTGTGATTGTACCACTGCACTCCAGCCTGGGCAACACAGTGACATCTTGTCTCAAAAAAAAAAAAAAAAAAGAAAAGGAAAAGAAAAAACAATCAAATCAGTTTCACTTTCCAGTCATTTTTTTTCTGGCCTTCAGTTCAGACTCTGTGGTTGCCTGCAGGGAGGAAGAGTTCACACATTTTAGGTACAAAGATTAGGGCAATATTGACATGGCAAATACACTTCTCAAAGAACAGTGGACCGAAAGATGTGGATGCAGTTAGCTTGGAGCCAAATGGGTGCTGCTCTTTGACTATGCAAAGACAGTCTTGGACCTCCAAGAAGAAGTAATTGGGCCGGGCATGGTGGCTCACACCTGTAATCCCAGCACTTTGGGAGGCCGAGGTGGGTGAATCTTTTGAGGTCAGGAGTTCGAGATCAGCCTGGCCAACATGGCGAAACCCCGTCTCCACTAAAAATACAAAAAAAACTTAGCTGGACTTGGTGGTACACACCTGTAATCCTAGCTACTAGGGAGGCGGAGGTAGCAGAATCACTTGAACCTGGGAGATGGAGGTTGCAGTGAGCCAAGATTGCACCACTGCACTCCAGCCTGGGCAACAGAGTAAGACTCTGTTTCAAAAAAGAAGTAATTGGACCAGGCAGTGGGAAGTAGAGATGGGGTCTTTGGGATGAGAACAAGTGGAGGATTCTCCTTTGGATCTGGTTTCTAATATTTCCCAAAAATGTGGCACGCAGACCAATGATGATAGAATATAATCATTGGTTATATGGACTGCTAGGTATTAATTTTAATGTGGATTAGAAAAAGCAATATAACTTGCACTCCAAGTGTGTGATTCTAAAGCTGTGGCAATCCAGTTTATGCAGAACATACTGATCCCAGGCTTGGTGTAAGCGCATGCTCGTCAATATTTTAAACCCGTAACCGGACTTTCTTCCGTGGTATTTTTAGAAATACCAGTAGAATGAATAACCATTGCTGTATTGCCTTCACACCCAGGAAGCTTTCTTCAGCCCTCTCTCTTTGGGACTATCAGGCTCTGCTGGGGATGAGAGTGATTCGGAAAGACTGTTGAGCCCACTCTCCCAGACAGACCACACAGAAATGAATGCTTGAGCAAGAGTGGACTGTTCTCGGTGTGCCTAGCCTGCATGGTGGCACCGGTCCCTGAAATAATGCCACAGTGAACCAAGGGAAGCCTGGGCCTGTGCCAACAGTGCCCATGCAGCCGAGCCTCTTGGAAACATAAAAGGGGAATCTAATACAAGTTTGAGTTATGGGCTACTTCTTTTCAGCTTAAAAAAGTTATTTAAAAATTCAATTAATTGGCCGGGTGTGGTGGCTCACGGCTGTAATCCCAGCACTTTGGGAGGCCAAGGCGGGCAGATCACAAGGTCAGGAGGTCGAGACCATCCTGGCCAACATAGTGAAACTCCATCTCTACTAAAAATACCAAAATTAGCTGGGCATGGTGGGTGGCACATGCCTGTAATCCCAGCTACTCAGGAGGAGGAAGCAGGAGAATCCCTTGAACCAGGGAGTTGGAGGTTGCAGTGAGCAGAGATCGTCCCACAGCACTCTAGCCTGGCGACAGAGTGAGACTGTCTCAAAAAAAATTCAATTAATTAATTTTATTTTTATTATTTTTATAAGAGATGAGGTCTCACTCTATTGTCCAGACTAGAGTGCAGTGGTGCAATCATAGCTCACTGCAGCCTCCAACTCCTGGGCTCAAGCAATCTTCCCATGTCAGTCTCTCACGTAGCTGGGACTACACGTGTGTGCTACCACATATGGGTAATTTTTATTTTTGTTACCTTTTTAGAGAAAGGGTCTCACCGTGTTGCTCAGTCTGGTCTTAAGTTCCTGGCCTCAAGTGATGCTCCTGCTTCAGCCTTCTGAGTAGCTGGGATTACTTGTGTGAGCCACCACATCTGGCTGTTTTTAAATGACCAATAATAACTGTATAAATGTATTGGGTTCAATATGATGTTTTGATACATGTTTACATTGTGGAATGATTAAATCAGGCTAATTAACTTATCCTTCACCTTACAGACATCATTTTTTGGCGGTGAAAACATTTAAAATGTACTCTTTTAACAATTTTTAAATATGCAATGCATTATTATTTATGGTCACCATTCTGCGTACTAGATCACTAAAACTTATTCCTCTTGTCTGTCTGAAAGTTTGTACCCTTTGCTGAACATTTCTCCTTTCCCCATCCAAACCCCTCTCTCAGCCTCTGATAATCACCATTCTACTTTCTACTGCTATGAGATCAACATTTTTAGCTTCCACCTATAAATCAGGTAATGCAGTATTTGTCTTTCTGTGCCTGGTTTATTTCATTTAGCATGATGTCCTCTAGTTCATCCATGTTGTAGCAAATGACAGGATTCCTTCTTTTTAAAATGCTAAATAGTATTCCGTTGTGTATATATACCATGTTTTCTTTTCCATTGATGGATTCATAGTTTGCTTCTGTATCTTAGCTGTTGTGAATAATGCTGTCATGAGTGTGGGAAAGCAGGCATCTCTTGGACATATTTAATTTACTTTGTATGTATCCTCAGTAGTGGGGTTGCCAGATCAGATGGTAATTCTCCTCTTAGGTTTTGATGGAACACCCATACTGTTTTCTATAACTGGTTGTATGTGGTGGGGATTTTTGGTGGTAAATTATCAAGGTATCTCATTTTGAGTATTATTCTAACATTCTTTTCTAAATACAATTTTAAACTTAAGAGCATTATTTTGTTTTTTAATCTCATATACTATTTTGGGCTACTTCTGGATTTTTGACCAAGTGTTTCTACTTTTATTTATTTTTTCTTTTCTTTTCTTTTTTTTTTTTTGAGGCGAAGTCTCACTCTGTTGCCCAGGCTGGAGTGCTCACTGTAACCTCTGCCTCCCAGGTTCAAGTGATTCTCCTGCCTCAGCCTTCTGAGGAGCTGGGATTACAGGCAAGCGCCATCACGCCTAGCTAATTTTTGTATTTTTTGTAGAGATGAGGTTGGCCAGGCTGGTCTTGAACTCCTGATCTCAGGTGATCCTTCCACCTCGGCCTCCTAAAGTGCTGGGATTACAGGCGTCAGCCACTGTGCCTGGCCTCTACTTTTCAAATTGCAGTAGTGAAGGAGTTAAAAACATGCCATCCCCAAATATATTTCTCTAGCATATTGACTATGTGAGTTAAAGACACTTGAAGTACAGCAGATAACAGAAGATCACACTGACCTTCATGCTGTTTCTTAAAAGCCAGAGATGCAATTCCCACGTGAGAGACACCCTCCCCGTACGAAGAGAAATAACACGCTTATCCTCAATGATATAAAGTTGAGACTAAAAGAATTCTGTAAGACTCTGTTAAAATAACTTCTCTTTTAAGTTTCCCCACATATTTCAGATGCTTCTTTTTTTAAATTATTATTATTATACTTTAAGTTCTAGGGTACATGTGCACAACGTGCAGGTTTGTTACGTATGTATACATGTGCTGTGTTGGTTTGCTGCACCCATTAACTCCTCATTTACATTAGGTATTTCATCTAACGCTATCCCTCCTCCCTCCCCCCACCCCATGACAGGCCCCAGTGTGTGATGTTCCCGTTCCTGTGTCCAAGTGTTCTCATTGTTCAGTTCCCACATATGAGTGAGAACATGCGGTGTTTGGTTTTCTGTCCTTGCAATAGTTTGCTGAGAATGATGGTTTCCAGCTTCATCCATGTCCCTACAAAGGACATGAACTCATCATTTTTTATGGCTGCATAGTATTCCATGGTGTATATGTGCCACATTTTCTTAATCCAGTCTATCATTGATGGGCATTTGGGTTGGTTCCAAGTCTTTGCTATTGTAAATAGTGCCGCAGATGCTTCTTTACAACTTACTATTCTTTGTTCAATTCAGCACACAACTGACTCTAACTGCTTCTAAGAGCCCCTGTGCCACATAAAATCTGTATTAAATAAGCTTATATATAGGCATATCTCGGAGATATTGCGGGTTGGGTCCCAATCACTGAAATAAGCAAATATCTCAATAAAGCAAGTCACATGAATTTTTTTGGTTTCCTAGTGCATATAAAGTTTATACTTACACTAAACTGTAGCCTGTTAACTCTGCAGTAGAATTATGTCTAAAAACAATGCATAGACCTTATTTGTAAAATACTTTATTGCTAAAAGATGCTAAAGAAATAAGTGCCTCATGTTGGAAAAATGGCACGGACAGACTTGCTTGACTTGCAGTTGCCACGAACCTTCCATTTGTAAAAAAAAACACAGTATCTCTGAAATGCAATACAGCTACGCACAGTATGCCTGTATTTTTCTCCTGTTAAGCTTTTAGATGTCAATTTAATTCTTGGGTCCAGCCTAACAGGATAGAGGTGGAGTTTTGTCTTCCCTGTAGTATGGTTATCAAGTTTCCTTGAAAACTAGATTTAAGGGGTTTTCTTTTAAAGGTAATTTTTTTTTTGAGACAGAGTCTCACTCTCTTGCCAGGCTGGAGGGCAGTGGTGCGATCTCGGCTCACTGCAACCTCTGCCTCCCGGGCTCAAGCGATTCTCCTGCTTCAGCCTCCCAAGTAGCTGGGACTGCAGGCGTGTGCCACCATGCCCAGTTAGTTTTTGTATTTTTAGTAGAGATGGGGTTTCACCATGCTGGCCAGGATGATCTCTTGACCTTGTGATCCACCCTCCTCGGCCTCCCAAAGTGCTGGGATTACAGGCATGAGCCACCGTGCCCAGCCTAAAGGTAATATGTTTTAAGAAAAATATGAAGTACTGATAAAGTGTCTTGGAATGTGACACCTGGTGCCTCTAGGTGACGTGTGGATATAGCAAAGATCTGGAAAGTAGCAAAAGTTAGGCAAACACTGGCTTACATCATTACTTTGTTCTTACACCTCCTGCTTTTGGAAACTGTGTGTCCCAAGGTCAAGATTGAATCCCCCCTCTGTCTTAAATGCAGAAGCTGGTGTTCCCCTCTCTGAACTTTAGTGGTACTATCTATCTATCCCATTAGTTCCCTATTTTTTTTCTTTTCTTTTTCTTTTTTTGAGACAGAGTCTCACTCTAACACCCAGGCTGGAGTGCAGTGATGTGATGTTGGCTCACTGCAACCTCCGCTTCCCAGGTTCAAGTGATTCTTCTGCGTCGGTCTCCTGAGTAGCTGGAATTACAGGCATGCACCACCACACCCAGCTATATATATATATATATATTTTTTTTTTTTTTTTTTGCATTTTTTAGTAGAGACAGGGTTTCACCATGTTGGCCAGGCTGGTTTGTATCTCCTGACTCAAGAGATCTGCTTGCCTTGGTCTCCCAAAATGCTGGGATTACAAGTGTGGACCACCATGCCTGGCCCCGATGGGCCCTTAGAGTAGTGGTCCTGTGTGGTTAGTTCTGCTTCTGTATGCTCAAATCCTGCCTTCCCAACAAGACCTAACACTCTTTGAGGGGAAGAATGGGGTCCATATCTCCAGCCCCAAGTAGGGGAAAAGAACCATCTTCCCCCACCCATTGCTATGTTCATGGCTGAAGCCCCTGTGACAAAAACAATTAACAAAAGGAAAGCATAACAAATTTATGTAATAAGTTTATGTAATACGGGAAACTTCAGAAATGAAGTCACAAAGAAACAGGTAAACCTGTGTATTTTCAGTGCTTGGTTTGATGGAGAACTAAGTAGACCTGGAGAAGAGTGACTGTATTTTTTAAAAGTATGCAAGAAACTTGTGGGAACTTAGCAAAGCTGATTTGTTCAGATTCTTCTCTGTGACCCTGCGTCTTCAGAGAGAAGAAAGTTCCTTTCCTCTGGGCATAGAAAGAGCCCCCGTGGAACGAGAATCCTGGGACCTGATTCAGGGGAGAAGGGCAGAAGAAGGTGAGAGTCACTTTCCTGTTTCTGCTGTTTTCTCAAATGTGAATGTACCATGTTTTAGGGTATCCTGAACCCCATCTCCCATCCACCCTGCCTCGGCCCATAGTCTCTTGTACTGTTTAATGACAAGAGCAAATTCCTTATCCTCGCCAAGATTCGGTTTCCCCATCTGTAAACGGAGATAATGATGAGCTCACTTCATACTTTTACTTCATTGTTGCCAGGGCTAAGGGAGTGAAGCTGGCAATAGATAAATGGTGCCTGATACCATACACCTTGCGGGGCCATACAAAAGGACACAGCACTCTGTCCTCCTAGATTGTTAACTTTCAGTCTTAAATAAAAGAGCTAGGGAAGAAAAAGCTGTTAAGGGGCCAGTTTGAGAAAGAGACAGTAAGTAACAGTTTGTTTCTCAGGGGGCGCAGCCTCCCCTGGGTATGGGCAGGAATTTACCAGGCAGCACACACACAGGGCACTTTGAGCACAGCCCACTTACCTGCTAAGACTTAGGGGGTGTCTGAGGCACTCAGAGCACTGAGCGGGCTATTGTGGGCCCCGAACCAGGAAAAAGCGTCCCTGTAATTGAGCAAAATGCACCCTTTCTCTGGGTTAAAATTCCCAAACTCAAAAGGTTTCAAGTGATCTTATTTTATTGTTATTTTCTTTAACAGGAGACTTTGAGGTGTGAACTGAAAGTCGTTACTCCTCCCCTGAGCTTGACTGCTGGGTTACCCAGAGGAGCCCAGTGTCCTGCAATGAATGGGCATATTATGCCTTCCATTAAAAGTTGTGGCTCTTAATTAAAAACGTGATCGTGAGTCTTTATGGAGACATTGTTTAGGTTTTCTTTAGCTGTTAACACATAATAAATCATTTTAAAAGGACCTTTTCCCCTATCTTTTAATGGTTAGTGCATTTTAAAAAAGTGATTTGAAAATAAAACTGGGATTAAATTTAGTGTTTGACAAGGTGCTAAGGGGCTCACCACCTCTGCCAGGATAAGACAAGAGGGCTTTACTTCATTTGCTACTGACCTTCTTGTTTTCCTAGTTCTAGCCTGGCTTGATCGATTCAAATGGCAGGGTGACTTTGGTGTCAGAAGTTTAACTGGCAGGTATCAGGAAAAGCTGCAGGCAGCCTATGCCACCCCATCTTTCCTTTATTATCTTGCAATTACAAAGCATTCAACTCTGCTGAGAAGAAAAGCCTGCTTTTTTTTATGAACTCTCCAGTAATGCTATAAAGCAAGGAATGACGTGGGTCGCGTGTGGGCGCATGTGTATAATCCACGAATGCCGGAGACCTCGCCCTCATTCTGTCTTCCTAGCACAGGTTCCTTGAGAGTGCAGTGAATGGCTTGAGATCTTGGCTGCCAGTCATCTTGGGAGTTCTGAGCGAACAGAGGCAGGGACTGGCTTGTGTCTGAATGACGGTCACAAAGACTTCTGCATTTATTGTGCAAGTTCTTAGGGCCCTTGGGTTGGATGGAACAGAGGACTCAAGACGGAAGGACAAGCCGGGAGATGTGGCACCGTGGGTGTGCAATGTACCTATAGGAATGCCTGCAGACAGCATTCCTCTGCAAAGGAGGAAAACAATACTCCATGCGGGTATTATGAGAGGGCACGTGCGAAAGGGTTTTTGCAAACTGAGTGTCACCAGACAAATAGGAGAGATGATGATGATGCTTCTGCCAATTCTGCTTCACAATCATTTTCAAAAATCATTTCTTTGCAAAATTTCTAGTTGGCTGAGAAGATGGTTTCAGCTCTCTGCGTCCTGCATTCTAATGAGATTTCCAGATAGAGAAAGGCACTATGTTGTTTGCTGCTAGGCAAGATGCTTGCTGTCCATGACGTTTTCCTTGCTGCGAGGTGCCCATCTCTAAGCTAGGATTCGGCCTCAGAGCCTCGGTGTTGAGCAGTTTCGCCGTGAGGCCAGGAGAGGGCGGGCTGCCCCTCTGCTCTTCCGCTCCTGGGCTCCCGTCTCCCTGTCCTGGCTGTGACCCTCACTCTTGTGTGCCACGGAGACCACACACATGGCGGGCAGTGGTTTTTCATCATGTTTACTGAAGGGAAAGGGAATTTAAGAGGAATTCTCCAGAAATTACAAAATGCCAGACGTCTCATTCCTGGTTACAGCCCATTCCAGCGTTTATCCCTGATTCAACCTGGGGTCACTCTCGGCTCAGACTCTCACCTCCCGCAGCCTCTCTCCTCTGGCTTTGCCCAGCCTACTGTCTGCCTGCCTCCCTGGCTCTCGCTCTCAGTCCTCCCTCTGGGTCCCCCCGCCCAGTCCCTACCTCATAATTTTCTTTTTGTATCTCAGGCCGGTCTCCCCATCTCCCCCACCTCAGAGAAGAGGAATGATCTCATTGCTTTCACACGTTTCGAGGAAGACAGTAGCTTCCATCCAGCCTAAGCAGAAAACCCGCAAAACTCATGACTTCCGCGTTGACCTGGGAGTGCACCTGCCAGTACGTGGCTTTCCACTTTGAGAATGAATGACAGTCATTCCCTTTCACCTGAAGGAAAAGCTCTGTCCTCTCCTAGTCAACTCTGCAGCCTTCGACTTTAGAAAAAAGAATCTTCTAGCAGGAAGGCTTAAAGGGGGTCCCCGATGACCGGTCCAGTGGGCCGGGCTTGGAATACAGTGGGTGGCAGTGAGCTGCCCGCCGCTGGGGGCAGCTGGTTTCATCTGGAGAACCATGTTGTCTCTCCTATAGCTGCAGTCCGGTGGCCTAGTCCTTCTCTCTGGAAACATACGAAGTGAACCTCATCATTTTCCTGACAGTCCTGAAGTTATTCAGAGACAGCAATCACATCTGGGGTGTTTTCTTTTCCCGGTTAAAAAAATCCCCGTTTCTGGGCCGGGCGCGGTGGCTCACTCCTGTAATCCCAGCACTTTGGGAGGCCGAGGCGGGCGGATCACGAGGTCAGGAAATCGAGACCATCCTGGCTAACATGGTGAAACTCCGTCTCTACTAGAAATACAAAAAATTAGCCAGGCGTGGTGGCAGGTGCCTGTAGTCCCAGCTACTCGGGAGGCTGAGGCAGGAGAATCGCTTGAACCCGGGAGGCGAAGGTTGCAGTGAGCCGAGATCCTGCCTACTGCATTCCAGCCTGGTTGACAGAGCAAGACTCCGTCTCAAAAAAAAAAAAAAAAAAAAAAAAAAATACTATGTGCCAACAGTAAGCACTCAGTAAGTAAAAATTCTAACACTGTTATATTTCTAGTATTATACTCTTAAATACTATCATTTGATCAATCCTATCTACACAGAAGTATAAAACAGATGCAATGCATGAAATAGAATGAAAACAAAATCTCGTTCCTTTCCCGGTCCGCTAATTCCATTCCTACAAGAGCACCTGTGCAGATTTTGTGTGTATACTTCCAGGTATTTTCTATGCATGGACAAGTATACATTTGTATATAATCTCTCTCCCATGAACGGCTTTATACTAATAGGTACAGCTATGTCTTAATTTTTTTCCACATAATAATAAAATTGGGACATCATTCTAGCCTTTCCATCTCAAAAAGTAGAAACCTGCCTCATTTAAAAACTATTTTTATGGCCCGGCGTGGTGGCTCACTCCTGTAATCCGAGCACTTTGGGAAGCCGAGGCGGGTGGATCACGAGGTCAGGAGATCGAGACCATCCTGGCCAACATGGTGAAACCCCGTCTCTACTAAAAGTACAAAAATTAGCTGGGTGTGGTGGCGCATGCCTGTAGTCCCAGCTACTTGGGAGGCTGAGGCAGGAGAATGGCATGAACCCGGGAGGTGGAGGTTGCAGTGAGCCAAGATCACACCACTGCATTCCAGCCTCACAACAGAGCGAGACTCCATCTCAAAACAAACAAACAACAACAACAAGAGAAAACTATTTTTATTATATATGCACCTATGTACAATTTTTGGAAAGTGCATGGGTATGGCGTATACACTGTAGTTTTAGCAGAAGCATTTGATACCATCAAAAGAGTAAACACAACCCATATATAGCCTCTGAAGCATAATAGAATGAATACCTGAGACTCTACCACTCAACATCAGAAATAAAACATGAGTGATAGTGTTGAAATACTATTGATATTCCTCCCTATTCTCTCTCCACTTCCCCATCAGGAATCCCTCATTTTTCTCATTCCCTCACTCTTCTTACTAGTTTTAGCATATATATATTTGTCTCCAAGTAATGCATTGTTTTGTTTTGCCTGTTTTTACTAGCTTAAAAATTGTATTATATTGAAGAGATCTGTGATTTGCTTTTTTTTTTTTGAGATGAAATCTTGCTCTGTCACCCACTCTGGAGTACAGTGGCGCAATCTCAGCTCACTGCAGCCTCTGCCTCCTGGGTTCAGGTGATTCTTCTGCCTCAGCCTCCTGAGTAGCCACCACACCCAGCTAATTTTTTTGTATTTTTAGTAGAGATGGGGTTTCAGTACCTTTGCCAGGCTGGTCTCGAACTCCTGACCTTAAGTGATCTGCCTGCCTTGGCCTCCCAAAATGCTGGGGTTACAGGCTGAGCCACCACAGCCAGTGTGTGATTTGCTTTTAAATTCAACATTATGTTTCTGATGTACATGTCAATGTGCTTAGCCCTATTTGATTTCCACTGTTGAACTTATGTCATTATATAAAAGATTTATCTACCAATTTTGGGTTATTTTTCATTTTCTGCTGTGGTAAATAATGCCATAAAGACTGGACGTGTCTTTTGTATTTTTTTAAAAAATGGTTGTATTGTGCGACTGGCCATAATTATTTATTCTTTTATTAATAAATATATGTGTGTGTGTGTCTATATTTGTTCTTGAGTTATCTTCTCTGTGCGGATAAAGATCATGTTTATGCTAATTCTGAATACATCTGTCTATCTAATTGTTGACTATTGCCTTTCTGCATGACAGATAAGAATTTTCATTACTTTTTTTTGGAGACAACATCTCACCCTTTAGCCTGAAGAGACAGGCTGGAGTGCAGTGGTGCAATCATGGCTCATTGCAGCCTTGAATTCCTGGGCTCAAGTGATCCTACCACTTTAGCCTCCTGAGTAGCTGAGACTACAGGCACATGCCTCCATGCCTGGCTAATTATTTGGAAATTTTTGTAGAGACAGTGTCTCACTATGTTGCTCAGTCTGGTCTTGAATTCCTGGCCTCAACTGATCCTCATGCCTTGGCCTTCCAAAATGTTGGGATTACAGGCATAAGCCACTGTGCTCCACCAAACATTTTCATTACTTTTACCATCAGCAATCTGGTACACTAATTATAAAATGCTTATATTATTTCCTAGCTCCTTTAGTCACATCTGCAAATTCAAACGTTAGCCTTCAATTCCCATTTCTCCATTCTGTAGTATCGCAAACTTGTCTCTTATCCTTTTCTCTGCTAGTTCTCTTCCCCTACTACCTCTCAAACTTTATTCAAGTTTTTATTATTAAAGTTTATAATATTTATATGTTGTTATGTAAGTAACATTGCCTTCTCTGCCAGAATTGATTCTAAAAGTTGAAAACTAACCCACAACACTTATCATTCATAGGTATGCAATTACTGTTGTCTGCAGAACCAAGTAATCTGCTGTGATTACATTTTGTGGCTATATGTAAAATATGATGATCCTTGGGACACTTACAGGACAATCTTTCTCTAGGTTCAAGTTCAAATGGGGTCTGCTTTTTCTCTACTCCATAATTGCCTTTATCATCTTCTCACATTTCCCCAGTTTTCAATCCTGAGAGATATCCTATCCATTTCCCCTACTCAGCCCCTCCCTAAACTCACTCTGTATCCTAATTGGTTATGATCCAAACCTGTTGCTGTCATCCTGGGATGGTTATCATACAGAGCTAGGTAATTCCAGAGTTTACCCTCTTTTTCCCTTCCTTCCTTTCTCTCTCCTTTCTTTTCTTTTCTTTTTCTTTCTTTCTTTCTTTCTTTCTTTCTTTCTTTCTTTCTTTCTTTCTTTCTTTCTTTCTTTCTTTCTCTTTCCTCCTTTTCTGCATTGGATTGATTGAAGATTCCACATCTTTCTCTATCTTGGTTTATCCTCTTGTTTTACAAGTCATTTCATAAGAATAGTTTCATTGGAGGTAAACTTTCTGATCTCTTTAAAATCCTGAAAAATACTTTACCCTTACATTTCATTGATGCATGAATCAGTCAGAACACAAAGAAAATGGATGTTATTCAATTTGTTTATAAAGTCACTTACTCAACAAACGTTGAATAAGTATTATGTACCATACACTATAAATAAAAAGATGAATAAAACAGTTTTGCCCTGGAGTTGTTCCTAGTGTAGTGACAAAGGACAAATATACACACTTAATTACAATACAATGAGGTAACTGCTCTCTCAGAAACATGTAATATTAAAATATGTACTCTAGATAATTAGATAATAAATGCATTGGCCAATCATCAAGAAAAAGGTGTGACTGTGACTTGGTTTTTGAGAAATATTAATAGCTATGTTCTAAATATTTGACATATCTCATTTCATTCTCACAACAATCCCTATGAGGTCAACTCTTTCTCCTTTTTTTTTTTTGAGACAGAGTTTCACTCTTGTTGCCCAGGCTGGAGTGCAATGGCGCGATCTTTGCTCACCACAACCTCTGCCTCCCAGGTTCAAGCGATTCTCGTGCCTCAGCCTCCCAAGTAGCTGGGATTACAGGCATGTACCATCACGCCCAGCTAATTTTGTATTTTTAGTAGAGATGGGGTTTCTCCATGTTGGTCAGGCTGGTCTCAAACTCCCAATCTCAGGTGATCCACCTGCCTTGGCCTCCCAAAGTGCTGGGACTGCAGGCGTGAGGCACGCGCCCAGCCCTTTCTCCTTTTGTTTAAAGATGAGAGGATAGGGTCTCAGAGGGATTGAGTATATTGCCTATTATTACAGAACAGGTACATGGAAAACAAATGGTTATCATACAGAGCTAGGTAATTCCACAGTTTACCCTCTTTTTCCCTTCCTTCCTTCCTTCCTTCCTTCCTTCCTTCCTTCCTTCCTTCCTCCCTTCCTCCCTCCCTTCCTTCCTTTCTTCCTTCCTTCCCTCTCTCTCTCTCTTTCTTTCTCTTTCTTTCCTTCTTTTTTTTTTTTTTTTGGACAGGATCTGGCTCTGTAGCCAGACTGAAGTGCGGTGGTGCGATCAAAGCTCACTGTAAACTCAAACTCCTGAGCTCAAGCGATCCTCCTACTTTAGCCTCCTGAGTAGCTGGGACCCCAGGTATGTGCCACCATGCCTGGCTAATTTTTTAAAATTGTTTGTAGAGACGAGGTCTTCCTATGTTGTTCAGGCTGGTCTTAAACTCCTGGCCTCAAGTGACATCCCACCTTAACCTTTCAAAATATGGTGGTTTTAGGGGGTAACCACTGTGCTGGGCAAGAGTTTACTATCCTATTCACTCCATTATTTTATATCACAATAAGTGTTCAGTAGAAGAAGATAGAATGGTGGCTGTTGTCCTAGAGATGGTTTTCTGGAGACAGTGAGGTAGGAACACAGTCTTGAAGGATTTTCAACATTTGAATAAACATAGAAGATGCAGGGGAGAGGATTCCTAGTTAAATTCCCTTGAAGGGGGTTTAACCAGGGTGAACTGAATTGCAGTGGGTGAAATTCAGGTGGTAACTATCTGTTTTCTTTTTTAAAAAACACTTTTACAAGAACTTTCTAAGCTCAAGAAAATGTCTTAATGAGGATTCTTCCTTCTCTCTTTCCCCAGGGTTGTGTAGTGATCCTAAAAGTTCAGCTGGCCAGACCATCAGAGAGGTCTTTCTTCTCCCCTCCCCCTGGGTGGTGGCTGGGATGTTCATCCTCTTTGTCCACATGGCTTCTGGAGTTTGGCAGCTCAGCTGGTTTTGTTTTTCCTCGAGAACCTTACTGAGCTTTTCCTGGGTTCATCACCAGCCATCCCTCTGTGGTCTGACCACATTCTATCCCAGAGAACTAAATGAGTCCTCACTGCTCAAGTGACCAACCTGTAGTCGCTACAGTCTGGGGAAAAATCTCTCCCCTTCTCTGTTGGCCTTCAAAATCTCTCTCTCTTTCTCACTCGCTCATACACACATACATCTCTTCTCTCTGAACTCCAAACACGATCTTTTCAATGAGCTCAGGCTTCTGAAAACATGCAGATCTGTTGACTTGAAGCAACGTCTATTTTCAGTGCTACAAGAGTCATGAAGGCAAGAAAATGGGAAGGGAGAAAACTGAGAAACAGAACTGGGGGCAGGCTAAGTGGGTGCAGCCACTCGGAGGAATTTGACCATATCTGGTGACGCTGAAGAGACACATGTTCCAGGAGGGCAGCTGGCGGTTTTACTGGGGCACAGCAGCATTCGCTGATTTTTGTATTGTCTACAGCTGCTTTCAGGCCACAGTGGAGAGCTGAGAAGTTGTGACAAAGACCATTTGGTGTCAAAAGACTGAAACATTTCCTATCTGTGTTGTTGACCCCTGTTTCAGATGAACAACTCGACTTCTAGATATGCACGGTTGACTCTCACAGATGTGTTTTAGAGGACACGTTCCCTACAGTGCTGCTTGTAGTAGAAAAACCTGGAAACAAAAGAAGTATCTTTCAACGGATAAATACATTATAGTGTTCTTCGGCTGTGGAATACAACAAA
Source organism: Homo sapiens (assembly GCF_000001405.40). NCBI lineage: Eukaryota > Metazoa > Chordata > Mammalia > Primates > Hominidae > Homo > Homo sapiens. The sequence continues at coordinate 13,121,401 of NC_000017.11, forward strand.
GAAAGAAAAACGAGTGAACTAGGACTGAATGCATCAACATAACTACAAATACCCTGAACAAAATGTTGGCCAGGCACGGTGGCTCACTCCTGTAATCCCAGCACTTTGGGAGGCCAAGGTGGGCAGATCACTTGAGTCAGAATTTTGAGACCAGCCTGGCCAAGACGGTGAAACCTCATCTCTACTAAAAATACAAAAAATAACTGGGAGTGGTGGTGCACACCTGTAATCCCAGCTCCTTGGGAGGCTGAGACAGGAGAATTACTTAAATCCAGGAGGCAGAGGTTGCAGTGAGCTGAGATCGTGCCACTGGACTCCAGCTTGGGCCATAGAGCGAGACTCAGTCTCAAACAAAACAAAACAAAACAAAATAAAAAAACCAAATACTCTGAACAAAATGTTGAGAGAGAAATGTGTACCATATGATAAATTTATTTAAATTTTAATGAAATCAAAAGGCATTATACATATTGTTTACCAATATGTGTATTTATATCTGTATTCCCTATATATGCAATATATATTTTATATCTGTTATAAAGAGAGGGAGGAATAGAGACAGGAGAGAGAGGAAGAGAGAAAAAGAGATATACTAAACATCTGTGTAGACTTTAAAAAACACAAAATATTATCCATACTGTTCATATATACATATATGGGTATGTGTGTGTGTGTGTGTGTGTGTGTGTGAGAGAGAGAGAGAGAGAGATCTCCAGAAAAGGTGAGGAATAGTATTGGTGAGAAGAACAAAAAGTGATCTACCTATAATGTTTTATCTCTATTATTTAAAAAAAATGAAGTTGAAATGGCAAAACATTAGCATTTGTTAATTCCGGATAGCGGGTACACAGATATGTAGGTTTATCATTTCCCCCGCCCCTGTACTTTAAAAAGCTTCTTAAAAAACCCACTAAGGGCTTAGCAACTTGTTCGAAACGCAGGCCGTGAGAAGGAAGAAGACGGGGGAAAATGATCCTGGGACATACTTGTAATTTTCTTCCCTGGTTCAGCTCCGTGGCTGAACACAGTGGGGGAGGTCACCCCTCCGCGTCTTTCCCTCTAGATAGCAAGGGTGTCTGACACCCTATTCACATTTCTCTTGAAGAAGCCCTGCTGTTTTACTGCAGTTTCTCTGCATCAAGGACAGCAATGCAGCTTTACAATGAAGGTCTTTGGTCTGCTTGACTTTCTGTGCTTGGATGTCAGAGACCCACTCTGACCTTGGTTTGCACTTGATCAATTGCCTCCATGTTTAAGAATCGTCAGTGGAAATCCTCCAATCCTCTGTGATAAACCTGCTCTCTAAGGAACCCAGTGGGGGCAAAACTGTGTTTATTTATATCTCTGAGATCATCAGAAGTGTCTACAAGGTACTCTAAAACTGGTAGAGTGAAAACAGTTATTTGAGCTTGATGAGTTTTGTAAGAGCTGTTCCTGAGGGCTAGTTAGGTTCTCTAAATTTCCAGAGCTGTTTAACCCTGTTAACAAGCGTGAAAGAAAAATGGATTCTAGCTTAGGCCTGCTTTATACATTAAAAATACGAAACATGATTTTTTTCTTTTTTATTTTTTGAGACGGAGTCTCGCTCTGTCGCCCAGGCCGGAGTGCAGTGGTGCGACCTAGGCTCACTGCAAGCTCCGCCTCCCGGGTTACGCCATTCTCCTGCCTCAGCCTCCAGAGTAGCTGGGACTACAGGCACCCGCCACCAAGCCCGGCTAATTTTTTGTTATTTTTAGTAGAGACAGGGTTTCACCGTGTTAGCCAGGATGGTCTCGATCTCCTGACCTTGTGACCCACCTGCCTCGGCCTCCCAAAGTGCTGGGATTACAGGCGTGAGTCACCGCGCCCCGCCGAATTTTTTTTTTTTTTTAATTGAGATTTGGGCCTCACCTACCTTTTGAAAAGTTAAAAAAGCAAGTGTAGTGAAAGTTCTAGTTTCATCAACTCGGACAGAATCACTGCTTAAGTAGAATTGAAAGAAGCTTCGGGAGAAAGAAAGTGTCATCTCACAAACCCCTAGGGAGGGGGCCCTAGACACAGTTAGATGTGAATACTTGTCCCTAGGTCTTCAAATTTCAAAAGCTTTAGGGAAGAAAGACCTGTTATTCCAAACCTGAATCATTATGAGGGACAATAACCCAGAAAGGAGAAAATGCCCTCAGAAATTAAATTCTGACAATATACTTACAAATGATTTTTGATGAAGAAAAGAGGGAGATATCTTTAAAAATCAAAACGGCTATACTCTCTGATTAATTCATATTTTAAGAGAACATGTACAAGAGATATAAGGGGAGGCCTAGTACAAGGGACAAATGGAGAATAGTGGCTGGCATGAATGTGCAAAGGCAGAGAAGCACCGAGGCTTGGAAAAGCCTCAGAAGACAGGAGCTTCCTCACAGATGTCAGAGAATTACGAAGAATGGATGAAGCCTCTCTTTGAAGTGAATGTGAAATAGATAACACAGAAAAAACAGAACGACTCTGGTATTTTAAAACTTATTTTTAATCTGTTTTCTGTATTTGCCAATCTCCAAATTTGAAAGAAGCTCAACAAAAATCTTAAAGTGGGAATTGAATCTCTGCGAGATAGTAATCATATATGCAATATGAACATTTTAATTTTTCTTTTCATGTTTTTGTCATCAGAATCATTCTTAGAAAATGAATTGACAAGTTTTCTCTCTTTTCTATGCTCTGAAACCATTGAATTGACATAAAAGGTAACTTTTAAACACTTGACAGAATTGATTTTTTTTTTTTTTGAGATGCAGTCTCGCTCTGTAGCCCAGGCTGGAGTGCAGTGGCACGATCTCGGGTCACCGCAACCTCTGCCTCCCAGGTTCAAGCAATTCTTCTACCTCATTCTCCCGAGTAGCTGGGATTACAGGCGCCCGCCACCAAACCCAGCTAATTTTTGTATTTTTAGTAGAGACGGAGTTTCACCATGTTGGTCAGGCTGGTCTTGAACTCCTGACTGCAAGCAATCCACCTGCCTTGGCCTCCCAAAGTGCTGGTATTACAAGCATGAACCACTGTGCCCAGCCCATCAGAATTCATTTTTTTAAAAAATTTATTTGTTTATTTATTTTTGCTCAGAAGACTTAGACCAAAGTAACCTTGGTTATGAGCTCCCAATAGAATTCATTTTTAAAGCTGCTTAAAATTAGGACTCTTTGTATGGATAGGTCTTGAACAGATTTCTTCACTATTTTTTCTATCATTATTAGGCTTTTAAATTTTATATGTATTTAGTGTCAGTTTTTATAATTTATGTTTTCCTGGAATTTTTTTATTTATTAAAATAAAAAAGCATTTTTCTTTATTAAAATAAAATATGTAGCATTTGTTTAGGGTTTTAAAAATTGTCTCTATCCATGGTTATAAATGGCTATAATATTCCTGTTTTCAGACTCTGACTTGTGTACTTCTGTTTTTCTCTTTTTGATTCATTCAACATTACTTCTGTTTTTCTTCAGTTTATTGACACTTGCCTTTATCCTTATTCATTTCTCTTTTTACTGGATATATGTATACATGTGTATATTTTTAGGCCTCTCACATGAAAAGATTTTAGTACTTGTATTTCCATTTTTCCTTTTGATAATGAAAGGCATTTAAGAATAATTTCTCTAACCTTAAACGCTATTGTTATTTCCTAAAGAGTATGTAATTATACGTTTAAAATTTTTTAATTTCAAAATATTTTTGAATTTATAGAAAATTGCAGGCCGGGCATAGTGGCTCACGCCTGTAATCCCAGCACTTTGGGAGGCCGAGTCTGGCGGCTCACCTGTGGTTGGGAGTTCGAGACCAGCCTGACCAACATGGAGAAACCCCGTCTCTACTAAAAATACAAAATTAGCCAGGCATGGTGGTGCATGCCTGTAATTCCAGCTACTCGGGAGGCTGAGGTAGGAGAATTGCTTGAACCCGGGAGACGGAGGTTGCGGTGAGCCAAGATTGTGCCATTGCACTCCAGCCTGGGCAACAAGAGCGAAATTGTGTCTCAAAAAAAAAAAAAAAAAATACACAAAGTAGATGTTTAAAAAAAAAAAAAAAAAGAAAGAAAGAAAATTGCAAAAATAGAGAATCCCCCAACTTTTTTTTTTTTTAGGCAGAGTCTTGCAGTGTTGCCCAAGCTGGAGTGCAGTGGTGTGATCTCTGCTCACTGCAACCTCTGACTTGTGGGTTCAAGCGATTCTTCTGCCTCAGCCTCCCGAGTAGCTGGGGTTACAGGCACCTGCCACCACCGGCTAATTTTTGTATTTTTAATAGAGACAGGGTTTCACCATTTTGGCCAGGTTGGTCTGCAACTCCTGACCTCAAGTGATCCACCCACCTCAGCTTCCAAAAATGCTGGGATTACAGGTGTGAGCCACCACGACTGGCCAGTACCCCAACTTTTTAAATGTAATAGTTTGAGATGTGTTGGAGATATGTGAAACAGGCCTGATTTATACATTGAAAATATGAAACGTGAATCTTTTCAGAAAAATTTCTATAATCATGATACAGTTATTAAAGCTAGGAAATTAACATTGGTACACTAACACTAAGTAAACTACAAACTTTAATCAATTTTTTTCAGTCATGTTTTCCAATCCAGGGCACCATATTGCATTTAGGTGTCAAGACTCCTTGACCAAACTATATTGTTCCTCATTCTTTTTTTTTTTTAATTTTGAGACTTTGATGCGTTTGAAAACTACCCATCAGTTAGTTTGTAAAGTGTTGTTCCATTTGGATTTGTCTGATGTTTTCTCATGATTAGATTGAGGTAATGAATTTTTGGCAGGAATGCTGCAGAGGTGATGCGCATTTTCAGAGTACATTACATCAGAAGGCACATGATATTAATGTGTCTTATTACTGGTGATGTTTATTTTCACCACTTGGTTGAGGTCTACTTGAGTTTCTTCAAAATAAACTTACCATCTTCCCTTTTGTCATATATATCATGGGATATAACTGTAGAGTATTCAAATATCCTATTTCCCCTCAAACTTTTACCAATTCATTTTATTATGCATTAATGGATTTTGTCTATAATTACTATTGGTTACTTTCCATCTTCAAACATCCTATCTCCCCCCAAACTTTTGCCAATTAATTTTATGATGCATTAGTGGATTTCATCTCTAATTATTACTGTTGGTTATTTTCCATCTTCCTCGTTTCTTTTGCATTTATTAATTGGAATTCTCCTGTAAAAGAATAGCCGTCCCTTCTCTGCCATTGACTTATTTATTCAATTATTTACTTATACCTGTATGGTCTCATGGATATTGATTTTAATAGATTGATTACAATCTAATACTATTGTTGTTTTCTTTGTTGTTCAATTGGTTCCAGTTTGGGATACTAGGTGCTTTCTCAGATTGGCTCCTATGTCCTTTTGACAAGCCCCCATCCTTGCTTCAGCACTTTCTTACTTTCTAGCCTCACAAGATGTCACAGGTTCATCATGTATTTTTCTTGTCTCAACCCAGGAATTAGCTACTTCTCCAAGAAGCCCTGTCACCTTTTATTAAAGAATGGTATTTAGAAACTAAGGTCTAGGCACAGGATGTGCTCATTGTTACTGAGATTTCATTGCTTCTAGGCTCGCTCCATGGAAAGAGCTTGAGAATACTACATGAATATGTATTAACCCATGTAGACACAGAAACCTGTACCTATCAATCTACTTACATAGCTATTAAAAAACACCCTATGAGTTCATTTTGATACCTTTAATTCAAATGCCACACCACAGGACTGGGCACAGTGGCTCACCCCTGTAATCCCTTTGGGAGGCCAAGGTGGGCAGATCACCTCAGGTCAGTAGTTCAAGACCAGCCTGGCCAACATGGTGAAGCCCTGTCTCTACAAAAAAAAAAACACAAAAATTAGCCAGGCGTGGTGGAGTGTGCCTGTAGTCCCAGCTACTCAGGAGCCTGAGGCAGGAGAATTGTTTGAACCTGGGAGGCAGAGGTTACAGTGAACTGAGATTGTGCCTAATTATTCTCATATATTTCTTTTTTCTTCACCCCTGAAGAGTTAGTGATGGTGACAACTGCAGCTGTGGGTTTGACGGCTATAGCAATGGTAGTGCAGGCAGTCATTGTTTGTTTGTTTTTTTTTGTTTATGAAATGATTGAAGGAACTTACAATATTGTTCCTGAAGGGGTGAGAACTTGGGGTAGTGACAGTTGCCTTCGACTCTATGATGTGCTTTATATGTAGAGAAACTGCTGGACTTTTCTGTTTTGCTCTAAACTTTTGAATAATAGGCAGTGGGCATTGAAAGGCAGGTTGATGTAGGGTGTGGTGGTTCACACCTATAATCCCAGCACTTTGGGAGGCTGAGGCGGGCGGATCACAAGGTCAGGAGTTCGAGACCAGCCTGGCCAATATGGTCAAACCCCGTCTCTACTAAAATTACAAGTAATTAGCCAGGCGTGGTGTTGGGTGCCTGTGATCCCAGCTACCGAGGAGGCTGAAGCAGGAGAATCACTTGAACCTGGGAGACGGAGATTACAGTGAGCTGAGATCTCGCCACTGCACTCCAGCCTGGGCTACAGGGCGAGAGGCAGTCTCAAAAAAAAAAAAAAAAAAAAAAAGGCAGGTTGATAACAGCTTAATATGTGGAAGAATTTCTAACAAGTGTAAGTGGCCAGCGGTGGAATGAGCTTTCAGTGAGGAAATGGGTTCAGTGTTAGATGTAGGTAGATAAAGAGAGTCACTTGCCAATGGTGACATAGAAAGTAACCTATATGGGGCAGGAAACTGGGAGTGAGAGTGATCTCTGTGATCCTGTTGGACACAAAGATTCTCATAGTCTTATATATAGTCCTACATAAATTGTTACAAAGTGAAAAACATTATTGGGAGTTCAGTCTTCTGAGCCACAGGCCACCTCTTACCTCTTTTAGAGTGACGTCATGCTTAAGAGCAGGGGCTACATAATCAGCTTGCCATGGGCTACATCCTGGCTCTGCCTCCCGCTAGCTCTGTTGAACACGAACAGATCACTTACCGCTTTGTTGTGTGAGTTAAAGGAGATAATGCATGTAGGGTGGAGTGTCTGCCTGGTGCATAGTGAGGGCACTATTCATCGCAGCAATTGTTATAACAAGTTCCCTCCCTCAACTGCCTTAATCTCTTTGCCTTCATTTTAGCATGTTCTATTGTTTTCATTTTGTATTGCCTGACAGTCCTCGCTACATTGGGGAGGACGTGATATCTTGGTTCTTTTGTCCAGAGACTTGCTGCGTATCTTGGAGCTCCTTTTGGGGAGACCCATCCCTTAGGCACATTCTGACTTACTGTAGTCTTACTTTTTCAGCTCTGCTACATGCAATATTATGTTCTCCAAAATTGTGCAGGTAGGAAATCCTTCATTCTTTCCTTCACCTTTGTAGGTAATGAAGGAGCCAAAATTCTCTCACCATCGTGAATATCTACCAAGAGTTTTCACAATGCTGCTTGACATTGTTGTCTGCTCTGGGAACCAGATAAACAAGTTTATTGCACTTCAGCCTAAATAACCTAAGTCATGTGTTCATGATCTTGTCTTGGGCCTAGCTTTGGTATTAGTGTTGGCTTAATAACTGAAGAAGACATTTTGTTTAAATTCTCACTTTGATAAAATTTTGGAACCAAGGGGATTTTTTTTTTTCAAAGCAAAATTTTACAGGCTCTCGTGCCTTGCTCCTTAGAGCTCCATCCGGTCTGCAGCCGCGCCTCTTCATTTACCACCAGTAAAAGCCTGGTCTCGGGGTGGGCCACACAGTCTGTTTCCACTTTCTGCACTTTGGCTGACACCTAAAGGGGAAAGTTTCCTAAAACCATGACTTGGTGAGATATCCTAGCTGCCACTTCCAAGGGAGTGTTTCATAATATTGTCCAATCACCTGGTGTCTGGTATAAGAGGGCCAACACAAGTGTCTTCAGGCTTTGTCTTTCAGAACCAATAATTCCATGAAATGCGAAAGGAAAGGTTGATTTCTGCAAGTCCCTGCTTTCAAGTTTCACTGCAAACCATTTGCACAGGAAGTCAAAAACATCTGTATTGGAAGGGTTTGGTCATTTTCTGAAAAATTCTATCTTTTCTTTAATCAAACATACCACATTTTCTTCCGCTTGGCAGGACTAAAGCAATCTGGAAAACTGGAATTGTAGGATCTTAGAGCTGGACAGAACCTTATGAATCATCCAGTCTCATCTTTCCTCAGTGCAGGAATTTCCTTAGAAACATTACAAATGGCTCTAAATTCTTTCCTGGGTTGAGGTCTCAGTGCTTCCTAAGACAGACCATCTAATTGTAGGCTGATTTTTATTGTTAGATACCTCTTTCTTTTTGGCTGTGGCAAAATGTCACTAATAACTTTCTAGTCATTCATAAGGACGGGCAAAGATTTCATGACAAAGAGACCAAAAGCAATCACAACAAAGGCAAAAATTGACAAATGAGATCTAATTAAACTTAAGAGCTTCTGCATAGCAAAGAAAACTACCAGCAGAGTAAACAGCCTACAGAATGGGAGAAAAGTTTTGCAAACTAGGCATCTGACAAAGGTCTAATATCCAGCATCTATAAGAAACTTAAATAAATTTACAAGAGAAAAACAAACAACCCCATTAAAAAGTGGGCAAAGGACATGAACAGAAACTTCTCAAAAGAAGACATATATGAGGCCAACAAGCATATGAAAAAAAGCTCAATATAACTGATTATTAGAGAAATGCAAATCAAAACCACAATGAGATACCATCTCCCACCAGTCAGAATGGCTATTATTAAAAAGTCAAAAAATAGTAGATGCTGGCAAGGTCATGGAGAAAAAGAAACACTTTTACACTGTTGATGGGAGTGCATATTAGTTCAACTAGTTCAATTAGGTTTCTGGAAAGCAGTATGGCAAATCTTCAAAGAGCTAAAAGCAGAACTACCATTTAACCCAGCAATCCCATTACTGGGTACACACCCAGAGGAATAAAAATCATTCTCCCATAAAGACACGTGCACACAAATGTTCATTGCAGCACTGTCCACAATAGCAAATACATGGAATCAACCTAAATGCCCATGAATGGCAGATTGGATAAAGAAAATGTGGTACATGTATTCCATGTAATATTATGCAGCCATAAAAAAGAACAAGATCATGTCTTTGGAGGGAATATGGATGGAGCTGGAGGCCATTACCTTAGCAAACTAATGCAGAAACAAAAAACCAAATCTGCGTGTTCTCACTTATAAGTGGGAGCTAAATGATAAGAACACGTGGACACAGACTTGAACAACAGACACTGGGGTCTGTTTGATGGGGGAGGGGGAGGGGAGGAACAGGAGCAGAAAAGAGAACTGTTGGTACTGGGTTTAATACCTAGGTGATGAAACAACGTGTAGAACAATCCTCATGACACATGTTTACCTGTGTAACATGTACCTTCACATGTACCTCCAAACCTAAACTAAAGGTTAGAAATAAATAAATAGGGCCAGGTGCAGTGTCTCATGCCTGTAATCCCAGCACTTTGGGAGGCCGAGGTGGGTAGATCATGAGGTCAGGAGTTCAAGACTAGCCTGGCCAAGATGGTGAAACCCTGTCTTTACTAAAAATACCAAAATTAGCTGGGCATGGTGGTGGGCGCCGGTAATTTCAGCTACTTGGAAGCCTGAGGCAGAGAATTGCTTGAACGTGGGAGGCAGAGGTTGCAGTGAGCCGAGATCATGCCACTACACTCCAGCCTGGGCGACAGAGCGAGACTCCATCTCAAAAAAAAATTAAATAATTAGAAAAATGAGTGGGAACATGCACATACAACACAACACACACATGCGTGCACACACACACACACACACCCCTTTCTAGTCATTTGTGTTAGGCAAAAACGTGGCCCCAGTGATCTCGGCCTCTTGGTGTTATTCCTGTGAATGCGTTATATTACAAAGGGACTTTGCAGATGTAATTAAGGTTGCTAATCAGTTTTTTTCTGAATTATTGTGCAGGCCTAATCTAATCACACGAGGCCTTGAAAGCAGAGCTCTTTCTTCAGCTGGTAGCATAAGGGAAGGTCAGAGATTCATGGTAAGGAAAGGATGGGATGTGCTGTCATTGGCTTAAAGATGAAAAGTGTCATGTGCCAAGGAAACTGGGATCTCAGTCCTGCAAGAGCCAGAAACAAAATCCTTCCAACAATTCAAAGGGGTTTGTACCCTTTGATTTCAGCCTTGCAGAACTCTGAGCAGAAGATGCAGCTGAATCACACCATGCCCGGACTCCTGACCCACGGACCTGTGAAATAATAAATGGGTGTTCTTTTTACTTAAGACAGGACCCCCAGAGTCATCGGTGACTCTTGACTCTCCTTAGCATCCACATGCTAGTTATGACCTGTGCATTCCGCTTCAGGGTAGCTCAGGCAATGCCCCTCCTGTCCCTCCCAAATGCCACTTACAGTACTTCAGCCCCTTCCTGAGACTATGGCCATGTCCTTGCCACCTGGTGTACTCCTCCACCACACTACATATGAACAGTATAACACATGGGTGGCCAACCATCCAGTTTGCACAGGTCTGAGGGGCTTCCCAGAATGTCCAACTTTCCGTTTTAAAACTGGGAAAGTCCTGGGCAAATCAGGATGAGTGAGTGGATCACTCTGCTGTTGGTTGTCTGCACATGACTGAGATGCCTCTGTCAAAAAGGCTGGTCATACTAGATATTTGTTTCTGGATCCTTCTTTGCAGCTTGGGCTTCGGCATATAATTTAATGTCGGTCAATGGTATCAAAGGGAAATCTTCTGGGATGTGAATTAACAGAGATGCGCCAAAAGAAATGACCATTCTTGTTGGTTTCAAGTGTTTCTGTATAAAGTTATGATGCCTGGAGCTGGTCATGAGCAGTTAAGCCTAAGGACCAAGTCATTATGCTGATGAGAAGAAAGAGGGAAGGAGCCGGGCTCCTTGAACACATGGCTGGCCCACTGCATCAAGCCTTCAGCCATTTCCTTCTGGACATTGTGTTATGGAAGAGAATATCATTGCAGCCACCTGTAGTCAAGGATTTTGTTTCTTGAAGTTGAAAACATCCTAATGGGTAAGATACCATGGCTATTACTCATTCTGCCTCCTGAACACCTGTTTATATATCTATGAGCATTGCAGAATACAGCCTTTCATAGTACTTTGGTCACATTTGCATTGCCATTTTGAGTCCTTATTTGAAATTCTAGTATATAGAAATAGTTTTCTTTCACATACAAGCGCAGTAGGTGGAGTAGATAGCAGGGCAACATAGAGACTTTGACAATGAAATTAGGAGAGACAAGGGAGGTTGAAGGAAGGCAAGCCAGAACTTCAGAACTGTTCTCTTCCCTCTTTAAAGACAAAAGGTGCTGGGGAGCATATGACAAGTTGGCAGTTCGTGTGGGGCAAAACATTATCCAGAGCAAGGCTTGGGGGATACAACCCTGCAAATTGGGGGAAGTGGGTGGAAAATATTACCTGGCATTGGTTAATATGTGTTTATGTATTCAGCATATCTAATTGCCCTACTCTGAGTCTTAGAGACAGGCAGTCAAGGGAAGAGGGGGCCTACAACTCTGGGCCATAAGTGTGAAGTTACTGAACATTTACATCCAAGACCAGTTCTGAGGGGACGCTGCAACTCCGTGTGCATTCCATCAGCAACAATGCACAGTAGATTTACAAGTGTCTCCACAGATGTGTTAGTAAGCATCAAATATGAATGAAATTCATATTCATTTATCCATTTCAGAGAAACGCCATTGGTAATGTTTATATTTGGTGAAGAGCCTTTATAATTATGAACATAAACATATTTATAAGAGCTTTCATGAGCTCATTTGTGACTGCGATCCCCCAACTGTATTTGAAGATCTTAAGTTCAGATATGTCAGATTTTCCTTCTGTGAGGTTTTCAGGGGGATGACCCTCACAGTTCGGCATGGGGTTGCGGAGCAGAGAGTGGATTTGTCTCTGCCTCTGCAGGCACAGTACCGTCTTTGTGTTTGTATCTTCAATGTTTATCAGGGACAGGCAATAAATATTTTTCTACAACCTAAATCTTGTAGGATCTTGTTGCCCCATTGCCTAAAAACTTCCAGTAGCTCTCACTGCCTATAGAATTAAATCCTTAGCATGATGTATAAGGCCTTCCACAGTCGCATCTCAGTTTATCTGGCCAGTCTCCTCCTCAGATCCTCTGCCATTTCCTCCTGTACCCTCTGATGTTGCACACAGTAGTCACTGTTCTCCAAATGCAGCTGGCACTTCCTCACTTGTGTACCTTTACTGATTCTGCCCCCTTCGATGGCATACCCTTTACTCAATGTATTCCTGGTAAAGTCCTACACATCATTTATATCTAACTGAAGGCCAGCTCCTCTTCATGATTTCTCTTTGTGCATATGCCTTAAAAGCAGGTGAGCACCTAGCAGAATGCCTAGCATGTCTGATGTACTCAATAAGTGCCTGTGGCATTGAGTTGAGATGAGATAAATTGCAATCCACCTCTTTGTAAGTTTGAAGATGGGCACTAGCTCTTTCCTGAACATACACAAGACAAATCCATTGCCTTTTCCACACAACCAATTCAATATTTGAAGGTACCCATCCAGCATCTATTTAACCTTTGCTTTTCCAGACCCTTCCAGTGATTACAATGAATATATGAGTCACTGATGATCAATCCTTAATAGTGTGCAGAGCTTTTTATGCATTTATGTCATTTGGCCCTCAGACAACTTCATGAGGAAGGTAAAGCAGATATAAATCTGTCATGATCCCCATGGTAGAGATGAGGAAATTCAGTTCTAGAGAGGACAAGTGACTTGTGCAAGGTCACATGGCTATTCAGTTGAATAAGGTGAGTCAGAAGAATGACATTCTCATGTTCTTTTGTTTGCCTTTTTGAGTCCTAACCGTCTTGGCCTTTCTATTCTGAGGCACCTCTAATGTGGATTTAAAGGGTTTTTGTTTGTTTGTTTACTTTTGGTCCTAAAGTTAGCCAGGAGTTCTGTTTTTCTTTCTGTGGTTGTCTTATTTGGCATTGGATGGAAGTTGAGTGGAGCTAGAAAGCCTGGTTCTGACTGAGCACTCTGTGTCCTAGTGCAAAATGGGCACGGAGGGCTTGTGAACATCAGGGAGTGTGCCAAGTGTTACTGGTCAGTCCTGGTGATAGAAATTTTTGCACTTTTTTTTTTTCACTCGAACCACATGGGGATCTCCATCTGAAAGCTCCCAGACTGTGATTAGAGCCAATCTCTGACAGAGTTTCCAGGTATAAGCACCCTAATTGTTCACAAGTCATACAACAAATGTGCATCATTTTAGCCAGGTGATCTCAATGGCCTCCCAAAGTTTGAGAATTGTTCTTCGGAGTCCATGGAAATACCACCTTTTCATGTGACAACCAGCAGGCTTGAATTTCTCTTTCTTCTCCTAAATTGTATGTATGCAAATGTGTGCTTTTGTGTGTGTTGTTTTGTGTGTGTTGTATCTGTGTGGTTAGTGTGTGTGTGCTGTATCCCTGTGTGTTGTGATGTTTTGTTGTGCATGCTGTGCGTGGGTACATGCATTATGTTGTATGTGTCTTGTTGGGTGTGTGTAGGGAGTATATGTGTTGTAGCTCTGTGTCCTGTTGTGTGTGTTGTCTGCTTGTATGATGTTAGGTGTGTGTGTGTGTGTGTGTGTTGAATTTGTCTCTGGTGCCTGTGTTATATTACTGTGCATTGTGCTGTGCGCGTTGGGTAGGTGTGTTGTGTTGGGTGTGTATATGTTGTATCTGTGTTGTGTTGTGTGTGTTAGCTGCTTGTATGATGTGTGTGTGTGTGCGTGTGTGTGCGTGCGTGTGTGTGTGTTGGTGGCAGAGGGAGAAAGGATTGAGGAGGAGGAATCTGTCTTCTTCTTAGGAATGGCAGGGATGTTGAAAAACCTTCTCTAAATCCCTAATCTTTTCACCCAAGATTAAGCATATAAAATTGTTGGCTTGAAGAAGTCAGATTCTTGATGACTCCAAAGAGACAGCAGCAAAGTGAGTCAAGAAGCTTAGCTTCCTATCAGCAAAGAGATAAAGGGGCTTCAGCTCTGAATGACAGTTTGAGCAATATACCCTAATCCGATTACCAGGGAATTCAGTGTCACTCTATATTAATGGTAGATTTTAAAAAATGAGGGCTAAAGAGTTAGTGTTCATTATCCAAAGACTTCAGTTATTCCTTAGGATGAAATCACCCTTGCCTGAAACTCAGGGTTAAGGGGCAGGAGACTGGGGTGAGGCTGGGGCGAGGGGCAGCGGCGGCTCATCTCCTAGAAGCGTCCTTTGTTCCCCCAGGCTTTGTTTAAGCTGTCAGCTTCTCCTCTGCTCAGAAGAGAGAAGGAGGAGTGGAGCCCAGGGGGATGTGGCAAAGTGAGGGGGCTGAATGAAACACCAAGTAAATTCTGCTTTGAATTTTCTAGCTGGAAAATTGTCACATTGAGTACATTTGCTGCCTCCTTTAACCTCCAGGCTAAAACAATTCCTCATTTTAAAATTGTCCTATGGGATTTAGCATCTTTTAATACTTTATTTGGTATTTGGAGGAAAAGAAAGGCAATGCGGTGTGAAAGAATAGAAAAGTATTTTTCCATTACAGAGCTAATTAATCTCCAGGGATTTCAATGGAAAGCCTAGTGTGAAACCGGGCAAAAGAATACAATTTGCAGGTAACAAACATACTCGTGGGTCCTGAATTCTGTTTTTTTGGCTTCTCTGTTTTAAATCCAAACCAGGTCCTTAAAGACCAAGGCTCACTACTTAGCTGGAGCACTGATATTTTGTGTTTCCTTAATGAAAGACTGATTTCTAGACCAGGTGCCCAGAACTTTTATGGACTGGATTATGCTTTGAAAATAGTCTCACCTGGAAAGTGATTGGCAAACATTTCAACTATTTCTACCCTTGGCCTTAGTTGGGAGGGGATGCCTTGTGAATCTTGGGCAGTAAGCTGGAATGTGGTCTTTATGAAAGTGACTCCCAATATTCCCCTAAGATTCTAATATGACACTAGACTTGGACTGAGCATTCAGTTCACTTACCTGAGTGAAAATAATTCGCTTTTAACTCTGGTTAGAAATCAAACTTATGAAGACAAGGAGAAAGCCTTATATGGTTCCATGGAACTTCCTGATCTCAGAGAACCCTTAATTGGAGTCTGTTTTTCCTAACATACGCAAACGTATGTGAAGCAGTCTCGTGTAGAAGGTTCTCTTGTTTTAGCAGCTTGAGGGTAAAGGCAAATGTCTTCACTAAACTTATAGGAATTGCCAATTTGTTCTATAGGGATATTGGTAATTCCCAAATCTTGTTGATCATCATCACCATGAGGATACTTACCGAAATACAGAATCCTGGTTCAATTCTAGACCTAATCAAATTTTCAAGGGGCAGGGCACATTTTAAGAGCTCCCCACTTGAAGCTGGTGATGAACCAGGCTGGGGAGTCACTGAGGCAGGACATCTTGAGGCAGAGGAGGACTCCTCAGGGAATGTAGCTGAAGTCCTCAAGACGGTTTGGTCCCTTATTGTCTAATGATCTTTAAAATTTTTTAAAATTAAAACCTTATTTTGATATATATAATGTCGAGTTTGGAAAATCTATAAAGGGTGTAGCTTATGTCAGAAACATAAATATTTCTATGGTTCAAATCATTGCCCTTTATATTTTCCAGCTGATGAATGTAAGGCTTACAAAAAGCAGACAACTTGGTCAGGCTCAACCACGGACTAAGTGGCAGAGCCATGTTTCAAACTCAGTTTTGTTAGATCCCAAAGAGTCCATGCTCTTTCTCCTACATCATGCTTACAAGTGAAGAGGAAATACATGGGGCCTGAATTCCATGGTTCCTCTTTTCCAGGTGGATTTTTAACTAAGGGTGTGTCTTCTTACAGCCTTCTAGTTTTCATTGTGTTTGTTGCTTATAATTACAGATTGCTCCAGAGGAGAATAGGGTCAATTCTTTCCATTTGGCATGCAGGTCCTTAGCTATTTGTGAGGGCTGAACCAGAAGCTGTAGGCACTGATGTTACTGGCTGAAGTCGCACTGGAACATGTTGCTCTTCATATTTACGTATGCTATTTGCTACATTTCTCATTATCCTGAATGTAAGATGTGTGCTTGCACTCAGTGCAGTTGAAAGAAGTTAGGCTGTTTGATTCAGCAAGAAAATCCTCTTCTTCCCTAAGGAGTTCATGGTTTACATGACAAAGCACTTTAAAAATCAAGTGAGGTATTCTGCATTCAGAAATAACGGTAAGGTCTCAAGTCAGGGAAGGGAGTAACTGGGCAGTGCAGATGTGTACTTTGAAATAAGGCTGGTTTGATTCTAAAGACTGGAGCGAAAATGGATGTCATCATAGAGAATAACTGTATTGATATGGTTTGGTTGTGTCTCCACCCAAATTTCATCTTGAATTGTAGTTCCCATAATCCCCATGTGTCGTGGGAGGGACCCAATTGGAGATAAGTAAATCATGGGGACAGTTTCCCCCATGCTAGTCTCATGATAGTAAGTTTTCACAAGATCTGATGGTTTCAAAAGGGGCTTCCCCCTTTGCTGAGCTCTTATTCTTCTCTTTCCTGCTGCTATGTGAAGAAGGATGTGTTTGCTTTCCCTTCTGCCATGATTGTAAGTTTCCTGAGGCCTCTCTCAGCCATGCTGAACTATGAGTCAATTAAACCTCTTTCCTTTATAAATTACCCAGTCTCAGGTATGTCTTTATTAGCAGCATAAGAACAGAATAATACAGGAAATTGTTACCACAGAGAGTGGGCTGCTGCTGTAAAGATACCTGAAAATGTGGAAGTGACTTTGGAACTGGCTAACAGGCAGAGGTTGGAACAGTTTGGAAGGCTCAGAAGACAAGAAAGATGTGGGAAAGTTTAGAACTTCTTAGAGACTTGTTGAATGGCTTTGACCAAATGCTCCTCCTCTTAGACGGAGATGAACTTGTTGGGAACTGGAGTAAAGGTCCCTCTTGCTATGCAAAGAGACAGGTAACATTTTGTCCCTGCCCTAGAGATCTGTGGAACTTTGAACTTGAGAGATATGATTTAGGGTATCCGGTGGAAGAAATTTCTAAGTGGCAAAGCATTCAAGAGGAAACAGAGCATAAAAGTTTGGAAAATTTGCAGACTGATGATGGGACAGAAAAGAAAAAACCATGTTCTGGGGTGAAATTTACATCAGCTGCAGAAATTTGCATAAGTATGAGGAGCCGAATGTTAATCACCAAGACAATGTGGAAAATGTCTTCAAGGCATGTCATAGATCTTCATGGCACCACCTCCCATCACAGGCCCTAAGGCCTAGAAGGGAAAAATAGTTTTGTTGCCTGGGCCCAGGTCCCCCTGCTCTATGCATCCTTGGGACATGGTGCCCTGCATCCCAGCTGCTTGAGCTCCAGCCATGGCTAAAAGTAGCTAATGTACAGCTCAGGCCATTGCTTCAGAGGGTGCAAGCCTCAAGACTTGGTGGCTTACATGTGGTGTTGGGCCTGCCGATGCACAGAAGTCAAGAATTGAGGTTTGGGAAACTCTGCCTAGATTTCAGAGCACATATAGAAATGCCTGAATGTCCAGGCAGAAGTCTGCTGCAAAGTCAAAGCCCTCATGGAGAACCTCTGCTAGTGCAGTGTGGAAAGGAAATGTGGGTAGTAGCCACCACACAGAGTACCCACTGGGGCACTGCCTAGTGGAGCTGTGAGAAGAGGGCCACCATCCTCCAGACCCCAGAATGGTAGATCCACTGACAGCTTGCACCATGCACCTAAAAAAGCTGCAGATATTTAATGCTAGCATGTGAAAGCAGCCAGGAGTGGGGTTGTACCCTGAAAAGCCACAGGAACAGAGCTCCCCAGGGCCATGGGAGCCCACCTCTTGCATCAGCATGCCCTGGATGTGACATATGGAATCAAAGGTGGTCATTTTTGAACTTTAAGGTTTAATGACTACCCTACTGGGTTTCAGACTTGCATGGGCACCTGTAGCCCCTTTGTATTGGCCAATTTCTTTTATTTGGATTGGGTGTATTTACTTAATGCCTCTATCCCCATTGTATCTAGGAAGAAGTTAACTTGCTTTTGATTTTACAGGCTCATAGGTGGAAGAGGTCTTGTCTCAGATTAGACTTTGGACGTGGACTTTTAAGTTAATGCTGGAGTGAATTGGGACTTTGGGGGATTCTTGGAAGGGCATGATTATGTTTTGAAATGTGAGGACATGAGATTTGGGAGGGTCAGGGGTGGAATAATATGGTTTGGCTGTGTCCCCACCCAAATCTCATCTTGAATTGTAGTTCCCATAATCTCCACATGTCATGGGAGGGACCTGATGGGAGGTAATTGAAACATGAAGGTGGTTTCCCCCATGCTATTCTTGTGATAGTGAGTAAGTTCTCACAAGATCTGATGGTTTCATAAGGGGATTCATTTGGCTCTCATCCTTCTCCTTCCTGCTGCCACGTGAAGAAGGACATGATTGCTTCCCCTTCTGCTATGATCATAAGTTTCCTGAGGCCTCCTTCAGCCATGCTGAACTGTGAGTCAATTAAACCTCTTTCCTTTATAAATTATCCAGTCTCAGATATGTCTTTATTCGCAGTGTGAGAATAGACTAATACATGTGCAGTCTGAGTTGATAATGAGTTGGTGAAATTGAGTGGAGACCTTGTTACAAATGGAGCAAGGGAGAACAAAGAATGAAGAAGGGAACAAAATGGGTGAAGCTGATTGGAGACAAAAGTTACAAATTGAATCAGTGGGAACAAAAAATGGATTGGAGACAAATTGTTAAAAATAGAGCCAGTGGGGACAAAATATAAAGAAAGAAACAGAGATGGATGGTGGACTTGGGATTAAAAGAGATGAGATAATGAAATGGCCATATGCTTCAAAATGGAAAATTTAGAGCAGAATTAACCTCTGTCAACTTTTGGAAAAATTCTCCAGATTTACTTCAAGAGTTGTGGCAGTTGCCCCCCTCAAAAGAACTTGCCCATCTTAACTATTCTGTTGATGATATAATGAGCACTAAGTAAACCTTGGATAATAAGTAGATAATGTATAGTATACTGATGATAGTATATTCCAAAATGACATACTCTCTGCATGACAGTAATACTTTATACATATAAACTATTTCCCTTTATGTGTCTGAATCAAAGCCGGGTGGAGAATGAGATTCTTGTGGAAAAACCAATGCAGGAAGTGCCTAAACTTGGGTTGAACTGGAGGGTAGGGGACAGTGGCTTTTGATAGGAGAATTTTTTTCTCCTCATTATCTCTGGGGGGCAGAAAGGCAGGCATCCCTTGGAGCACCATGTTTGAGCAGACAGTAGGTTTACTACTGTCTTTTAAATGAATACATTTAAAAAACCTTTAAAAAATATGAGAATTGGAACAGTTAAGTAAGTAAAGAAAAGGAAACAGCAAAGCTAAGTCAGCCCATAGATGTCAGTAGAATCAAAAGGATCTGGCTAACAGGAAGTGGGATTCCAAGCTGCTCCCACTAACAAGAATAGGGTTTCATTGATGTTGCTTCTACGCTTTGTTTGAGGCAGAGGCTGTATAAGCCCATTCAGCAGGAATCTCGGCCTTTGGATTTCCATATCAAAGACAGACTGTAGTTCTCTGCTTGCCTTGGTGGCAGTCTGACAGCCAATATCCTACCTCAGATCAATGCACTCTGCCAGTCATGACCACAATGGGAACTTCCTAAGTTATCTGTGCTGAGAAATGTATTCTTTTCAAATTATTTGCGAGGCACATTTCAGCAGGGAGGAAAAACCCTCCAGCCTTTTGGCTCTGGAGGTGAGATGAGACTCTATTATCAGCTGAGCTCACCTCCCTCTATGTTTTCTTCTGGCATCAGAATTCAGCGGCATCTAAGAGTAAACAACTGTGAAAGCAAGGTATTTTGATATTTTCAGCTTTAACTATTGTTTCCAGCTCTTCAATTGATTTTGTAAAACGCACAAAGGCTCAAATGAGGATGAATTATTCTCTGGAGGCAGGCCACACTCAGAAAAGGTATCTAGTTTTCCTTCCTTCCCATCTCTCCTTCCCTCTTCTCTTCCTTTCATTCTTCCTTCCTCCTAATTTTTCTCCTTCCTTTTTTTAAAAAAATTCTTTTTATCTTGTTCTCTGCATAAAAAAGGGCACAGGAACAGCAACACATCATACAAATGTGATTATTATATTCCAGGAATCACTAGATGGCTTGGCCACAATGGACTTTCTCTAGGAAAGTTAAAGGAGAACTTCATTTATTGTACCATGTTATGATTAGTGTTGCTCCACTACACCCTCAAATAGTATTTTTAAGGCTCAAATTTTTATTGTAGACATAACTTTTAGATTTTGGACTATTAGAAGGGCCGAATCTTTCAAACAACTCTGGCTGCATTTGGATAGCAAAGACTTCTATGTCATTGAGTAATTAAGCCATGCATTCTTGTGCAGGATTATATGATAACCATTCATAACTTCTTAAGATCCTTTCCTCCTTTTGTTGCCATACCTTTACATCAGTGTTTCCCAGACTCTAAGTATCTAGGAACACTGGTGCTCCTTCTTTGAGAAGTAAGTAGGGGTAACTCTAGATAGGCAAGTATCTTACTTAGAAGTAAGTAGGGGTAACTCTACATAAGTCTCTGGTTGTGTAAGTTGGGGAAATGTCACAACATAGTCTAAAGTCCCATAAGGCAAATCTATATATCAAAGGCTCCATAAAGACCTGCAGTAAATAAAGCTTCTTAACTAGGTTAACCCACTGTTTCACTTAGAGATTTGACCAGAGAACATTAACTTGTGTGTTCTCCGCTAACAATTGTGAATCTAGGGCACTGTTTCAGTCTACTTTTCTCTTCTCTGACCATGCTACCTCTTGCCTCTGAATCTTCTTTCTCCTTTAATACCCAGACCTGGACTTTTTTCAGTGCTCAACTTTTGCTTCTAGGTCTTTTCTCCTGTGCATTGTTTTGAGAGTTTTATAAACTTCTGTGCATTTATACAGAATATAAACTCAACCCAGTGGAAGGTCTTGGTCCTTCTCTTTTGTTCCCATTTGCATTTCCAACTGATTTTCTTATAAATCCATGCAGAAGTCCCACCACTTCACTCTCCTCAACTGAACTAAATTCATCTTTTTTCTGCAATCTACTTTTCACTTCCAATCCCTCTATGTGTTAATGATACCACCATGCCGCCTTGACAGGAGGAAATCTTGAAGTCATGTTTAACTCCTTTTTCCCCTCTTGGAAATACGATTACTGACATTTCCCATACATATCTTAAGACCTCTTGCTTCTGTGGAGAAACATTTAACATTAAAAGGATGATAGCAGTCTTTATTTATTTACTTAAATATTTATACAAGTTTGAGGAGTCCAATCTGTGAAATTAAATAACTACAACTAATGGTTGGTATCATAAAATGTAAGTTAAATTGGAATAGCATTACTTAGGGAACTCTGTTGGAATTCTCTATCTTCCAGCCTCCCACCTACCCCAACTTAGAGTCCAAATAAACACATGAAGAAAATGAACATCAGAATAAAATTAAAAAGAAAGCAATACTCTTTCCCAAACTGGGAAAAAATGGAAGTTGGTGAGGGATACATTTTGAGCAACTGTAGGAACATAGAGAGGGGAGAATGCATTGAGTCAGTTATTGAGTCCAATGCTGATACATGCACTGCTCTGGCACGCAGCAGGGAGTCCTGGTGTCTGTGGCTGTAGGTTTTATTGGGGCAGCAATGCTTATTAAATTGGGTTTCATAATATTTGAACTTCCTGTGTGGTCTGGTGAATGGGGGGCCCCCTGCATTCCCTTCAGCTTGTTCTTTAAAATGTACCTTGGCCACATTAGCTAAGCTCCTCATAGAAATTATTTCTTTGAGTTCTGGAGTTCTGTTGCCTGGCTGCCACCTCCCACTGCTTTTTTCTTTTTCTTTTTTTTTTAACCTTATGCACAAAAGCAGTGCATGGTCACCAAATAAAAATACAAATTCACCAAGAGAACAAATAAATAATACCTGTAATTTTATGCAACCAGGTGGCTTGGTTTGTATCTTGGCACCTACGTCTCTGCTCCTGTGTATATATGTGTGTTTCTTTACAAAGATCATTCTGCTATCATTTCCTAATCTGCATTTTAAGATTTATAATATATTTGAAAATCTTCCCACACAATAAATGTACTTCCACAGCCTTATTTGTGAGGGCAGCATAGTACTTCATTTCTGAAGGTCCTCTGATGTTTTTTGGACAGTTCAATTAATGGAATTTCTTCTGTCATGAACAGTGTTGTTATGAATTCTCACAGCTAAAACTGTGTGCATGATTTTAGTTTTTTATTTGGATGAAGTACTTAAAGTGGATTTTCTAAATTAAGGAGGCAAACTTTTAAGTTTTATAAAGTATATTCTGAGAAATTAACCTCCAAAGAAGCAATTATTATTGCTTCTTTCTCTTATATAAATGTTTCATATGATTCAAATTAAAAAGTCATTTTATTATTTTTATTTATAATTGTTTTATTACTTATTGTGTTGAATAAACCATTACATCTTCATTCATTATTAATATTACTTTACTAGTTAGTAATTCATGGGAACTACTAGCTCAAGTCTTCTCTCCTTTTCTACTGGGATATTTAATTTTTGTTACCAAGTTTTAAGGGCCTTTTCTATATTAATGGCAGATATTTTATAGTGAGTAAGGATTTGTTTGGCATTTATTCTGTGCCAGAAAGCCTTCTAAGCTTTTACTCATATTATCTTTGTTTTAAGCTTTACAGCTTTGTATAAAGTAGGTACAATTGTTATTTCCTTTAATTTTGGATGAAGAAATGAAGGCAGCATGAGAAGTTTGTTGAAAGGTACATGGTTTATAAATTTAAGAGCAAAAACTTTACTGAGGCAATTTGATTCTTATCCTGCTTGCTATCCAGCCTTTTTAAGAACATGAATATGTGTGTATATACATATACACATATATGCACATCTTTACACACACACACAAACATTTCCTTTCTGATTGTGTTTGCAAGGACTTCCAAATTTAATAACAGTGGTGCTGATATTCATGTCATTCCTGATTTTCTCTTTTTAGATTTTTAGAAATGTGGTCTCATGCTATTATTCAGGCTGGAGTGCAGTAGTGTGATCATAACTTCCTGCAGCCTCAAACTCCTGGGCTCAAGTGATTCTGCTATTTCAACTTCCCGAGCAGCTGGGACTACAGGAATGCACTTTCGTGCCTAATTAAATTTTTTTTTTTTAGAAATGGAGTCTTAGTATGTTGCTCAGGCTGGTCTCTAACTTTTGTCCTCAAGGGATCCTTCTGCCTCAGTTTCTGGGTCTTCTGTTACAGGTGTGAGCCACTATGCCCAGCTTCTGATTTTAATAAGAAGGTCTCTAGACTTCCAGGGTTAAGAATGATCTCTGGGAGGCCGAGACGGGAGGATCACCTGAGGTCAGAAGTTTGACAGCAGTCTGGCTGACGTGGTGAAACCCTGTCTCTACTAAAAATACAAAAAAAATTAGCCGGGCGTGGTGGCGGGCTCCTGTAGTCCCAGCTACTCGGGAGGCTGAGGCAGGAGAATTGCTTGAATCCAGAAGGCGGAGGTTGCAGTGAGCCGAGAATGTGCCACTGCACTCCAGCCGGGCGACAGAGTGAGACTCCGTCTAAAAAAAAAAAAAAAAAAAAAAAGAATGGTCTTTGCTGTTGGTTTCGGATAGATATATGGTTTCACATTAATTTAATATATTTTATTCTTATTTTACAAAAAACCATGATTGTAAAGAAGTTAACAGCACCTTTTTATTTAGAAACTTTTTTTAACATCTAAGAAAATGACTATCTTCACTTACCCACAGTGGATAGTTTCTAAGACCTCTGGTCTGAAACTGAGGATGGTACTGGACTCTATGTGTATTACGGTTTTTTTATACGATAGTACTGGACTCTATGTTTATTACGGTTTTTTATACCTTCATACCTGTGATAAAGTTTAATTTAAAATTGCACACAGTAGAGATTATTAATAATAACTAATAGTAGAGTAGAAGCATTATACTATAATAAAAGTTCTGTGAATCTGGTCTCTCTTTCAAAATATCTTTCTATACTATACTTCCCCTTACGTGGTGATATGGGTTAGCTCTGTTTTCCCACCCAAATCTCATCTCAAATTGTAATCCAGGGGAGGTAACTGGTGAGAGGTGATTGAATCATGAGGGGTGGATTTCCCCCTTGCTGTTCCCATGATAGTGAGTGAGTTCTCCTGAGATCTGATGGTTTAAAAGTGTGTGGCACTTCCCCCTCACCTCTCTCCTGCCACCAAATGAGATGTGTCTTGCTTCCCCTTCACCTTCAGCCATGATTGTAAGTTTCCTGAGGCCTCCACAGCCAAGTGGAACTGTGAGTCAATGAAACCTCTTTTTTTTTTTTTTTTTTTTTTTAATAAATTACCCAATCTCAGGTAGCTCTTTAGGGCAGAGTGAAACAAACTAATACACCTGGATACACTGGAAAAAGGGATGATTCATGTCCTGTGTGGAATAGACTGGATAGCAAGAAATTTCATTATGCTACTCAGAACAGCACCGACTTTAAAACTTATGAATTGCTTATTTCTGAAATTTTCCACTTAATATATTTGGACTGTGAGTAACTGAAACTGAGAAAAGCAAAACCGTGGAAAAGGGAAAACTGCATATGCTTTAGAAAATCTTTTTAGATTCATTGATATAATTAATTATGTTCATAGTTTTTAAAAAAGACTGATTCATTTTCACAATTCTGGAGAAAGACTATTGTGCTGTCTTCAATGTATGTGATTGATTGATTGATTTTCTTTATACCCTTGTCTAAGACTATGTGATTTATTTAATATGTGGCTAGGTTTGTTTTGCTGATATTTTCCTTACCAGTTTTCTTGTATATTCATAACTAAATATTTGTCTAAGTTTTTTGTTTGTTTGTTTTTAAGGCAATGTTTTTCAGATTCTGTTATCAGGATTCTGCCAATTCTCTGTCCATTTACTTGCTTTGGAACAATTGCAATGCCATATGAACTATCTGTCTCTTGATATTAGCTAGGACTCACCAGTAAAATTCCTCAGTCCAGGTTTATTTGGGGTTCCTTAAAATCATTAACGACTCTTTTGGCAGCTATTTCTGTTTTCAACCTTGTGTCAAGTTTGGAACCTTAGTTTTTGCTGGAAAAATCTCATTTCATTGAAATATCACATTAGTAGATTTGTACGTAGTGTTTTATATTAAAATTTTCTTTTATATCTTGGTTACATGCCCTATCTCCTTTATGATTTTTTTTTGTTTTGGAGTTAAGCTGACTTAGAGCTCTGTCCACTTTACTGTCAGTAAATCAGCTCTTGGACTTATTAATCAATCCATCTTTTATTTCCAGTGCATTACATTTTTCCTTTATCTTTATTAGTATTCTCTAATACTTACCTGTTTCCTTTCTGTAAATTTCCTGTGTTGTATGCTTAGGTCATTGATTTTCATTCTTTCTAGTTTATAATGAAACAATTTAAAGCTTTATTAAAGATAAATAATATCTTTAACTTTTATTTACTTTATTTGGTCTAAAATATGATGAATAATGCTAATTAAAGCAATAAAAAAGCTGAATCTAGCCATCTCCCTACTCATACTTACTAATTATATAACTCATATCTTTTGTAAACTTTTTAAGGGTACTACTTAATCTTACAATGACTTAGAGAGTTTAATTACAGCTTTTCACTTCAGTGTTTTGTCAGTGTTTCCAAACATTCAAGCAATTTTTCCTTTATACATTTCAATATATGCCATTTTCTTCATAAAGATTCAAATCAACTAACTTCTCTGTTAATATTTTCTGCTTTTATTATTATTTTTAACTGACACCTAATAATTGTACGTATTTATGGAGTAGGGTATGATACTTTGCTACATGTATACAATGTATAATGATCAAATCAGGGTAATTTGCATATCCATCACATCAAGTATCTGTTAATTTTAAAGTTTATGAGTTTAAATTGACTCTCCTTTTCCCATTTTATAGCTTTTGCTCAGAATTTCACTTGGTTTAATACTAATTTGGGGACTCCTGCTTCTAGGGGTGCCATTTGTCTGATTCAACATTTTCATCAATTTAATCTTTCTGATGCCCTTTGTCGAGTATGACACAAAAGTGCCCCTGGATTTTGCCACAAGTCCATTGGCAGTGGTGAATCAGGGGGTTTCAGTGGAAACGAGCCTGCCAAACTTCAGAGTACTGAGCGCTCCTGGCTGTATGGAGCTACTGCAAGCGACTCTTCCCATGAGTGTGTCTGTGAAGAGGGTGTGACATGAGAATGAGATAGGATGAGATACATAAAAAGAAAAATAATTTGGGGTAGAGGGTGCGGGAAGAGAATTAAGCACCTTTAAATACTGATGGGAAAAGCCCCAGTATAGAACAGTGTTGAAACCTCAGGTGAGAAAGTAGATCATTTATGAAATTAAATCCCTGGAGGAGCTGTTGAAAATAGGATCTAGATCATAAGGGGAGGGATTAGTTTTATGCAAGAAGAGAGATGCTTCTTCCATCGTCCTAATTAGGAAGGTGAACACGACCCTTTAGAAACACCGGGAAGCTTGAGGTGGCAGCAAAGGAGAAAGTATTTCCTTCTGTCTTGTGACTTCTATTTTACCATAAAATAGAAGGCCAGTTGTCTGTTGAAAAGAAGAAGGGATATGATAATGTACAGATTTTCAGTGGTAGAAGTTTGAAATAGTCACCCTGAAAAATAAGTGGTAGATTTTTGTTTTGTTTTGTTTTGTTTTGTTTTGTTTTGTTTGAGATGGAGTTTCGCTCTTGTTGCCCAGGTTGGAGTGCAATCGCGCGATCTGGGCTCACCGCAACCTCCGCCTCCAGGGCTCAAGCAATTCTCCTGCCTCAGCCTCCCGAGTAGCTGGGGTTACAGGTGTGAGCCACCGTGCCTGGCCAAGAGGTAGATCTGATGAAAGAAAAACGGACAAATTGTCACAGATTGCTGAAAACTCAAGAGAAGGCAGAAATCATGGATTTGAGGTCATACTGTTTCATGAGGTTGTATAATTTCCTTCACTGTTATTTAGCAGCCTGGAAGCAAGAGCAGAGAAAGTGAAAAGTTAAGTTGATCCATGGTGTGTGGATTTCGCAGGGCCAATGGAACAGAATCACAGCACAAGGGTGTTGAAGATATTGCTGAGAGTGGCTGAAATGACAGTGGGATGCAGAAGGAAAAACAATCAGAGCTGGGCTCGAAGAGTGAACTGAAGAGGAGGAGGTTCTGGAACTCATTTCTTAATGAGATATGCCATGCCATGAAGTATATAACATATGCCATGAAGTAATGGAGAGAAATCTGAAAACGTAAGAAGTGTATTTTCAAATTTCATTTTATTTGGGACATAATAATAACAGTTGGTCCTGCTGTCTTCTGTTTTTCTGTTCTATGCGATAAGATGCTTTATTCAGAGTTCTTGAAATCAAATTACCAAAACTTACTCAAAAAGAAATAGAAAAGCAAGTCCAGGTGTGGTAGGTTATGCCTATAATCCCAGGGCTTTGGGAGGCTGAGGCAGATTGATTGCTTGAGCCCAGGAGTTCGAGACCAGCCTGGGCAACATAGTGAGACACTGTCTCTACAAAAAATAAACTAAATTAGCTGGGTGTTGTGGTACACATTTGCAGCCCCAGCTACTCAAAAGGCTGAGGCAGGAGGATCAATTGAGCCCTGGAAGTTGAGGCTGCAGTGAGCCATGATCGTGCCACTCAACTCCAGCCTGGGAGACAGAGTAAGATCCTGTTTCAAAAGAAAAAAAAAATAGAAAAGTTAGAAAGCTCTATATAAATAAAATAAATTTAATTGAGGATAAAAAAAAAAAAAAACTTCCCACAAACAACCTTCAGTTCCAGATGGCTTGTCTGGTGAGTTACATAAACATTTAAGAAAGAAATAGTACCAATTTCACACAAACATTCAGAAAATACAGAAAAATTCCTAACTAATTCTATAAGGCCTATACTACTCTGACATACAAATCAGAATAGGATTACAATGAAATAAAACTACAGACCTATATCTTTTATAAAATTAGATTAAAAATTCTTACCAAAGTTTCAGCAAATCAAGTTCAACAATATAAAAAAAAAGTACATCATGACCAAGATGTGTTTATCCTGGTAATAAAGGGTTGATTTAACATCTGAAAGTCAATCAATATATTTCAACATAGTAAACAAGCAAAATAAGCCACATGATTATGTCAATAGATGCAGAAAAAATATTTGACAAAATTCAACGTTTATTTTTAATGAAAGCCATCAGTAAATTATTAAGAGAGAAAGCTTTCTCAACCCGAGAAACTAAGATGATACTCAGTGATGAAAGCTCAATGCTTTCTACAGGAGCAAGGCAGGGATGTCTCCTCTCCCCACACCTATTCAAAATTGTGAAGTTCTATTCAATGCAATAAGGCAAGAAGAAATAAATAAATGGCATTCAGAGTGGAAGGAAGTAAAGCTGTCTTTATTTGTAAATGCCTTGTTGGTATATATAAAAATCCACAAATGAACAAAAAGTTACCAGAATTAATAAGAAGTTTAGCACAGTTACACCAAGTCAAAAATACAAGAATCAACTGTATATCTCTATACTAGCAATTAACTATTAGAAATTGAAACAAAATTTCACTACAGTAGCATCCAAAGATAAAATATTTAGGAGCCAACTAAATCAATGATGTTCATGACCTTATATATTAGAATGTATATAACATTGTAAAGGAAAATAAAAGGCCTAAAAAAATGATTAGATGTACCATGTTTAATATCCTAGCAGGCTTTTTGTTGTTATTTTGGGTTAATTTTTTAATAGACTATTTTTTAGAGCAGTTTTAGGTGCACAGGAAAACTGAGCAGAAACACATTATACTTCCTGCCCCAACACAGGCATAGCCTACACCACTACCAACATAAACACCAGAGTGGAACAGCTGTTACAATTGATGAACCTACATTGATATTTCATCATCCAAAGTCCATAGCTTACATTAGGGTTCACTCTTGGTGTTGTATATCCTATGGATTTTGAAAAACGTATGATGACATACATCCACCATTATAGACCATGCAGAATAGTTTCACTGTCTCAAAAATCCTTTGTGCCCTTCCTATTCATACCTCCCTCCTCCTACTCTCTGGAAACCACTAATTTTTTACCGTCTTCATGGTTTCGCTCTTACCAGAATGTCATATAGTTGAAATTGTACAGCACTTAGACTTCGGGTTGGCTTCTTTCACTTAGTAACATGCCTCTAAGGCTCTTCCATGTCTTTTCATGGCTTGGTAGCTCACTTATTTTTAGTGCTGAATAATATTTCATTGTCTGGATGTACCAGTTTATCCATTCACTTAAGGACTTTTTATTTATTTATTTATTTATTTATTTATTTATTTATTTATTTATTTATTTTTTGAGACGGAATCTCGCACTGTCATCCAGGCTGGAGTGCGGTGGTGCCATCTCGGCTCACTACAACCTCTGCCTCCCAGGTTCAAGCGATTCTCCTGCCTCAGCCCCCCAAGTAGCTGGGATTACAGGCACCTGCCACCAAGCCTGGCTAATTTTTTGTATTTTTAGTAGAGATGGGGTTTCACTATGTTGGCCAGGCTGGTCTCGAGCTCCTGACTTTGTGATCCGCCAGCCTCGGCTTCCCAAAGTTCTGGGATTACAGGCGTGAGCCACTGTGCCCGGCCCACTTAAGGACATTTTGTTGCTGCCAAGTTTCAGAAATTATGAAGAAAGTTTCTGTAAACATCCATGTGCAGGTTTTTGTGGGGACGTAATTTTCAACCCATTTGGGTAAATGCTAAGGAACAAGATTGTGAAATCATATGATAAATGTATGTTTTATTTTGTACAAAACTATCAAGCTGTCTTCCAAAGTGACTGCACAGTTTTGCATTTCCATAAGCAATGAATGAGAGTTTCTGGTTTCCCACATCTTCATAAACATTTAATGTTTTCTGTGTTTTGGATTTTGGCCATTCTAACTGGTGTGTGGTGATATCTCATTGTTGTCTTAATTTGCAATTCCCTGGTGACACACGGTGTTGAGCATTTTGTTTTTAAATCTATTTGGCATCTGTATGTCTTCTTTAGTGATGTGTCTGTTCAGATCTTTCATTCATTTTAAAATTTATATTGCTTATTTTTCTTATTACTGACTTTTAAGAGTTATTTGTATATTTTGGATAACAGTCCTTTATGAGGTATGTCGTTTGCAAATATTTTTATCACAGTTTGTGGCTTGGCTTTCAATTCTATTAATAATGCTTTTTGCAGAACAAAAGTTTTTAATTTTAATGAAGTCTAGTTTATTATTTCTTTCATGGATTGTGCCATTGGTGTTTTATCTAGAAAGTCATTACCAAACCCATGTTACCTAGATTTCTCCTATGTTATCTTCTAGTTTTACAGTGTTTCATTTTACATTTAGGTCTATGATGTCTTTCTAAGCTAATTTTTGTTAAGGTTATAAGGCCTGTGTTTGGATTCATTTTTTTTTTGCATGTAGATGTCCAGTTATTCCTGCACCATTTGCTGAAAAGTCTGTCTTTGTTTCATTGATTACCTTTACTCTTTTGTCAAAGGTCAGCTGACTATATTTATGTGGGTCTATTTCTGGGCTCTATATTTGTCTACTCTTTCACCAATATCACATTATTTTGATTACTGTAGCTTTATAGTAAGTCTTGAAGGCTGATAGGGTCAGTCCTCCAACTTTGTTTTCTTCTCTTCCAGTACTGCATTTATTCTGGATCTTTTGCCCATAATATAAATTTTAGAATCAGATTGTTAATTCCCATAAAATAACTTGCTAGAATTTTGATTGGGATTAAATTGAATCTGTAGACCAAATTGGGAAGAAGTGACATTTTGATAATATTGAGATATGTGAACGCAGACTATATCTCCATTTATTTAGTTCTTTGATTTCTTTCATCAGAATTTTATAGTTTCCCTCCTATAGATTCTGATTATATTTTGTTAGATTTATATTTCATTTTAAATTTTAAAATGTTCATTACATATTGAATTTTCAGTGCTGTTAATGCAAATGGTGATGCAATTTTGTTCATTTTTTTCTTGAATGCTGCCTGCTTTCTCCAATATAATGCTTAACATATGAATCATAGTTGTTTTAAGTTCCAGGTTTGATAATTCCAACATCCCTGACGTATCTGTGTCTGATTTTGATGCTTGCTCTGTGTCTTCAAACTGTGTGTGTGTGGTTTGTTTTTTGTTTTTGTTTGTTTGTTTGTTTTTGCCTTTTAGTATGCCTTGTCATTTGTTTTGATGGTCGAAGATGATATACTGTGTGAGGGAGGGAGAGCGTTCTGTATTCCCATGGTTAGGTCTCAGTGTTGAGTAAGCTTGTGCCTCTGGATTGTGAACTTCACAAGTGCTTCTCGTCTTCCCTTCCCTCCCACATGGGACAGAATGGCTAGAGTGGGCTGACATTGGGTATTTCCCCTCCTCTAGGTCAGCTAGCCTCTGATAAAACCCAGAAGGTTAGGCTCTGGCTAGTTTCTCCTAGGGGCAGACATTGTTAAGAACTGAATGCTCTGGCACATTTCAAAATGGCTTCTTTTACCCTCCCCCTGATTGAAGCACCAAGGGATTTTTTGTGATTGTTTACATCAGTGAATTGAATCAGTTCATTGAATTCAGTGAATTCAATTCAATTCAGTGAATTCTTGTAGGTAATAATCACGAAAGTTTGTGGGCTTCTTGATGACTGGGTCCTCTGGATTCCTAAACTCTCAGACATGTCCATACTGAGCCTTCAGAGGTTCTTCAGTTACAGTATAAGTTTTCCTATCTAGGCACTGTTTCTGGAGCAGATTTCTGCTTGTGAGTTTCTCCTCTGGTGAGCTGTGATTCTCTGCATCCTCCTGTCTCTTTCCAACTTTGGGGCATGCCCTGTGATCTCACTCTGATGAATCTAAGAAAAGTTGTCAATTTTTCTGTTTGCTCAGTTTTTACTTATTTTTAGAATAAAGTGACAATTTCCATGCTCCTTGCATCCCAATTGGAAACTGGGAGTCAGAGTAGTATTATATATATTTATAAATGAAGATTTTATCAGTTGTCTTGTCATACCTCTCTATAGAACATATATTTAAATTATTTGTTTTCCTTTGACTACAAGGCTTCAAATATTACGTTATCATCATAGTCAGAAAGTAATTAATTAAACAATATAAACATGCTGCAAATTTGGTAAATAATTGTTAACCATGAAAAATAAAATTTTCTGATTTAAAACAATTTGTTAACCCAGTCTTTGCCATTCATCTTCTTATTTTCAGGGAGGTACACCAAGAAATCTTTACTGAGGCTATTGAAATGATACTAATTTTACTTGCTTTTCATTTATAGGCACTTTTTAAAAAAGTTAAAATTAGATGGAGCTCAGTTTGAACATCCCTACAAAAATTGAAATCATGCCTTTTAGTATTTCCTCAAGAAGCTAAATAAATAAGTGAACAACTACTTATTTATTCATCTCAAAGTTTAATTCTCTCTATCATCTCAAAATGCCTTTACAAATAATAGCCAGATACTTGAGAATTTATATATATAATACACATAAAAATTATATATAACATGTATACAAATTTTATATATTATATAATATATGATGTATGTACATATACATTTATATATATACACACATAATTTTATGTTATGCTTGAAAACAATTTCATAGAATTAGAATAATATTTAAAATTTGAGAAGGAGCAAGTAATTCAAATTAAATAAAGGCATTTTCTAAACGTTAGGACATCACTAGATGTATCATTTACATTGCATACTGGAATATTTTGTCTTTATATATATACATTAATGGA
Source organism: Homo sapiens (assembly GCF_000001405.40). Lineage (NCBI taxonomy): Eukaryota > Metazoa > Chordata > Mammalia > Primates > Hominidae > Homo > Homo sapiens. The sequence continues at coordinate 13,154,415 of NC_000017.11, forward strand.
TAGTCTCTTTTTCAAGTGGGAGTTTACTGTGCTTGTGGAAATAATATGCAGATAAAGAAGGGAAGATTTGGGGTCACTAGTAAGCTAGTGAATGAGGAGCTTACAACTGACATATTCGTGGTTGCTGTAAAGTGCTATGTAACATACCAAAGAAACAAATACAAATCTGAGAAGTACGTGGTCAAAGTGGATGAATAAGCAGATGGTGAAAAGCAGTCAGCAGGAGACTCTTCACCAAGTAAAAAGTAAATATAGATTTACAGTAGCTCATGACCTACTATCTGAAGTGAATGCAGTTATTTCTCTTGTGGAGCCTGAGTATTTACACAAGGATTTACTCAATAATCAAGAAAATATAAAATTGTATCTTACTTCTAATCTACTCTTACACTCAAAGTTGTAACATTGATCCTTTGAAAGAAATCTTGAATGTTTTCACTTCCTTTTCCTTGAAGTGACACAAAATGTGCCCTCACTAAGCTCTTTGTTTTTCCTGAGAATGGTAGCCACGCAGAGGGGATGTGCTTGTGCCAGGTTGGTGTTCTCCCTGATGTGGGCATGTGTGCGTGTGCAAATTCTGACTACCCTAATATTATGACAGATAGACAGAGGTAAGACATGGATCCCTGCCCTGAGTTTGTGGCTTTGTTAAAACTAAGATTCCACTGCCTTTAGTATGTCATCCTGACAATTTCTTTTCTTTGCTTTCACCAGATTCCCTAAGGAGTGATGTATGCATTGAACTTGTCAGAGGATAGAAGAGGTGAAGTCATTAAACAACAATCGCCATGTCTCCTGCTGCCCCAATCTATAGTATGTCTGAATTCAGATATCTCAACATAGTTCACAATACCGTGCTTTGACTTTAATAGAAATATTATAGCATGAGAATGACTCGAAACCCTGCATGAGTTTCTGGGGCCTTGATTAAAAGAAGTTTTGCAGACACCAACCTTTTGAATGATCTGCCCTCGAGACATTTTACACCCTGGGGTACTGCATCACAGTAAGATTTGGGATGAATGAGAGACATATCTTTCTTTTATAAAATGGGAGAAAGTGACACTAAAAGGAGCAGTGATAAAAGAAACCACCCGACACGGTACATTTTTAGGCAGCTTCATTTCAGGAAGGAGTCCAAGGACATTGGGAATATGCAGTTTGCGTCACTTAAATTCTCCTTGGCTACATACCTCTTGGGAAGTGTTTGCATGCCCCCAGAGGAAAAATGCCTCAGCTTAAAACAACTTCTCATTAGATACCAACCTTCTTCTTTACCTATGTTGGTTTCCTAGGGCTGTTATCACAAATTTCCACAAACTCAGTGACTTAAAACGACAGAAATTTATTCTCTCACATTTCTGGAGGCCAGAAGTCTGAAATCCATTTCACAGGGATAAAATCAAGGTGATATCAAGTAGGGGGGTGCTCCCCAGGGAGGCTCCAGAGTACAATCCATTCCTTGCCTTTTCAGCTTTTGGTGGCCGCCAGCCCTTCTTGGTGTATGGCTGCGTCACTCTCCAATCCCTGCCTCTGTGGTCACAGTATTTTCTTTTATTCTTCTGTGGCAGATCCCCATCTGGCTTCCCCCTGTATAAAAACACCTGTGACTACATCCAGATAATCCAGGATGATCTTCGAATCTCAAGATCCTCAACATAATCACATCTGCAAAGACCCTTTTTCCGTAAAAGGTAACATTTATAGGCTCCAGTTGATTAGGACCTGATGCCTTGGAGGCCGTTATTCACCATACTGCTGTAATTAATAAATATTTTTCATCTGCTTTATTTTCTGCTGTGTCTTCAGCACAGAAATGATATACACTGAAAGAAGATAACTAACAGTTACATTAATTTTTTAAGTTCTGGTAGTGGTGAGTTTTCTTGTGTTCTGGACAAATGTAGCTTTTTGGTCTTTATTTTTTTTTTTAAATTTTTTTTTTTTTATTTTTTTTTTGAGACGGAGTCTCGCTCTGTCGCCCAGGCTGGAGTGCAGTGGCGGGATCTCGGCTCACTGCAAGCTCCGCCTCCCGGGTTCACGCCATTCTCCTGCCTCAGCCTCCCAAGTAGCTGGGACTACAGGCGCCGCCACCACGCCCGGCTAATTTTTTGTATTTTTAGTAGAGACGGGGTTTCACCGTTTTATGGTCTTTATTTTTATAAAAGTTATGAATTTTGGTCTCTCTGTGTGTGTGTGCACACATGTATGAAAGATATCCTTATGGATATTTAATGATGCATTGGGCAATGTATCACTAAAATATCAGGTGCTCTTTAAAATTTTGGAAAGCAAAGTAAAGTGGGCCATACCAAAGAAAGATAATGCTCATCAAGTCAATGTACCGGGTTCTGATTTTCACAAAACCTTGAACACTAAATTATATTTCCTGGTGCCCAGGCCCTTTTTAGGTACTCCCTAATTCACTCCCTCCTTAAGGTAGTAAACCCCAATAATTATCAATGATTCTAGATACCATGGAACCAACGCCCATTTCTTTGCTGGGCTATTGCAACCATAATACTTAGCACCATTTGGTCCTGAGTTTTTGGGGTTCAGAGCCATTTACCCCATAAAGATCATGCATTCTAGAGAAAGCCAAACTCTCCAAGAAATAGAAATGATAATAAAATAAAAGTGTTATTTGGGCATGAAAGGCCTCTTATTAACTAAATAGGCCTGTTGCATACCGGACAAAGTACAGCAATGGTATCTTCAGCACACAGCCCAAGACCAACTATAAACGATCCATTCAAGTCACTTAGGGTCCATGTGTTAAAGGACTTCCAGATGTCCTTGAAGGCAGACCCTCTGTTCTATAATCTGGATCTCATCCACCATATGGTGCTGATTTGGTTGTCGTGGTGGAGCAAGGATGAAACACAGGCTGCTTTGCAAGCTCCCAAAGAGTTGGAAAATTGTTTAAGGCCTCATCATTTATCAGGTTGGAAGTCCCTATGGCAAACACTTCCTGACTTCAGTGAAGTAAGGAGATGCATGGTACACTCTAAGGACAGGCTGTTTATGAAGAATATAAATTATTATTTCAATGCCCTGGAATAACCCCAGATATTTTGGGATCTTAGCAAAATTCTCAGTTCATGGCCAGATGTTTTGAGCTAAATTGGAATTGTTAAATGTAAAATGATTATCAGAACCTTCAGGTTCTATTCATCTTTAGGGATCTTACTTCATCACTAAAGGTGCTTACTTCTCTTAATTATGGCCAATGGCCGCTCACACTGCAGTGTTTCAGTGATACTTAAAGAATCAGAGACAATTAGAATCAAATGGGGCATTTAGAGAATATCTATTTCAACACTCCTATTTTCCAAATTAGGAAACAGGCACGAATAAGGTGAATAATTCATCCTTGACTCACAACTGGAGTAAATGCCTCCAGATTTCTGGTATAGAACCCATTATACTCCTAGGGATGACCTCTCTGCCATGGGTGTCCTCTTAAACAAGGTTATCTTGCTGGGCGCAGTGACTCAGGCTTGTAATCGCAGCTGAGAGACTGCAGTGGGAGGATCACTTGAGGCCAGGAGTTCGAGACCAGCTTGGGCAACATAGTACGACCTCATCTCTACAAAAAAAATAAGAACAAAAAAATTAGCCAGGCTTGGTGGTGCTACCCTGAGTAGCTATGCCTGTAGTCCTGGCTACTCAGGAGGCTGAGGCAGGAGGATTGCTTGAGCCCAGGATTGGAGGCTCCAATGAGCTGTGATTACACCATTGTATTCTAGCCTGGGCAACAGAGTGAGACTTCATGGCTAAAAATAAATAAAATTAAAACAAAAACAAACACACAAAAACACTGAAGCCTTCTGATTCTGAACTGCAGGCAGGTTGAGTTAGACATGCTCATTGGGAGGAAAATCCAGAGCCACCTTGTCTAAGTCTGTTATTGCTGCTATAACTGAATACTACAGACTGGGTAGGTTATAGAGAACACATTTATTTCATATAGGTCTGGAGGCTTGGAAGCACAAGATCTAGGTGCCAGCATTTGGTGTCTGGTGAGGGTCTTCTTTCTGTGTCCTCACATGACAGAAGGCAAAAGGGCAAGCTAATATAATGCTAGTATAAGGGCCTTAATCCCATAAATGAGGGAGGAGCCCTCCTGGCCTAATCACCTCTTAAGGACCCCACCTCTGAATACCATCAACTTGGCAACACCTAAATTTTGAAGGAGACACATTCAAACTATAACACAACTGCAATCATATTCTAGTCTGCTTTGCTAATGTTTTCAGCCATGAAGTAATGCTCTGACTCATCTGCCTGCCTCCAGTTGCTTGCTCCTTCAGCCTCATTTTCACATTTCTACCAAATATAATGTCCTCTATTCTTCAGTCTTCCCCCTCAAAAGCCATCAGTGGCTTCCTGTTGAATAATGATCAAACTCTGTCTTAGGGCATTCAAAGCCTAGCACCAAAACTGGCAAGTAGGTTTTAATTAGTGCACCAGCCCTGATGGATTTTTGTCCTTTCTGCCTGGAGCTTTGTGTTGAAAAAGGATCTAAAGCTACATCTGAATTCAATGAGAAGATGTGTTGTGATTGATTGGGGATTGCTGCCATGACTTTGGTATCTGAGAGCAAAAGCCCAAGGCCAAGCATTTCTTATCCCTGCCCAACACGACCCAGTCTCATCTTCTCATCTATCATTCCATCTCTGTGTCTCACTGTATTATCAAACTGTTTGCTCCAGCAACTTCAAACTATGTTCAGTCAAGGGTGAGTAAAAACGTACAGCAATATATTCCTCATTAGAGTGTCAGATATTTAAGAATATCCATGTATTCTACTTCTTTAAAACTTTCGTATCTGTCCCTTCTTTGCCATCTCCACTGCCTCTGACTTAGTTCAGACCCTCGCTAACTCTCCCTGTTCTGTTTTACTATTGTCCTATCTGACCATCATTTATTGTGAATTAAGACCCTCAGTAGATCCCATTTCAATTTCCTTAGCTTGGTTGGAAGTCCCTACCCCCTAAGCTCACATACACACTTTAGCCACTGCTAACCTTTCCAACATTATCTCTGCCCCATTTTCCAATGCAACTTGCAATGGCAGTCAACTTTCAGTGCCATTTCCTTGAAGGCAAGGTTCATTTCTTACTTAACTTTGTATCCCACACCACCCATTATGTTGCTTATAATACTGTGGATATTCAATCACTGTTTTAATGAATGGATTAATGAATGAAGAATCTTGAGGATCTAGGTTTTTGTAGATCTGTTCTAAGTATAAGAAGTGCTGAAAATATGCTATAACCTCTGAGACTTGGAAGTGGGAGGGGATATTGAGAGCCTTGGCCACACAAAGAACGGCTCACCAGAGGTAAACAAAAGTTCTGGAAAAATTACCTGGCTAGGTAGCCAGACCTAGACCTGCAAGCCTGGGGAACTCTAACTTCTGTAAGGAAGGCTCAGACATCAGACTTTTGCAAAGCCAGCTTCTTCCCTTCACTCAGGTCTTGCTTCAAACACTACCTCCCCTATCCATTGCATTACCCCATTTATTTTCCTCAAGGAACCTTTCATCTATCTTACTTATTGTTTTGACTCTTTATCTATCTTCCATCTTTCCCAGTAGTGTAATATCAACATGAGAGCACAAGCTCTTTTGGTTTGTTTACAGCAGTGTCCCCAGCTCCTAAAACCATGTCTAGTACTATTCAATTTGTCTAATAATTGGATCGATCAATTCTCAGTACTAGTATTCACTCAGATAAGAGAAGGGGGCAAATGAGGTAATCTAGGTGGTGACCAATAACTGGGGGATGGATAGGAAGAAAATGATTATCAGGAGAATTAGTCAATGGGTTCTTGCTCCTAGCCTCAGGAAGAGGGCTGGCAGTAATTAAGTCAAGTCCCTACCAGTTCTAGAGTTTGGGGAAGAGTGAGGCTTGGAATGCTTTGAAGGGAAAGTGGCAAGAGAACTCCTGTGGGTAAGCAACCTTATGGGGATAGCGAATGCTCCACAGCTATCAGATTCTGGATCAACTTGGCAGTCCAGAAGAATTGCAGCCATGGGACCTGGCTCTGGGTGGACCATGGTTTTTAAGCCATGAGATTCATGAGAGAGCTTTGATGTGGGTATTACATACGTCCCAATGTTGCTGGTCTTAAATCAGGAATTACAGGAAGCTCAAGTCCACTAATGGAGTCACATACTTTTAAGATTACGGGGCTGGGGAAGGCTACAGAAAGAGAAAAACAGAGAGGGGATGAGATTCAGAGAAGGAAACTAGTAACTGTTGAAGCTTATTGTGTGCCAGTCACTGTATCTGGTTACTTACATGAACCATCCCATTTAATCCTCTTCAACCCTACAAGGTAGATATATCAACTCCATTTTATAGATGAAGAAACTAGGTCTCAGCAAAATTAAGGAAACTCCTAAAGGAGGTAACACAAATAATAGAGAAACCAGAATTTAAGCCCAGACCTAGACGACTCCCAAATCCATGCATTTTCTTTTCATTCAAATACAGTAGTTTTCTGTATTGCTCTGCCCCTTTTTCTTCTGTGATATGTGTGACAGATAATCACACCTCTGACATACTTCTATGTGACTATAAATCATTGAAGGTGTCATCTGAGACTCTCCCTCTTTCTCACGCAATAATGCATATCAGAATGTGACTATGATATCATGGGAATAACTTTAAATTTGTGTTAAAAAACAGATGATTATTAGATTTCCAATCTGCAAAAAGAACTGGTCATGAGACACTGGATTTGGATAGACAAAGGCTGGAAATGGGACATTTAATTGTTCAAATCTTTTTGGGTTACCATACTTGGTATGGAGTTAAATTTTCAGGGGGAGCTGGGATTGCTGTCATTAAAATTTATTAAGAAAGGCACAGTGAAAAGAGGAATTGGTCTGAATTTGGAACTCAGCCTGATAAAGTTGTCCTGGATCAATAAGTGGGAAATTAGCTGGACTGAATCCACAGTTTGGGCAATTAGTGAGGGAAAGCTATTTTGTTTTTTGATAAGTTGGAGTGTATCATGGACTTAAAACAAGAGTCAGGCTTCGTTTTGATGCAAAAACTGTCTGATTTGGGCTCTAAACCTACAGATGGACAACTCTACCTTGTTTTAATTGTTCTCTGAGTTCTATATAAAAAAATTTTGGGAATTTGTTAATTTCATATACAATAACAACAAAAATGGAATGGCCATTTTATGAGTTCCTAGAACTGGAATAAAAAATTATCACAAATTTGGTGACTTCAAATGACAGAAGTGTATTCTCTCAAAGTTCTGGAGGCCAGAGTCCAAAATCAAGCTGTGGGAGGGCTGCACTACCTCTGAAGGCTCTAGGAGAGGATCTTTCTTTGTATCTTTCAGCTTCTGGTGGCCCCAGATATTCTTTGGCTTGTGGCCACCTAACTCCAATCTTTGCCTCCATCTTAATAAGACTATCTTCTCTGTGCCAGTCTTCTCTTCTGCCTGTCTCTTATAAGGACATTTGACAAATCTCACTTGTTATTAGATTTTGGTCTCATTTGGATAATCTCGTGTGATTGAAATATCAAGATCCTTGAAATAATTACATCAGCAAAGACTCTTTTTTCTAAATAAGGTCACATTCACAGGTTCTAGGGATGAGGAGGTGGACATTTTTTGAGAGGCCACTGTTCAAACCACTATTGTCCTCTTTTTCCATGTAGAGGACATTAAAATACAAGTGAACAAATTTACATAATGTACAGAATGTACAGAAATCACCTGATTTTTTTTTGGAATGCAGAATGTATTATAACAGAGACTAGATATCACAAAAGGGTATTAAAGCAAATCAGGTGATTGTAGACATCTGGAAGTATGATTCCAGCCAGGAGTGAGACGATGATGCATCTTCTGGAGAACTTCTTGTTGAAAGGCTTGGGAGAAATGTGAGAAAGACTTGACTTCCAGGTAAAGAGAAAATGAATGAAGTGGGTTTTGTAGCAGACAATGTTAGCTGCTAACCTAAAACCCCCTCTCCCTGCCACCTGACTTCACTAGGGCAGCTGGAACAGCCAGAAACTAGCTTTCCCAGCCATCTATGCAATAGGGGTTACTGTGCAACTCAGTTCTGGCCAGTGACACGTAGGCTGTGGATTCCCAACTTATCATTTGAGAAAAAGAAATCCTTATCTTTCAAGCCAGTGTTTGCCAGGTGTTCTGGTCCTTGTAGTTCAAAGCATTCCCTATTGATAGAGTTGCTTTTCTAGAAGAATTCAGTCCTTTTTTCTAAACAGGAAAATTCCTAACTACATCACAATCTCCAGGCTTAGAAGATGAGAAACCTGAGGATGGAAATGTTTCCTTCTGACTTAGACTGACAATAAGCTTACTGTTGGGTTTGGTACCTGGATTTACTGACCTCTCATCTTCAAGGTGCTGGTTGGTTGCTCACAACATATAGTCTTAGGGTAGCCTACTTGTAGTTAAAGGCAAACTGTCCATACTGAAGCTAGTAGAGGAAGCTTTGCCAGAGAACTCTGCTTATGAAATCTACTCTCATTATCCAACTAGCATTTTAGATAACCAGCAGTTTAAAGAAGGTGACAAAAAGGGAAAAATGCACCTGGGAAGAAATATGTGAATTCATGATGGTCCTGAGAGTGGCCTTCAAGTTTTGTGATTATACCTATGTCTCATGGTATGATCACATTTACTCAATTTTCACATATGCATATTTACCATTCTTTTCCACTGAATATTCTGTCCTCCATTTTGTGTTCACATATGTGAGTTAATACATATATATGTTTTTAATTATATGGGAGTATTATGCCATTCTTGCAAAGAAATACCTGAGACTGGGTAGTTTATAAAGAAAAGAGATTTAATTGGCTCACGGTTCTGCAGGCTGTAAAGGAAGCACAGTGGCTTCTGCTTTTGGAGAGGCCTCGGGAAACTTACAATCATGGTGGAAGGCAAAGGGGAAGCAGGCTCATCTTAGAAGGCTGGAGCAGGAGCAAGAGATGGGGGAGGTGCTACATACTTTTAAGCAACCAGATCTTGTGAGAACTCTATCACACTATACAGTACCAAGAGGGAGATGATGCTAAACCATTTATGAGACACCTCCAACACTGGGGATTGACTTGACCTGAGATTTGGTGGGGACACAGATCCAAACCATCCTCAATAAGTAATACATGAATAGCTTTCTCGTTGTAAAAAAAAATCAGTAGTGCAGATAAAATTAAGAACGTCATTGATTATCCTACCCTCGATTCCCAGTAACCAGAGATAATGAGTCATAACTCTTTGGATACTCTTGTAGGTTTTTATTTATGTATTTATAAAATACGTGTCTAAAGAAATTTGTAACTCCATTTTCAGATGTTTGCATGCAAGCATTTAATAGAAATGATGTCATGTAGTAAGTACCGTTGCAGTATCTTGCTTTTTAAAAAACTAAATGTCTTGTATGTCTTCTCATATCCATACGTATGAATCTTGATTATATATTTTTAACAGCTACATAGTATTACCTAATGTGGTGGTTTTAAAATTTGTCCACAAATTCTTCTATACTTCCTTTTGCAAGAGGTGGAGCATAATTCCTCTCTTGTTTATTGTCAGTTGAACTTAATCACTGTCTTCTAATGAATAGAACAAAGTAGAATAATAGCATGTAACTTCAAAGACTAGATGGTAAAAGAAAGGCATTGGGATTTCTTCTTTGCTCTTCTTTCTTGAATCTACTTCCCTGGGAGAAGCCAGCTGTTATGAACGTTCAACAGCTCTATGGAGGTGCCCACTTGAAGAGGAACGGAGGCCTCCCTCCAACAGCCATGTAAGTGAAGAAGACTTCAGTCCCAGTCAAGCCTTCAGCCAACTGCAGCCCTAGCCAACATCTTTACTACAAACTCATGAGACCATGAGCCAAAACCACCCAACTACCCAGCTTAGCCATTCACAAATTCCTCACCCATAAAACTATACTATAATAAATATTTGCTGTTTTATGTCATTAACTTTTGGGATAGTTTGTTACATAACAATTGATAAATAACACATCTAGTATGGTTTTAATTGTCTTTATTGATCCATTCCCATATTGATAACACTTATATTTTTGTATTACAGGGGTACTAGCTGCCATCCTTTTCTTATTTCTGATTGTAAGAAAATGGTTCTAATATTTCATTTTTAGGTATGACACTTTTTGCTGATTTTGTTTGATACTTTTTACCGGGTTAATAAAATTCCCACAATAGACCAAATTTGGAAGCAACCTAAGTGTCCATCAACAGATGAATAGATAAAGAAAATGTGGTACATATACGCAATGGAGCACTATTCAGCCATACAAAAGAATGAGATCCTTTCATCTGCAACAACATGAATGGAACTGGAAGTCATTATGCTAAGTGAAATAAGCCAGGCACAGAAAGACAAACATTACATGTTTTCACTTATATGTGAGACCTTAAACTCAAAACAATTGAACTCATGGAGATAGAGAGTAGAAGGATGGTTACCAGAGGCTGAGAATGTAGTGGGAGGGGGAGGGGGAGATGGAGATGGTTAATGGGTACAAAAAATAGAAAGAATAAATAAGACCTAGTATTTGGTAGCACAACAGGCTGACTATAATCAACGTAATTTAATTGTACATTTAAAAACAACTAAACAAGTATAATTAGATTGCTTGTAACACAAAGGATAAATGCTTGAGGGGATGAATACCCCATTTTACATGATGTGACTGTTATGCATTGCATGTCTGTATAAAAACATTTACTCAGTAAACACATACACCTACTATGTACCCACAAAAATAAAATAAAATAAAATTCCCTCATAACTTCAGTTTGCTAGGTCTCCTACATAAATGATAAATGAATGGTAAATTTTATTGGCTTCTTTTTCTTTACTTATTGAGATGACCAATTTTCCAAACCTATTAATTGGTGGAATACATGAATAGATTTTATATTAATTAAGGTTAAAAATACTTGTGTTTCTGGCATATATCCAGCTTGGTCTTGATGTTTTTTATACATGTATAGATGTGGTCTGTTTTATAATTGAATCAATTTATAATTTTTAACCCTATGATCATAAATAAGATTGACCTTTAATCTTCTTTTGTTGTCTAAATCAGGTTTTGGTATCAAGATAATGATAATCTCATAAAATGAGCTGGGGCTATACCCTCTTTATTCTCTAGAAATTTCCTTTTAAATAGGGAATTTTTAAAATAGGTTTGGAAAAAATTTGTCTGTGGTTTTCCAGTAAGATTTTTTGTTAATAAGCTTCTATTTTGAGCTTATTTTTGATTTATGGAAAAATTACAAAGATATTACAGACAGTTCCCATATATCCTTCACTCAATTTCTCCATCTCATATAACATCTTAACATCTCATATAATAATATTACATTTGCTAAAACTAAGGAATTGACATTGGCATATTATTATCAACTGAATTTCCTATGATATGTAGAATTTCCCAGTTTTTATTTTGGGTTCTTTTTCTCTTTCATGGTCTAATTCAGAATAACACATTGCATTTAATTATCATGTCTCTTTAGTCCCCTGTGGTCTGTGCAAGTTCCTCAGTCTTTCTTTGTTTTCCAAGACCTCGACAGTTTTGAGTAGCACTGATGAGGTATTTTGTAGAATGTCCCCCAGTATGGGCTTGTCTGATGTTTTTCGCTTGATTAGACTGGTGTTATGGGTTTTTGAAAAGCATGCCACGGAGATGAAGCATACTTCACATAACATCATCTCAAGGCGAAAGGTGGTATCCATGTGATATCACTGGTAATGTTAACTGCATGCCTTGGCTAAGGGCTTTCTACTGTAAAGTCACTATTTTTCTCTTTCATATACTATTTTTTTTGAACCAAATCACTAAGTTCGGCCCATGCTTGGTGGGCAGGGGAATTAAGTTTGGCATCCTGAAGAGGGGGCAGTATCTACATATATTATTTGAAATTCTTCTGAAAATAAATTTGTCTATTCTCTTCCATTTCTTTGTTTATTGATTTATTCAATCATTTGTCTGTATCAGTACAGACTCCTGTATATTTATTTACACTTCGGGTTATAATCCAATATACTTTATTTTGTTTCTCCCATTGTTCCACTTTAGGCTATTGGGAGATCTTTCACGTTGGTTCCTGTGTCTCCTTGACATTCCCCCATTCTTTTATTCTCTTGAGTACTTCCTTATTTCATATTACTACTGATCCTCCAGGCTTGTCTTCTCGTTTCGCTGCCCCAGTCCTAGAAACAATTTCTTCAAGAAATCTTTGTTCCCTTTTTTTGAAGAATGCTATTTAGAAAGCAAATTCTGGTTTTAGGGTGTGCTTGTAGCTATTGGGTTGCTATTATTTCTGCTCTGTGATTTTTTGTAAGCAGCTTTATTGAAATACAATTAACATGCCATACAAATAAACTATTTTAAATGTACAATTCAATGGTTTACAATATATTCACAGAATTGTACAATCAACATTAAAGATAATTTTAGGATATTTTCATCACCTCAAGAAACGACCTCATGCCTGTGTTGTTGGGCTAATTAAAAAGAAGAAACCCTGTCATATTTGTGTACCACTTCTTTATTTTGCCCTTCCCTTAGCTCTAAGCAACCACTAATCTACTTTTTAATCTTTACAGATTTCTTTATTTTGAACCTTCTTATGGATTGAGTCACATAACATGGGGCCTTTTGTAATTGGCTTCTTTCACTTAGCATATGGTTTTCAAGGTTCATCCAAGTTGTAGCATGTATTAGTACTTCATTCCTTTTTTGGATGAATAATATTTCATTGTATGGTTTTACCACACTTTGTCTATTCATTCATCCACTGATGGACATTTGAATTCTTTTCACCTTTTTGCTCTTGTAAACAATGCTGGTATAAACATTTGCATAACTTTCTGTGTAGATGTATATTTTGGGGTTTATACTTAAGGGTAGAATTTCTGTGTTTTATGGAACAATATGTTTAATCATTTGAGGAACTCCCACACTGTTTTCCAAATAAACTGGACTTTTCTATATTTCCACTAGAAGTGTATGAGGTTCTGATTACTCCATATCCTTGCCAACACTTGTTATTTGACATGTAAATTTTACTTAATCTAGTGGGTGTAAAGTGGTATCTCATTGTGGTTTTGATTTTGCATTCCCCTGATGGCTAAAGATGTTGAGCATTTTTCCACGTTTGCTGGCCATTTGCATGTCTTCTTTGAAGAAATATATCATATCATATCATATCATATATAAATATCTCTTCATATACTTTGCCCACTTTTTCATGCATACAAGAAATTTAAACATAAAGGCACTCTCAAAAATGGTGAAACTATCTTGGGAGGACAATGTGGGAGGATCACCTAAGCCCAGGAGTTCAATACCAGCCTAGGCAATATAGTGAGAACTTGTGTCTACAAAAAATAAAATAAAACAAAACAAATAAAAAATGGTGTAGGTTGTAGTGAAGGGAATTGAGAGGAGATTCATAAATGTAATGAAGGTATGTCCTGAACTGTAGGCCAGCTAGTTTATAGAAATAAGATAGCTGGGAGGAGCCTTCTGTAGTCAGGATAAATATAGATTATTTAAAAATTAAAATAAACAGAATAAATATCTTGGTACATATTTATACAATCAATTTCATCCAGGTGTGGTGGCTCACGCCTATAATCCCAGCAATTTGGAAGACTGAGGCAGTCAGATCACCTGAGGTCAGGAGTTTGAGACCAGCCTGGCCACCATGGTAAAACCCCATCTCTACTAAAAATACAAAAATCAGCTGGGTGTGGTGTTGCACATCTGTATTCCTTGCTACTTAGGAGGCCGAGGCACGAGAATTGCTTGAACCCAGGAGGCAGAGATTGCAGTGAGCCGAGATCACACCACTGCACTCTGATGGCATCAGAGTGAGCCTCTGTCTCAAAATAAATAAATAAATAAATAAATATTTAAAAAATAAATTTCTTTGCCATCTCTTTAATATCTTGTCACTGGTATTTTCTAAAGAATGTATTTTTAAATGTGACTCTTTGAATAAATTTCTTTCAATTACCTTCAAAATTGGTAAACTTTGGCAATTATTGCCTTCATTTCAGTTAACATAATATCAGAGCTTATTTGAACTCAATTTTAAATGATGTGTTCACCAAAGATATTTTTAAGTACATTTCTGCTTCTAGATTATTAATTTAGTAGAGAAACATTATTTTTTCATGGTACTATGTTCCATCACAACTTATATACCTATAATCAATGTAAGCTAAATTATTTTACATTAAAATTTTAATTTTTAAATACAATTTACAATGTAATTCACAATAATGTCAGACACTTTATTTTTTAACAAAAGAAAATTCCAAAAGGTTTACGTTGATTCCTGGTTTTCCAGGCAGTTCATTGTGTCATTTATAAATAACAAAATCTGTGCCTCTTATTTTTCTGTCTGTATTGGTCTTTAGCATCCACGTGGACCTTCTGAACAAAGTTGAATAAGAGAAGTGATAGAGGATTGCCCTGTTTCTAACTTCAGCTGGAATGCTTCTAATATTTCTCCATTAAAACTGTTGTACAGGCCGGGCACAGTGGCTCAAGACTGTAATCCCAGCACTTTGGGAGGCCAAGGTGGGCAGATCACGAGGTCAGGAGATCGAGACCATCCTGGCTAACACGGTGAAACCCCGTCTCTACTAAAAAAATACACACACACACACACACACACACACACACAAAAATAGCCGGTCGTGGTGGTGGGTGCCTGTAGTCCCAGCTGCTTGGGAGGCTGAGGCAGGAGATTGGCATGAACCCAGGAGGCGGAGTTTGCAGTGAGCCGAGATCGCGCCACTGCACTCCATACTGGGCAACAGAGCAAGACTCCATCTCAGGAAAAAACAAAAATAAACAAACAAACAAAAACTGTTGTACATACTTTGGTTTAAAGAAGATACTCCTTTTCAAGTAGAAGAAATGCCCATCGACTCTAAGTGAAGATTTATTTTAAATCAGGAATCAATATTGGATTTTATCAAATGTTAAACGTTTGTTTCAACAAGTTACATTAATGCCTTTCAAAAATATTAAACCATCTTTCTATTCCTGAGTGTATCCAAGTAAATCCCCCATAGTAATGCAGAGACTAGGTTTCCTTTAAATGTGGAACAAAAAGACAGACAATCTTTGGTAAAGTGCTGTTGAGGTGGAAGCAGAAAAGATTCCTGTGTAACAGCAAAAGTACAGAAAACAGACTAAATATCTGTCAATATGACAAGAGTTAAATAAATTATGGCAACACTCATACAGTGTAATAAATTAGAATCACAAGAATCATGAGAAAGCTCTCCAATTACCTAAGTGGAGAAATTGCCAAGATACCTTGTAAAACCCAATAGGTAGTTTTTGAACAGTATGCATAGTGTGCTAGCATCTATGAATTTAAAAGGGTTTAGAGAAGACAATCTATAAAATGGGAGAAAATATCCATAAACTATGCATTTGACAATATATAAGGAACTCAACTGAATAGCAACAGTCAAATAATCCAATTTAAAAATGGGCAAAAGATCTGAATAGATATTTCTCAAAAGATGATATACAAATGGATAACACGTAGATGAAAAAAGTTCAGCATCACTAATTATCAGAGAAATGAAAATCAAAACCACAATAAAATGTCACCTCACCCCAGTTAGGGTGGCTATTATCAAAAAAACAAAACAAAACAAAACAAACAAAACAAGACAAATGATGGTAAAGATGTGGAGAGAGGGGAACTCTTACACACTGTAGGTGGGAAAGTAAACTAGAATTGCCACATTGACAACAGTATGAAGGTCCCTCAAAAAATTAAAACTAGAACTGCCATATGATCCAAAAATTCCACTACTGAGTATATGTCCAAGGAAGTGAAATCAACATGTCAGAGAGATATCTGTATCTCCATGTTTATTGCATAATTATTCACAATAGCCAAGATATTGATAGAGACAGGAGACAGCCAAATGCCACCCAGGTCATTGAGCACAAAAGATGTTCTACTATGCCAGGACCCCAGTTATCACTGTTCATATTCTCTGTATCACTGTTTATATTCTCTGTAAAGTTTTGATTATGAAAAGGGATTTATGAGGTTAGTCTTAAGCTGTAGCCAATCTGGTGTGCTTTGCATGTCTTTCTGTATGGTTCTGCCAGAAAGAGGGGTACCTTAGGTTGGGGCGCCAGCCTAGGACTCCATGTTCCTACTGTTTAAGCCAGCCTGGCAGACTGATCAGTAGCAAATTTTGCTGCAGCCCTCTATCTTGTTTTATGTCCTTGGGAGAACCACGTGGCAGTGCTTTGTTTTAGCCTCCACCATTTTACAAAGGCAGCCTGGGTTCAATCTTGGCTTAGGGAATGAGTTCTTTCTAGTTAGATATCTTTGTGACCTTTGCCATTTCTTGATTCTCTTCCCCTCCATGAACTGCCTTGAACTTTTCTTTCTCTGAGCACCTGGAAGCTTACCTTTGTAAAATTTGAAAGATGGAAATATTGGCTACTTGGTGCAGCTAAAGTTGGGTAATAAGGGATTTAAAAGGATTTTCTTAAAGAGTGCTCAGCTTAATTAAAAGTGGATATCCAACCTATAGGTATATTTAAAAGGCCTTTATGTTTTTCTCTTCTTGGATCTTGTTTTGCTGGAAAAATGTTTTTTCTCAGTTGACTGAACTCTTTCTCCATTTTGTCTTTCTACTCTTAATGCATGCATAAGGGACCCTAAGATAATTTCTGATGGCCTGGGACTGCTTGGGAAAAACAGAAAAGATGCCATGGATTCCATTTTGGAAGAGATCTCTGTTTTCCTCATGGACCTCCTGGAATTAAAGGTGGTCCATGCTCTCAAAATGTTTTTGTCTTCCAGCTATACCTGTTTATTAGGCCCTAGAAACTGCATGTTTTCTTAGCCTTGCTCTTAAAGGGCTGAACCCAGACGTGCTAATTGGTCCTAATAGTCCAATTAGGAGACTGGCAAATGAAAAATCTTATAGTTGCTGAATCTTCTGCCTATGTAGTTATATATGTGTTGCATGTGTGACATTAATAAAAAAAGACCTCTAATTAATTGACTTAAAGAAGGATAAATGTTTGGATCAAATATTTTTTTAAAGGAAGATAAAAGCTGTGGTACCTTTTGGTTCATATGACTTTAATATTTGATAAATAAAAACAGCCTTAAAGATTATTGGTAAAATGCAGATGTCATCAAAATGCAAATTTGTGCCTAGGGTTAAAGGATTGCTTTGAATTAGATGAGATAAAGCTAAAAGTTTAAACAAGTTGTGGATGGATTGTAAAAATTAATCTTGCAAAAGAAATTCCATGTGTGAACATACTGACAAAATTCAAAAAGGTATTATATAGCTTTTCCATAAATTGAGCATTGAAATAAAAGCACAACAAGGTTCTTCTAAGGCACCAATCTGCTGTTTAGCAAAATGTGTAAAGAGTAATAAAAGGTTTTTGCTTTTTTAAAATTTCTGAGTCATCATTTTGGCAAAATGAATAATTTATGGTAATCTGGAATTCTATTTCATAGCATCAAGTGTTTTAAACCTCTTACATACTTAACAGACTTCCCCAAATCAAACTTCAGTTTCAAAAATTGCCTTTTTTGATTCCTACCTTTTGGATGCTACAGAGGGCCCTTGGCTTCTCCAGAATTTGGTAACTAGTTATGAGCGTTCTTAACTTATGGCAATATAGTTGTTTGCATTAGTGCAATAAGAATCTATTTTCTTTTGCAACAGGATGCAATTAGAGAAACTGGTTGTTCTCCCAAGGCTTTGACTGGAAAGGTATGCTTCCCTTTAAGGAGTTAAACTTGACTTGCAGAGCCAATAAAAGCCATTTGGGAAAACTGGCCTCATACCTTGTCTACACAGTCTCTGTACAGGGTTCCTAACCTGTGGTGAATAAAGAATCTCACTTTCTAACAGGCCCAGGAACCCCTTGCTCTTGGGACCTCAAGAAGAGAGGAGTTTACCCATCTCACAGGTATTTGAGGATACAAACCCATGGCTGGGCTCAGCTTTAGAAAGTCCTATCTGAGATTCCTTGTGGAACAGAGTTCCATCAAAGCCAATCTAAAATGCCTATGTAAAAATAATTATTCTTTCTGCACTTTATGCATATAATCAGGTCAAGTATAAGACTGAAGGCTATTTTGCAAACAACTCAGTCCTATCACGATTTGTTTTTAACAAAAATGAGGGCTGAAGAGAAAGAAATTATGTTTCAAAACTTAAATGTTTGCCATTAAATCCTAAACTCATTAGTTTTTAAGTTTTTTGCCTACATTTTAGACTAACCCTGAATATTCATGTGAATCAACCAGTGATCTCTGACTGCAGCTCAGGAGGAACAAAAGGGATGGGTAATTTAAAAATCTTGATTAATATTCTAGTTCTGAGCAATTATCCTAAAATCCTGCTGGATGAAGGAAATAAATAGATGTCGATCACCCAGAGATTTTTTTTTTTTTTTTGGGAAACTAAGACCAAGGGAACTAACTGAAGTCAAGCCTCATGCATCCACATCTTAGCAAGTGTAACTACAGCCACCAGTTATCTGGGCATGTCACGGGACATCCTGTTCTCTCCCTTTTTGGAGGCAGACTGAATTCCACAACTTCATCTTAGCATTTGGCCTATGATAAGAAGTCTATGTAACCTCCCCAAGACACATTTTTGTCCCAATTTCAAGCTTTGGGTGGAAGCTGTGGGAAAGAAAACTGGAGGTGAGGGATCCAGAGGCAGACAATAACAGAAGTTAAAAGGCACAGTACAGGTGAGCATGACTAATTCCTGCTGATTAAGCCAAGCCTCCCATTTCATTGATAAAGATCATGCTAATATCCATGGAATAAATTAGGTCTAGGGAACTCGAAGGTTACTGACAGCAGGGGAGATAGGACATACATGGGTAAGATGGACAGTCCCACCCTCTACACCCTCTAAGCCCCCCTGTTAACATGGGTGAAACCCGCTTTGACACCCATGGATGGCACCCTGTCATGCTTGCTGGGACTCAGGGATATAAGGGCAGAAGAAAGAAAGAGGGACCCCTCACTTTCTCTCCCTCATGTATCTCAGGTATTTGCTAGGAAGAAAAAGGAAACAGGGATGCCTGATCCCCTCTTTCTAGATGAGTAGCCATTCATCTTCAGTCTGTACTCCTTTCAAATGCATCTGGAACCCCTGGGACTCCTTTGAAAAAATGCCTTCTTTTTTTTCTTTTTCCTCCTCTGTCTTGTCTTCACTGATAGGTAATTGTGTCTCCATACTATAGGACACTCCCCTCAGATGCATTCTCCAAACTGGGGAAAGTTAATTTCCCAAACCTTAAACTGGTTGGTTTAGGATTGGGTTCCTAAGGGAAACCAGATTTTTTTTTTTCCTGTCAGGCTTTTGGCCTCCCTCTCCCTGTGCCAGTTGGTAAAAGGTCTTGGGATTTTTCAGCTGTCCTTACTCCACCCTTGTTTCATTTTGATACATGTTTTCTAATAACCTGGTTGGTTTCTTCTCGCCTTCAGTCCATCAAACTCTAAACTGTCATGCAACCGGAGCTTCGGATGATGGCCTCTTTTGCCGGGGACTCTTAAATAGTCCTCTGAGGGAGATCTGACTGCTGTTTTCCCAAAACAGCACCATCTGCTAGTAGGAAGCAGTTAAGATCGGTCTTCATCCTTATCCTTATTCTAATGGCAGTTAGATGCACTTCTTTTTTTTTTTCTTTTTATTATACTTTAAGTTTTAGGGTACATGGGCACAACATGCAGGTTTGTTACATATATATACATGTACCATGTTGGTGTGCTGCACCCATTAACTTGTCATTTAACATTAGGTATATCTCCTAATGCTATCCCTCCCCCCTCCCCCTACCCCACAACAGGCCCCAGTTTGTGATGTTCCCCTTCCTGTGTCCATGTGTTCTTATTGTTCAATTCCTACCTATGAGTGAGAACGTGTGGTGTTTGGTCTTTTGTCTTTGCGATAGTTTGCTGAGAATGATGGTTTCCAGCTTCATCCATGTCCCTACAAAGGACATGAACTCATCATTTTTTATGGCTGCATAGGCATGGGCAAGGACTTCATGTCTAAAACACCAAAAGCAATGGCAACAAAAGCCAAAATTGACAAATGGGATCTAATTAAACTCAAGAGCTTCTGCACAGCAAAGGAAACTACCATCAGAGTGAACAGGCAACCTACAGAATGGGAAAAAATTTTTGCAATCTACTCATCTGATAAAGGGCTAATATCCAGAATCTACAATGAACTCAAACAAATTTACAAGAAAAAAACAAACAACCCCATCAACAAGTGGGCAAAGGATATGAATAGACACTTCTCAAAAGAAGACATTTATGGAGCCAAAAGACACATGAAAAAATGGTCATCATCACTGGCCCTCAGAGAAATGTAAATCAAAACCACAATGAGATACCATCTCACACCAGTTAGAATGGCAATCATTAAAAAGTCAGGAAACAACAGGTGCTGGAGAGGATGTGGAGAAATAGGAACACTTTTACACTGTTGGTGGGACTGTAAACTAGTTCATCCATTGTGGAAGTCAGTGTGGCGATTCCTCAGGGATCTAGAACTAGAAATACCATTTGACCCAGCCATCCCATTACTGGGTATATACCCAAAGGATTATAAATCATACTGCTATAAAGACACGTGCACATGTATGTTTATTGTGGCACTATTCACAATAGCACAGACTTGGAACCAAGTGAAATGTCCAACAATGATAGACTGGATTAAGAAAATGTGGCACATATACACCATGGAATACTATGCAGCCATTAGAGCAGGGAATGATAGATACGAGAGACAGCCAAATGCCAACCAGTCATTGTGCACAGGGGGCTTGCCCAAACATGTCCAAAGTGAAAATTCCATCCCTTAACACATGTGCAGGAAGGGAAATAAGTTAATGTGGAGTGGCTCAGACTGAGGACCCACCTGTGCACTGGGAGAATGGGTTGGAGCCACAAGGAATTCATATCTTATGTAAGGGGGAGGAGCCTGGCCTCTCCAGCTTGTGTGTGGTGGTCTGGTATTGAATCAGTGATGTGGAAGCCTGTTGGCAGGATGCCCTTTTTTTCACTGAAAGCTTTCTTTTAATAAATTCCCTTCTCCTCACCTTTTAATGTGTCCATGTGCCTAATTTTTCCTGGTCGTGAGACAAGAACCCAGATTTTAGCTGACCTAAGGAGCAAAAAATCCTGTATCAGTATAGAATAAATCTTAATGTCCATCAATGGATAAATGGATTAAAAATGTGGTATATAGACACAAAGGAATACTATTCAGCTGTAAAAAGAATGAAATCCTGTCATTTGTTACAACATGAATGAACCTAGAGGATATTATGTTAAGTGAAATGAGCCAAGCACAGAAGGATAAATACCATGTGATCTCACTTATATGTGAAACCTAAAGAAGTCAATCTCATAGAAGTAGAGTGGAATAGTGGTTACCAGGGGCTTGGGAGAGTAGGGGCAGAGGAACGAAGAGAGGCTGGTCAATGGGTACAAAGTTACAACTAGATAGGAAGAATATGTTCTGGCATTCTATTGCGCAGTAGTGTCACTACGGCTAACAAGAATGTGTTGTATATTTCAAAATAGCTGGAAGAGCAGATTTTGTGTATTCCTAACACAAAGAAATGATAAATATTTCAGGTGATGAATATGTTAATTACTTAGATTTGATCATTATACATTGTATATGTATCAAAATGTTATTCCATTCCTCATAAATACGTACAATTATTATGTGTTAATTAAAAAAATAAAACCTTTTTTATTTTATTTTTTAATTACTGGGGAATGTATATATATTTGCCACTTTCAAACTCTGTCTGGAATTCACCTTATTCTTACCACCCTCATTGTGGCCACTCAGGTCCAAATCCCCCTCATCTTTTACCGGGGTCACAGAGATAGTCTCCAGAGGGTCACTGCTTCTACCTTTTCACTCCACTGTTTGTTGTCAACAACGCAGTCAGGATGTCCTTAAAAGAAAAATCAGATTCTGTCCCTCTTGTGCCCTCTGAAGTCTTCCTACTTTCTTCCAAGTAAGAGCCAGAATCCTTAGTTGGCTTACGGAACCTCCTCTCCCATTGCTGTCATTCCATTCCCCCTGATCTAGCCAAACTAGTTTTCACAGTCTCACTCAAGCACACTGGGCATGTTCTCATGGGGCTTTGTTGTTTTTGAAAGAATCCTGTTGTTCCCTTCCTGGACGTCTGGCTCTTCCCAGGGTGGCCACATAATAGCTTCCCCGGTGCCTCCAAGTCTTATCTTTAAGTCATTTTCTCAGTGAGGTCTACTTTTACCTCCACTTCTAACATTTCAACCACTCCCACATCAATATTTCACATCTATCTTTTCTGCTTTTTTTCCCCCTTTCTAACACTTGTCATCAGTTATGTTTCTTACCCCCTCTCTCTATTCCTGCCTCCCTAATTAGAATGAACATTCTATGATGGCAAAATTATTTTGAGGAAACTTCTTTGTTTATTACTGAATTGTCACAGTGGGTGCTCAACAAATGTCGTTTTGAAGGAATAACTGAATGAAATAATAAATATAATTAACATTTCAGGAAAACTACAAAGGAAACTGATAACATAGTTGCCTTTGGGGAAAAGAACTGGGTGGTCATGTTAAGAGGAAGATTGGCCGGGTGCGGTGGCTCACGCCTGTAATCCCAGCACTTTGGGAGGCTGAAGAGGGCGGATCACCTGAGGTCAGGAGTTTGAGACCAGCCTGACCAACATGGAGAAACCCTGTCTCTACTAAAAATACAAAATTAGCTGGGCATGGTGGTGCATGCCTGTAATCCCAGCTACTTGGGAGTCTGAGGCAGGAGAATCGCTTGAACCTGGGAGGTGGAGGTTGCAGTGAGCCGAGATGGCGCCATTGCACTCCAGCCTGGGCAACAAGAGCAAAACTCCATCTCAAAACAAACAAACAAACAAATAAAATAAAAGAGGAAGATTTCTCACTGTGTATCCTTCTGCAGTATATTACAAAATTAGAATATTTTACCTACTGAAATATATATATATATGAATTAATTCAAAATTTTAAAAATATTTCTTTAATTGGCAACCACTGTTACTCAAGAAGCCAGCCTAATTGGCTTATTAATTTTCTGTGTGTTGCCAATTGAATTATGAATAGTGTTCCTTGATTCTAGTTTTAATATACATTTGTATAAGGAGTGAGCTTGAGGATATATGAATATGTTTCAGAGTCATGTATATTTTCTGTGAACTGAATGCATATACTTTGCTCATTTCTTTGTTAGGTTTTTTTTTTAGGTGTATTGGTTTGCAGGAAATCTTGAACATTAGTGATAATAGATGCAAATATGTTTTTCCATTTGTTGTTTGTTTTTTGCCTTTGCCAATAGTAGTTTTGTCATGCATAAACTGATGGTTATATGTAGTTCAATTTATCCTTTTTTTTCCTGAAAATGGTTTATTCTTTCCTAAGGAACAGTTTAAGTAAAATTGCAGTTATCTAATCTGTCCTTTAAAGATTTGAAAGCTTTTTCCCATGAAACTTATGCAGAGTGTAGCTCATGACACCTATCTCTATTTCTTCTACAGTAATTGGTATGTTTAGAATTTTTATATGCTCTGGTGTCAATTTTTTAATAAATTTTATTTTCTTAAAAAAATTTTGAGTTCTCAAATTTATTTTCACAAAGTAGAACAAAGTAGTTACTTGTCATTCTTTAATTCCTCATTGTATTTGTGGTTATTTCCTCTTGTTTCTTGTTTTGATACTTGAGCTTACTTTAAGTTAGATAAAAGTTAATTTATTTTAATTTTATTTCCAAAAGGACCAGATCTTGAAATTATTTGTTAATTCTTCTATTTTATGTTTTCTTTTCTTTCTTCTTCTTCTTTTTTTTTTTTCTCAGACAGGGTCTTGCTCTGTCATCCAGGCTGGAGCACAGTGGTCCTTTGATGGCTCACTGTAGCCTTGAACTCTTGGGCTTAGGCTATCCTCCCACTTCAGCCTCCTGAGTAGCTGGGACCACAGGTGTGCACCATCACACTTGGTTAAGTTTTGAATTATTTGTAGTAACAGGGTTTCCACATATTGCCCAGGCTGGTCTTGAGCTCCTAGCCTTAAGCGATCCTCCTGCTATAGCCTCCCAAAGTGCTGGGATTACAGGCATGGGCCACCATCCCCAGCCTATTTTGTTTTCTAATTCCTTACTTTCTTTTTAAACTAATTTATTTGGTTTTCTTAGCTTTTTGTAATTTTTTAAGTTTTTGATTTGAATGTCTAATTTATTTATCAATCTTTTATTTAAAAATGTTATTGGAGACTATACATTTTCCTCTGAGCACCACTGTAGTTATATTTCATAGAATTTAATACTCAGCATTTTCATTATTGTTGATTTTCAGAAATTCTACAGATTAAGTTGCATTGCATCTTTGATCGAATAATTGAGTAGAGAGGGTTTTAAAATTTCTAAATGGCTTTTTGTTTTCTGGCTTGATATTAATTTATAGTTTTCTTCTTTTTGAAATGTCTTTCTGGGCTGGGGGTGGTGGCTCACGCCTGTAATCCCAGCACTTTGGGAGGCCGAGGCGGGCGGATCACGAGGTCAGGAGATCGAGACCATCCTGGCTAACACGGTGAAACCCCGTCTCTACTAAAAATACAAAAAATTAGCCGGGCGAAGTGGTGGGAGCCTGTAGTCCCAGCTACTCGGGAGGCTGAGGCAGGAGAATAAATCGAACCCTGGGGGGCAGAGCCTGCAGTGAGCCGAGATCGTGCCACTGCACTCCAGCCTGGGCAACAGCGAGACTCCGTCTCAAAAAAAAAAAAAAAAAAAAGTCTTTCTGTTTACTAATGGCTTAATAGATGGTTAAATTTGAAAAATATTGTTTTCACTTAAAAAGATCTAATTTTTTTCTTTATAATATACAGACCATGGTATGTATTATGAACTCCTTTTTATATTATTTTTTCTTCCCTCTTCTTATTTACTGATTGTCTGTTTTTATCCTTACAGTCTGAAATAGTTGAATTAAAGAATTAAAACATCCTCTCCATAATGACTGTCTCTTATATATCTCCAATAGTTTTTGCTTTATGAATATTGATGCTATGTTAAGAAGAGTCACTCATAAGTGCTTTGTTTCATTAATCGCAAAGCACTTTTTGTCCTTCTCTAATGTTCTTTGTACAATTCAACTTCTTTTCTTAAAGACCACACCCATCCTTCCCTTTCATTGACTTTTGTCAGTCTACGATAGTCAGTCTTTCAAAATCATGTTTTAGTTAGGTTCCATATACAGAACATTTGTTTTGTGATTCAATCCAAATGCCTTTTTTCTATTGATTGATGAATTTAGTTCATTTTTATTTAATGATATGACCCAGATTTGGTCTAAGTTATGTTATCTACTTTACGTTATGTTTTCTGGTTTTGTAACTTTAAAATGTTACCATTATAAGTCTACGTGTTTTGTTTTGTGGGTGTATTTTATCAGGCATTGGAAAAGTTTGAATACTTGTTCTAGTGGTTACTTTAAAAAGTATAATTTTTGCAATCCTATTATGCTTCATAATTTTTCTAAATTTTGTATTATGGGGAAGGAATAACTTTCTTACCACTCATCTCACTTAATTTTAATTGATCATATTATTTTTATGGTGTATATTATTATTCTTTTAAATATACTTACACATCAATTGCTAGATTTGTGGATCTTAATTTTTATCTTTGACCCCTAGTTGTTAAAGATTATGAACTCATGCACCTGTATTATACAGAACGAATCCTGAATTTCCACCCAGGGATAAATACCCGAGGCAAATGTAAAGTATAGTTGTTACATCATCCAGTGTCACTGTCCTGGGGACACAGAAGGGAACATCTGGCTACCAAGAATGGACTCTGGCATTCTGTCTGTTTTTACACACCTACCACCTGGCCTGACTTGTGCTATGCAGATCTTACAGTTATGCTAAAATCTGGGGTATGGTGAGTAAGCAGGGGTGTGATATATTTTGTGGGAGGCCAGTTTTCTCAAGTAATGAGAATCCAGCAGTGCCTAGCCTTAAATTCTAGTTATGTAGTGCATTAATATAGCATATCGTTAGAAGCAGGAAGAAGGTAAAGGAAACACCAAATACATTTTCTGCTGTGCCACTTCACCTGAGTTTGCTGCTGATGGAGGCCCAGCACTCCCCTAGTATAGCTTTAAAAGGCAACACAAAGCTTATTATGGTTGTGGCTTATCCAGACTCCCACCCAAGTACAGCAAGTAACAGGCAGTGACTCAATGTCCATTTAAAAAAATCTGAGTCTTGGGCCGGCCATGGTGGCTCATGCCGGTAATCCCAGCACTTTGGGAGGTCGAGATGGGCGGATCACGAGGTCAGGAGTTTGAGACCAGCCTGGCCGACATAGTGAAACCCTGTCTCAACTAAAAATACAAAAAATTAGCTGGGCATGGTGGTGGGTGCCTGTAATCCCAGCTACTTGGGAGGCTGAGGCAGGAGAATGGCTTGAACCTGGGAGGCAGAGGTTGTAGTGAGCCGAGATCGCACCACTGCACTCCAGCCTGGATGACAGAGCAAGACTCCATCTCAAAAAGAAAAAAAAAAAAGAAATATTAAAGTGTACATATATTTAGCAAAGAACTCATGTCCAGAATATATGATTCAATTTTACAAATCAACAACAAAATTTTCCAAGTAAAAATGGGCAAAAGACTTGATCAGGTACTACCCAAAAGAAGGTAATCCAAATTGTCAATAAGCATATAAAGGGTTGGTGCTGAATATCATTATTCATTGAGGAAATGCAAATGACAACCCAAATGAGATACCACTACACCCCCACCTGAATGGCTAAAATTAAAAAGTCTAACAATATTAAGTGTTAGCAACAATGTGGGTTAACTGAAACTCTCCTACTTGACTATTGACACTGTAAAGTGGTTCAGCCACTTTAGAAAACTGTTTGGCTGTCTTATTTTTATTTTTTTCAAAGTTAAACATATTCCTACCCTACCTGATCCATCAAATCTCCTTCTAGCTATGTACCCAAGAAAAATCAGTGCATATGTCTCAAAAAACATTTGCAGAAAAAAATGTTAAAAGCAGCTTTATTTCAAAAGACAAAATTTCAGCAAATGTAGTTTAATGATCTATTTGGCATTTATTTGTGATTTATGAGTTGGGCAGCATCTCGTCTAAAAATAGAGAGGTGCTTTGCTGTGCATGGCAGAACAGCCAGTTTTGATGAGGTAGCTTGAACAGGAGCAAGAAAACAACATAGTACAAAAAGTGGATTTGTTAATATCAGGTTACTTAAGGTTACTTTCCTTGTAAGGGTTAGAGCAGAGGAGACTTCCTTATCGTGTTGACAAATGCTGGACTGTTCAGGGATTTGGCTGTCATCTCTCCTGACTTCTTGGAAGGTCAGATAAATTTAGTTTTGATTTGATGACATGGAACTTTAGCACAAGTGACTTAATTTTGGTTTTGTATGTTGGAGCCTAGGGCAGGAGCTGAGTCCAAACCAATGGCCTCCCATACATTTTATTTAACAATTATAATGGCCCAAACTATCAAGAACTCAAATGTCCATATCAACAGGAGAATGGATACACTGTGATGCATTCGTGCAATAAATACTGCTCACTGGTAAAAAAGAATGAACTGCTGATACATGCAACATGAATGAATCTCAGTCGTTAGGTAGAATGAGAAAAGCTCAGCCACAAAGGCATGGGTACTGTGTGATATCAGAAGAGACACCACTAATCCATGATAATCAGAATCAGAATAGTGGCTTGTTCTTGGAGAGGAGTGGTAAAAGGACACAAGGAATTTTTTTGTAGAAATAAAGTATTTTATATCTTGTGACATCCAGTGTGCAATGTGCAATGATAATATGCATTTTACTGTTTATAAATTATGTCAATTAAAAAAAGACAAAAGGAGAAAAGAAAAGAATAAAGTATATGTCCCAAGCTTATAGAGCACCTGCAAGACCTTGGGTTTATACTGAGTTCTCTTTGGCTTCAGCCCTTTTCCCTTCCTGTTAGAACACAAAGCTTTCCAGGGGTCACCTGGTTTGTCCCTGGCACTGCTGCTGGGTGTCACCTCATCATAAATCCATCCAATGTTGCTGCACATCACTGCTTCCTGGTCCTCAGGAGGCTAATGCTCCTGACAGGTGCCATCTGACCATGTCACTACCTGAAGAGCTGACCTGCTTCACAGGCAGGGGGACAGAGTGGCACATCAGAAAGCCACTGCTATGCATTTCACCTACAATTAAGTGCTAAGGAATAATAGTGGGGCTTTTATGCTACATGCATGTTTTCCTTTCCATTAAATCTCAGATATGCTGTTTGCATATCTTAGTTCAGGCTGCTCTGAAATCCATAGGGGGAAAGAAACCCTTCATTAAGTTCAGCAGCACTGTCCGGCAATGCAGCAGCACTCCTATTTATTTTTCCTTCTGTAAATATTTGTGCTCTCTCAGGCTAAGGAGTGGCCTGTGCTAGAGACTAAAATATCCCCATTTATATCCTCCAGGTGCAGCAGGAAACGCCTGACCTCTCACCCTGCCCCTGCAATGACCTCAACCTCACTTATGGGGACCACCCTCTGGGCTGCCCTAATGCAGACCCATGATCACCTCTCCAGGTTGACTGCTGAATAGCAGGAGAAGATGAACCTGAAATTGAATGGTTATTGCAACCCAGTTTTTTCGGTCGAAAGGTGAAGGTTACTTAGCTTTTGTTGCTGCCTTCAAGCTTGTTAATGAAAAGATGGAAAAACAATATTGACATCAGTGAAGTCCAATTTGTTCAGAAATGGAACTTGATTTATTATAGAAATGAGATAGAAGACAAATGAAAAAGTAAGATATGAAATAAGACCAATAATAGGAAGAAAATTGCAAAAATCTTAAAGAAATATTATTACTTTTTCTACTGAGTCCATCCATCTGGGTTTTCAAATTTCTGCGATTCACAAGAGGATCATGACATGAATGTTAATCCAAAATAAGAGTTCCTATTGTAGCTGCTGAATGTATTTGCCTAACTATCTCTCACTGTTAACTCAACTTGCAGCTAAGGAAATTTTGTTTGTTCATTTAATAAACATTTATTGAACTGCAAATTAGTCCAGTATTTGGTTTATGAATTTAATTTTTAAACTTTCAATTTTCCATCTCTAGAAATTTACTTCCTTTTACATTTTCCCAAGTTTTTATCTTACTAATTCGTGTCAAAGCTGTGATGCTCAATGTATTTCTAAGTTATCACTTACGTAAATTGCCCTATCTAGCTTATAAGACCATGATGAGGAGCAAATGAAGCAATTTTGATAAAAATATATGAGAATATTTTTCATTTTGAATACATTATTTGACTTTTGATGGAAAAGAAAAACACCAAAGACATTAATTTATCTTTATAACTTTAATAATAAGCTTATAAAAATTAAAACAAAAATACAAAAATAGAACAAAATAGGGAAAGTGAACTAATATGAGATCAAATTTTTTTTACTAAAAAATGTGATTGTGAATTTAAAAATGCAATAAAGTATATAAACATTGGATGAAGGTCATAAACAGCAAATAGCACTTGGAAATATCTTGTCACATTCTAAACGTCAAAGGAATTCTCAAAAAAGTCCAAAGAAAAATAGTATAAGCCATAATTTCTTATCACTTTGCAATAAAATTAGAAATTAACTAAAAAGGGATAAGATGGGAAAAAAACCCAAATCAAATACAAAGAGATTTTAAAATACTTTCTGAAGTAACTTGTAGAATGAGAACTTCAATGATAGCCTACTTATGAAATAATGATTTATCTATCCATCTCCCTTTCTCTGGATGAGAGCCTGGGGGAGGGTAGTGAGTGACACATTCACCTGCCTTCTTGCTTCTATAGCTCTTCCAGTAGCTGGAAAGGTACAATCTGCAGTTGACTCTTGAACAGCATGGGGGCGTGGGGCGCCAATCCCCTGTACAGTAAAAAATCCAGGCATAACTTTGGACTCTCCAAACTACTAATAGCTTCCTGTTGACAAAAAGCCTTACTGATAATATAAACAGTCTATTAATACATATTTTGTGTGTTATATGTATTACATGCTGTATCTCTACAATAAAGTAAGCTAGAGAAAGGCAAATTTTCTTAAGAAAATCGTAAGGAAGAGAACATACATTTACTATTCATTAAGTGGAAGTGGATCATCACAAAGGTCTTCATCTTCTTTGCCCTCAGGTCGAGTAGGCTGAGGAGGGGGAGAAAGAGGAGGGGTTGGTTTTGCTGTCTCAGGAGTGGCAGAGGAGAAAGAAAATTCACATATAAGTGGACCTATGCAGTGCTAACCTGTATTGTTCAAGGTTCAGCTGTATTTCATTTTCTTCTGCAAGATAGGATCACTCGTACTAAATACTCAAAGTTTAGCCCCTGAAGCCTGTATCATTCAATCTAATTACGTAGGAGAAGGAGGAATTAGAGACTCTTTTTTTCAAGACAAAGGTATGTCTTGCTGCAAAATCCTACTCTTAAATACCAGAAGCTGAACATTCATTGTTTCAGTCTTCTTACCTGAATTCCTTTTGCAACAATTCCTAATTACTTCCGGGGCAAATGGGATGCCTGACGGGAACAGGGGTGAAGATTATTTTTTAGGCAAAATAGTAAAGCCCGTTAAGAAATTTACAAATATTACTACTATTGTACTTTTTTGTTAGAAAAATGGTAACATAAGAACTGAATTAAATGAGGAAGCAGAAGCCAGGGAATAATAAAATGAAAGTAGCAATTAATAAAACAGAAAAGAAAAAAGTGAAATTGATAAATTAGTCAAATGCTAGTCCTTTGAAAGGGATAATAAAATATATAATGTTAAGGTGGAATAGTCTTAATAAAAAAATTAGAAAAAATAGGCAATCTGAGAAGCAGAAGGGATATAAAATCAGATATCAAGAAGTATTAAAACTACACAAATAATACAATATAACACTTTATGATAATAAATTTTAATGTTGATGAAATGTTCACTTTCCTAGGAAGTATAAATTGCCCAATTAAAAAATCAGATTAATAATAATAAAACCTAGTTATCCATAGAAAAAAAAATTATGAAAAAAAGAGGCTAAACACAGTTTTACGGTCAGTTTTTCTTGATTTTTATGAAACAGTTACTTGTGTGCTGGAATAGGCTAAATCTTATTAAAAAAGTAAAAATCTTTCATATCTCTCATGCTAGAGCCTAACAATATATAATAAAAATACAACATAGGGAATGAGCTGTTTGAAAGAGTAAAAATCTTGTAGAAAAATAACAACAGTCTAGGCCAGGTGTGGTGGCTCATGCCTGTAATCCCAGCACTTTGGGAGGCCGAGGCAGGTGGATCATGAGGTCAGGAGTTCGAGACCAGCCTGATCAACATGGTGAAAACCCGTCTCTACTAAAAATACAAAAATTAGCCGGGTGTGTTGGCGTGCGCCTGTAATCCCAGATACTCAGGAGGCTGAGGCAGGAGAATTGCTTGAACCCAGGAGGCGGATGTTGCAGTGAGCTGAGATCATGCCACTGCACTCCAGCCTGGGTGACAGAGTGAGACTCCGTCTCAAAAAAATAAAAAAGAAAAGAAAAATAACAACAATCTAAATAAAGCAGTACATTAGGAAGACAATTATGCGTAACCAAACAGGATGTGTCATGAGACTATAAAGGTAAATATATAATAGAAATATATAATAGAAAAGCTGTTAATATAACTACTCACAATGCAAATTCACAGAATTCTATGATCCTATATATAAATATCAAAATATTATAGATAAAATTCAATATTATATTGAAATATTGTAGATAAAATTCAATATCCACAACTGATAAAACTTTTTGTAATCTAAAGAAACTTTCGAACATCACAGAAACCATCTACCTTAAATTTTGTCATATATGATGGTGAAGTGTGGTATGTGGTGAAGTGCGATACATGATATGATGGCGAAAGAGTGATATGCCTTTTCAAGTCAGAAGCCAGATAAAGATGCTTTGATAGGAGCAATTTTTCTTAATATTTTTCTGAAAGTTTTTTTAATCAATTAGATTAAATAAGAAAACAATATGAGGAGAAGTTATAACTATTGAAAATAAGGACAGAAGTTTTTATCCATTGATAATAGGATAGCATACCAGAAAAATTCAAAATGAAATGAAAAGTACCTGAAGATAGTAAGCAAATTCAGAAGATTCTGGGAGTAAAGAAATAGAATTATAGAATGAAGGACATCAAGCAAGAGGGGAGAAATCACAGCATGTTTGTATGCTGATGGGATGATACTGAACAGAGTGAAAACTGAGTGACATAGAAGAGAATTGATTGGAAAACATCACAAGCATGAAGAGGGTGAGAAGGAAGAGAGAGGACCCAGAACCTCATGGCTCATGCCAATAAGCACATCAAGGATGAGGCAGACAGAATCACCAACAGAAGATCCAATGAGGTTGAAGGAAAACCCACAGCATGCGGTCACAGAGGCCAGGAGAGGAAATGTTTTCAAGAGAGGGGAGTCTATTGCTGAAAGGTTGGAAATGTGGAGGCCAGAGAAGGTTGTGGATTTTTCAGCAGGAAGATATTTGATGTCTTCACAGGATCGTGTGATGTGGTGAAACACCACAAGAAGAATCCCATCTAGGTAGGTTAAATAGTGAGTGGGAGGTGAGTATGTGTGATCGGTAATTGATTGCAGACAGCCCTTCCAGATATTTTGATGTGGAGGGAAAGCAAGATTATGAGGATGCGAGGTTTTGGAAATTTTTTTTTTCCAAAGAGGATGGAAACTAGATCATGCCTATTTGCCAATGAAAATAATCCAGGAGGGGGTCAATTAATTGTGCTGTAGAGAGGGGATCATTGCTGAAAGGAAATATTTGAGAATGGGAGAGAGAATGGCTTCTGCATAAATGGCTAGAAAACCCTGTTCTTAGATACCATGATACATGTTACTGCCAAATGAACCTCTGCAAAATAAATAGTAGTTTTCAATTAAAATTTTAACACTTAAAATGTTTAATTTGATAAAATTAAATGCCTGAAAATAGGTAAGATGATTTGGAAAAAAAAAGTCATAAAGAGAGTGTTGCTCTAACATATATTAATATACTTTATAAAGTTTCAATTATTTTATAATGTAAGGAATAAGCAAACTGGTCAGTGGAATAGAATAGAATTCTAAAATAGAATTTCTAGAAGTGAGTCTCATATAATAAGTTAGCACGTGTCAAATCAGTGGAGAAAACATTATTCATTTAATGTCATCTCACTCCTTGTTGACTCCCAACTGGTGACTCATTAAAAAAAAAACAAGGTTAGATCACACTGTTAAATCATATGTTAAAATAAATTCCAGATAGATTTATGCTTTAATGAACACTATAAACATGCTAAAATAAAACACAGTGAGCTTCTAAGCATACTTTCAAAGGCAAATTGAGTTGTAAAAGGACTGATAGGTGGATTATGTAAAAATTAAAATCCTCATTGTAAGATCCAAAAATGGTAAAGTCTACATGGCTATGAAAAGCATACTGTAGAAAAGCATTTTATGATAAGGGTAAAATAAATTACAAAAATAATGTATTTCTAAGCCACAGACTAAAAGATTATGAAAGAACTTTCTTGTATGATCCTTATTTTGCAATAAAAATATTTGTATATGTACACAGCAAAGACTGGAAGAAAGTATTTTTAAAAATTAAGTAGCCTAGAAATGCAAGTCAGAGACACTTTTCATATTTGCTCATACACTTCACTGAGGGTTAAAAATATTATGAAACCAGTAGAGAGAAAGGATATGTCTCAGTGGGGAAGGGTCCTCAGTTGTCTCCTATGCCTCATTAGAACACAGCCAGGGTAGTGGAGATGGTCAGTGATTATTTGGTGTTATCAGATCTGTAGAGACTCGAACAAGAGGACTCCAGGACTTTTATTGTTTACCCTGCTGGAATGGCTACACCAGGACCCAGAAACAACTTATTACCATGGCAATTTTACTGCTTAAAAAGTTATTGCATGTAGGACTAATGTCTGAGTTCTGAGTTGTTAAATACTTGGTGGTTTGTATTTATGTAACTACCATTTGCTGTACCTGTACCATGAGCTATGGTTCTTCCTTTTGTGTGTACCTGTTTCAGGACCTAGAAATTTTTATTACTTAGGGGCTTCCCACGTGCAGATGTGCCCATGAGCTACGAATGTGTGATCTTCAGTCCAGCCTACCATCTAACTCAATACTCATATTCCTAACTGATTATTTAACATTTATACATAGCTGTCCCACCATCACTCCAAATACAATATGTTCTTCATGTTCTTCCCCAATAAAATTGCTTACATATCCTAATTTCTCTCTTTTCATCAAAGATTTCTATTGCTCGTTTTGTAATAAGACTTGGTATCTTGGTATTATACCTGCTTTTTAAAATTCTCTTGTCCCCTATCTCCAAGCAGTTCTGTCCACTACTGTTTATTTGTTTGAAATCTCTTCTTGGCTGGGTGTGGTGGCTTACACCTGGAATCCCAGCACTTTGGGAGGCAGAGGCAGGCAGATCACCTGAGGTCAGGAGTTTGAGGCCAGCTTGGCCAACATGGTGAAACCCCGTCTCTACTAAAAATACAAAAATTAGCCAGGCGTGGTGGTGAGTGCCTGTAATCCCAGTTACTCAGGAGGCTGAGGCAGGAGGATCGCTTGAACATGGGAGGTGGAGGTTGCAGTGAGCTGAGATCATGCCATTGCACTCCAGCCTGGGCAACAAGAGTGAAACTCCTTCTCAAAAAAAAAAAAAAAAAAAAAAAATCTCTTCCCTCTGATTCTCACTGTTTCCACTTCAGTCTCGTATCTCACAACTCCCCCACCCCATGTAATATTAAATGCTTTGTACTTCCATTCTCCTTATTCCCCTAACTGGGGTGGTTCTA
This sequence comes from Homo sapiens, assembly GCF_000001405.40. Taxonomy (NCBI): domain Eukaryota; kingdom Metazoa; phylum Chordata; class Mammalia; order Primates; family Hominidae; genus Homo; species Homo sapiens. Next base: position 13,189,491 of record NC_000017.11, read on the forward strand.
TACTTAGGTAGAGTGGGTAGGAATTTTCATGGCACTGAAGAAGCCTTCTACACCCAAAACTCTCAAGCTCAGTTGGCTAGAAATTCATCACTGAGTGCCCACTCCATTGATATCTAGCTGAGAAGTTGCTTGTGATCACCATTAACTAAAAACGATACAAGGTGATCATGTACTCTGGACAGCTTAGCATGAAGAAAAAAATAAAAATAGGGTGAATTGAAGAATTCAGAACTTCACCTTACATAGTTTGGAAATGCCATGGAAATTCACCAACTTGATGTTTGTTTCAACTTTAAAAACCTTAACACAATTAACTTTGTCAGTCATTTACATTTTAGAGTAAATGGATTTCTTAGGATTTTTTGGAAGAGCTAGTTATGATAAGGTTGAAGATAAAAGTAATTATAATTTAGTGTTGGAGAAAAGAACACTATCAAAAAGGAGGATGAAGAAAGAGTAAACTTGAAGAGTAGTCTTTTTATTCTACACAACTTTAAATGCTAATAATAAATATTGAATTCTATTTCTATTCAATCAACAAGTATCTGATAAGGTGTGCCTTATGTGTCTGGCTCTGTTATAGAAACTGGAAACAGAGAAGTAAGCAAAACAGACAAGATTTTACTTTCTTGAAGTTTATACTCTAGTAAAAGAAAGATAATAAACAAATACATAATTAGTAAACAAACAAATAAATACACAAACTAAGTGAAGATAATGATACTTAATATGAAGAAAATAAGACAAGGTGCTATGATAGCCACAGAAAGTGGTCACCAAGTGGACTGGATGGTCAGAAAGGGCCTCTCAACAGAGCTTATTTTTAGCTGAAACCTAAATGACAAGAAGACACCAGTCATGGAAAGATCTGAAATAATAACACTACAAAGAGGGAGAATAGCCTGCCATTGCCCAAAGATGGGAAGGAGCTCGTTGGGTCCAAGGAGGAGGAGAAAGGCTTGTGTGGCTGGAGAGAAAGGGAGAGAGGCATGTGATATGAAGTCAGTGGCAATCAGATCATACAGAGTTTTGACGAAGATGGTCATGAATTTGTTGTATTATTTTAAATGAGTCGAGAACTCCATTGAAGGGCTTGATAGTAACATGACATGCTATGATACGGACTTTGAACATAGCACATGGGCTACTGTGTGAAGAATGGATTGTTGGGGGAAAGATGACAACTACTAAGTAGGCTATCAGAGGAATCTAAAGGAGGGACAGTGATGGTTTGGCTCAGAATTGTGGAAGTGGAGTCTGAATGTGGTTGGATTTCAGATATAATTTGGATTTGGGGTATTATTCCTGCAAAATTAGATACTGGTTGAGAAAGGAAGAGGGATCAAGGATGGCTTAATGTCTTTCTTTGAGCAACTGGGTTACTCACTCTCTGAGATGAGAGAGATGGATAGGAGTAAGGAAAAATAAAAAGTTTTATTTGGACATGTTGAGATGCCCACTTGACATTCCAGTGGAAATGTCAGGTTGTAGGTTATGTGTGCCTGGAGCTCCACGTAGAATTCACGTCCAAATATATAAATCAGAGCACTACCAGCTTATTAAAAACATTAGACTGGGTAAGATTGCCTAGTAAGAGTGGAGGGAGGAAGTAGAGAGACAGACAGAGAGAGAAGAGAAAGGAAGAAAAGTAGAGCTTCAGGTTCACATTAACCTTCCAAAAATATCTTTTTTTCTTTTATTAGGGCGTTTTCCTACTCCCTTGCTCAAAGGTCTCCAAAGCTTCTATATTACCATTAGAATTCTATTTACTTTAATGTTTAAAATGCCGAATGAAAATCCTATGTCCTTTCCAATTCTTCTAGTCCACACTGACCTTTCCATATTCTGGCAGTTTTTATACCCTTTGGTATACTGAAGAAGCAACACTGTCTAAAGTAAGTTCTGGCCTTTCTTCTTTGCTACTGAAGATGATCTGTAGCCCTTAGAAAGTCCTGCCAGATAGAAGTGTTTATGTTTGCCTAGCTACAGATCTAACAATGTGATTAATGTTAAAGCCTTTAGGCCACGTGATATCAGTTCTGGCTTCTAGAGGACCAGGGACTAAAGATATTAACTTGATTTCCAGGAGGGCTGGACACAAAGCTCAGTGTATTAGTCAGGTTTCTCTAGAGGGACAGAACGAATAGGTTAGATGCATATATAAGGGGGAGTTTAATAACAAGTATTGACTCACATGATCACAAGGTGAGGTCCCACAATAAGCCGTCTGAAAGCTGAGGAGCAACAAAGCCAGTCCGAGTCCCAAAGCTGAAGAACTGGGAGTCTGATGTTCGAGGGCAGCAAGCATCCAACATGGCAGAAAGATATAAGCCAGAAGACTAAACCAGTCTAGTCTTTCCACATTTTCCTGCCTGCTTTTATTGTGGCCGTACTGGCAGCTGATTAGATTGTGCCTATTCAGATACAAGGTAGGTCTGCCTTTCCTAGTTCACTGACTCAAATGGTAATCTCCTTTGGCAACACCCACACAGACACGCCCAGGAACAATACTTCGCATCCTTTAATCCAATCAAGTTGACACTCAGTATTAACCATAACAGTCAGCCATGCAGGCAATATGGGCTTGGGCCTCAATACAAACTGTGGACACCAAGGACCTGCCTGGACTTCCCTGGCTGACAATACTCCCTGCATGTGGCCAAACGTAGTAGGAGGAGTTAATGTTGTCTATGACTCCATGGGGAAAGGAGGACTAGAACTCTGTGTATTAATATTTCCTGGGCACTGCCCAATGTGTCTCTTCTCTTGGCTGATTTTCATCTGTGTTCTTTCCATGTAATAAATCATAACCATGAGTATAAACAGCTTTCCATGAGCTCTGTCAGTCTTTTAGTAAATTATCAAGCCAGAGGGAAGTTTTGGGAACCCTCCTTATATGGTTTAGCTGTGTCCCTATCCAAATCTCATCTTCAGTTATAACTCCCACAATTCTCACATGTTGTGGAAGGAACCTGGTGGGAGGTGATTGAATTATGGGGGCAGGGTTTTCCTGTGCTGTTTTCATAATAGTGAATAAGTCTCATGAGATCTGATGATTGTATTAGAGGGAGTTTCCCTGCACAAGCTCTCTCCTCTTGTCTGCTGCCATGCAAGACATGCCTTTCACCTGCTGCCATGATTGTGAAGTGTCCCCAGCCATGTGGAACTGTAAGTCCATTAAACCTTTTTTTTTCTTCCCAGTCTTGGGTATGTTTTTATCAGCAGCATGAAAACTGACTAATACGCCTCCAAATCTGTATTTGGTGTTAGAAGTGAGGACAGTCCTGTGTGGGGACTTTTCTCTCTAACTTGGTAGTTGGCATAACTCTTTGCACCTTATTTTGGTAGTTAATTAGGTTTCTATTTTCTTTGTTATTTAGCTATTTTATGTGCTTTGTGTCCTTCTCCGTGGGAGCTGATCTCCTATAGGGCACTTATTTCTTTCATATTCTCCTTAACACCTAGCACAATCTGGGGACTCCTAGTATTTACATTCATACTCGTATTGAATTTAATTGTTGTGTTGAGTCATTATCTTGCTTTTTCTTTTACAAAAATAATTGTGTATTGCTCAAGAAATACTTGGGAAAATTTAATCTTTATTTAATTTCCTTTTTGTGTTTACTAAAATGAGGGCATTTTCTATGTGTGTTTGACCAAAAGGAAGATATAGGAGGGAACAATTTTTCAGAATGTGATTTTCTATTCTGTTTGACCTCCACTGAGTAAATAATGTACTGCAATGTCCTGATGCATAGGCTATAGATTTGGGGGCCTCCTGCAACACTATGAAGAGCCCCAGAAGTTCAGAAACAGGTACTGCTGTGTTTGGAAGAGAAGATCCTTCAGGGAGAACCCTTGAGCCCTGAAACCAAACAGTTCTCTGTTTGGTGTAGTTGTACTTGTCCTGTAAACCTGTTCTCTCCAATATGGTGGCCACTACCCACGTGTGGCTACTGGATGCTTGAAATATGGCTAGTCCGACTTGAGATGTACTGTAAGTATAAAATGCACATTGGATGTTGAAGATTTAGTAACAAAAAGAAAGTAAAATGTTTCATTAATGATTTGTATGAACTGTTCTCATGTTGAGATGATAATACTTTGGAACTATTGGGTTAAATGAAACAATTATTAAAATTAACTTCACCAGCTTCTTTTTACCTTTTTTTTTTTTTTAAAATGCGGCTGCTAGAAAATTTAAAATTACTTATGTGGCTTACATATTTGTAGTGCATCATATTTCTGCTGGACAGTGCTGATCTAAACTCTGAAACAGTTGCTTCCTATCCAGTCATGCGACTGGGGCATTTATCTTTATTTCCAGGTGGCAATAACTCAAAGCCTGCAGGACGCAAAAAGTTCTCTCCCCTTGTTTGGGTGCTAGGAAAGAATGCACAGTTTCCCTGCCTGCTTTTTTGTTTCTAATAGTTATTTTCTTTATGGAATTTTTAAGAGATAGGGAAGATGAAGGAAAAGAGTGAGATCTTTGTTTTCAGTTGTCATCCTTCCAGATTTTCTTGAAAAACCATCTCTAGAAACAAAAGTTTGAGACGCATAGCGAGAACTTAAAAAAAAAGTCTAGAAATCATCTTAAACATGTCAACTCTTCTAAGACTTATCTAAAATAGAAGCTTCAAAAATGTTACTTATTTTCCCCCTTTTAAGTTTTCCGAAAAATGTTCCAGAGCCGAGATTGCATATGCCAAGACTTTGTGAAAAGGACTTTTATTGCAAAGTTACTAGCTCTGAGAATTTGGCTTTAATAAAGAATCCACATAACCTTCCATGAAATGTCAGGAATGTGCTATTTTAGTAATAACCTTACCTGTGTCCTAGGGCACAATGAATGAGAATCTCCATAACAGAGAAAAAAATAATTGAGAATTGGCAGGTGAAATCATCTAGTCATGATATTAATGATTTCTTCAAAGAAGAAGCTGGCTCCTGACTTTATCAAAAACTCATTAAATGCTTGCCAATTTTATAAAAGGAAATATCTATTTTATTTCTCTAAGTATATAGAGATAAGGAGATTTTTAAAATATATAACTGCAGAGGCTGTCTCTGGACAAGTTTAACAATTACTAGTAAATAACCAGAAGATGATATGCTAGCCATGGCCAGATGTGAACATTCTGCACACACCCCTTGTGGTGTGCAAATGGTTGGTCATTTTCTGGTGGTTATCAACTGTGAGTGGTCCTGACCCTCACAAGTGCAGCGAGTTTAATTATATCCTGTTTTAAAGCCAGTTTAGTCATTCAAAATACATTTTTAAAGGCTTCCAATGTAAAGCATAAAAAGAAAAAAAATCTTTTAACCATAATTTAGTAATTCTCCAGCCTTGATTTTTGGCTTTCCTTGCTGCCTAAGTGGTCATATATTTTATAAGCCTTGCTAATTTGCTGTTAAATTTGCTATTTATATGATCCTAGATGATTTGTTGGACTTCATTGAACAAAAAAAGATTTTTATTAGCAGCCAGTGCTTTCAAAGAAGTGGTTTTTTTCACACCATCAAGGCCACTTTCTCAACTTATTGACAGCTTTATGAGTGTAGCTGGATAAAGAACAGTTTCCTGTATCCAAAAGCGTTTTGCATTCCATGGGGCAAAAACTTGGACTTTTAATTAGGATATGAGAGCCTTCCTTTCTCTCCCAACATTCCCCGGGGGCACAGAGCAGTAACACTTGCATTTAGATAGTTAATCACTTTTCCAGACTTCAGCCCACTGAAATTAGGAAGGTTTTTAGGTCAAATGCTTACCTGGCTCTCAGCCAGCCTAGGATGGTATTTATTTCTGCACATCTGCATTTTGTATACATACACACACTGTTTCTCCTTTCTAACTAATTGAGGGTATTTTGCCTACTGCAGAAACTGTCAAATGAATCCTCTTTAGAATCTTATTTGAACCTGCATTTGATATTTGTCACAAGAGAATGAAATATATTCTAGACTTTTCCCATCTGAGATAGCTTTCTGCATTCCCCTCATTCCCTCATTCTTGTCTGACCTCACTATCCAGCATGTTTAGAGAACTTTTAAGGTTTCATGTATCTGTTACATTTTTCTTTATTGTTATAATCCTACCCAGTACAACGTTTTTCCTTTTTCAACATGGTATTAGGGCTTTGATTGTGAAAACAATGAGACACCAAACAGTAAGTGAACATTTTGGGGTTCAAAGTGGTAGCCTGGTTGAGATAATTTGGTAGTATTTGTGTGTCTTTCTACCCTTTGGGGGAAGCACATGCCTCCAGAATATGCCAGTTGGCTGGCTTGGGTTTCTTGCCCCATCCTTGCAGAAATTTGCTGTCAGATATGCAGACTAAATGGGCTTCTGTCGGGCATATGAAAAAGCATAATCTTAGAGTCTTGACTGGTGGCATTGAGTTAATAATAAAGACACTAGGACCAGTTGAGACCTAGTTACTTAAGAAACTGGTAGGTTTTTGATATAAAGATGCTTCTTAGGAAATTTTTCTGAGTTGCCCATTTTTTTGTTTATTTTGTAACTATCTTGAGAAGACTGAAAAATGAACAAAAATTAACAACCCCCACTCTGCCCAAAACATGGGTTTTTATCCATTGCTCAAAATCTGGTGTTTTAGCAATGCCACTGGTAAACTTCTGCCAAATTTTACTATGTTTGAGATTGTAAAATAGAGACCTGCCATATTATCTCAAGATTAAGATATGCATGCATCTGAGTACCTGGCAATAATTTTATTATTTTTTTTTTATTTTAGATTTAGGAGGTACATGTGTAGATTTATTACATGGCTATATTGCATGATGCTGAGATTTGGAGTATGATTTAATCACACAAATAGTGAACATAGTACCCAATAGGTAGTTTTTCAACCCTTGCCCTCCTTTCCGCCTCCCGACATTTGAAGCTCTCAATGTCTATTGCTTTCATCTTTATGTTCATGTGTACTCAATGTTTAGCTCCCACTTATAAGTGAGAACATGCAGTATTTGGGTTTCCATTTCTGTGATAATCCACTTAGAATAATGGCCTCTAGCTGCATCCATGTTGCTGCAAAGAACATGTTTTTGTTCCTTTTTATAGCTACGTAGTATTCCATGGTTTATATGTACCATATTTTCTTTATCTAATTCACCAAGGATAGGTACCTAAGTTGATCCCATATCTTTGCTACTGTGAATAGTGCTACAATAGACTCAAGAGTGCCAGTGTCTTTTTGTAGAGTGATTTACTTTCTTTTGGGTATATACCCAGTAATGGGATTGCTGAGTCGAATGGTAGCTTTGAGTTGTTTGGGAAATCTTCAGACTGCTTTCCACAGTGGTTGAATTAATTTACATTCTCACGAACAGTGTGTAAGCGTTCCTTTTTCTCCATAGCATCATCAACATTTGTTATTTTTAGACTTTTTAATAGTAGCCATTCTGACTAATGTGAAATGGTATCTAAAATTCATATGGGACCAAAAAGGAGCCCAATAGGAAAAATAATCCTAAGCAAAAAGAACAAAGCTGGAAGTATTACATTATTGGACTTCAAACTATACTACAATGGTATAGCAATCCAAACAGCATGATATTGATACAAAAAGAGACATATAGATCAATGGAACAGAATAGAAAACCTAGAAATCAAGCCATATGCCTGCAATCAATTGATCTTCAACAAAGTCAACAATGGAGAAAGGACACTCTATTCAATAAATGCAAACTAGATATCAAAGGAACATACCTCAAAATAATAATAGCCATATTATGAAAAACCCACAGCTGACATCACATTGAATGGGCAAAATCTGAAGGCATACCCCCTAAGAATTTAGAACAAGACAAGGATGTCTACCACTCTCATTATTCAACATAGTACTGGAAGTCCTAGCCCGAGTAACCAGGAAAGAGAAAGAAATAAAAGGCATCCAAATAAGAAAATAGGAAGTTAAATTATCTCTCTTCACTGATGATATGATTCTATACCTAGAAAACCCTAAATATTCCACCAGTACTCGTAGACCAAATGACTTCAGTGAAGTTTCAGGATACAAAATCAACTCACAACAATCAAAAGTTTTTAACTATCTTCTCATGCTTTTTATTTCCATCTTATCTTCCGTGAACACACCTACATATACACACGCTAACACACAAGCATTCGCAACATCTAGGCAATTTACAAGTAGCAAGAAAACCCAAACTAATTCTGAATGTATTGCTCTATGAGCCATTTGCTTAGAATGTGCTGACCACTGTGTTGAAGTAATGGGAAAAGTCACAGGATGCAGTAAGCACACTGAACACATTCTGATTTAGAGCTTGGCTGTATCAATTATTTGCACAAAGCTTTTAGAATGCCAATATTTGCAACTAAGACAACTAATGCTGAGGGTTAGTCTGTTTGCTTTTTTAACAGATTATGGTGAAAGTTAGATCTCTTCTAATCTGTGTGAAATACATATTTTCTTCACGGGCTACTTTATATTGATAATCACAGAGCCTGAACTCCAGCATCTTTGGGGGAACCCACTCTGCTCTTCTTGAAATCAATAAGATAGTAAAATTGAATTTTAATATCTTCCATTTCTACCCTTACGATTCTGGCAATTACATTTTTTTTCTTCCTGGTCTATGCAATCACTCTGCTTGCTCTATTTTTAGCAACTTATCTCCTGGTGTTTCCTTTTCTGCTACAAGTTCCTTCTCTCACACAAGGGTGATCTTCATCCTGTAGAAAGGAAGTCAACCCAGGAGCTAGGGAGTCTCTGGTTAGCTCTGGCCCCTATTAGCTGTGATGACTTAGGCAGATCAGTTCCTCTGGGCCTCAAGTTCTTTACTCACCTAGAGAAAGGAATTAGACCAAATGTTTCCTACGGTACTTCCCAACTGTTAAATTTTGCTATCCCCCAAAGGCAGCTGCATACATTAGAATTCTTGGTGCAGAAATAGGCCTCAAGGAACAGTACATCTAGACTGGTTTCAGAACTTCACTTTCCACCATTTTGCTATAGGGTGTGTTTCAGAAAAAAACTCTGAAACTGTGTTGTCCTCTGTTCTCACCACAACAACGATCAACACAGAAGACTTCTGTGTCCAAACGTGGAGATTTCCTCCCCACCAAAAAACATGCAGTCAATTGTGCAGCAGACACCAGCTGAGTGTCTTCCAAGTCAATCCCGACGTTATCTACCTGGATCCCACAGGTTGAGGGCTCCATACCCAAGACCAACCCCTCCCTCCCACCAGTCATCAGTCTGGGTCTCTAAAACTTTTGATGTCTTCATTTGGCTTTACATTGGGGTTCCCATGATCCCCTCTGTGGGTTCAGTTAATTTACTGGAGCAGCTCACAGAACTCGGGGAAACACTTACTTATGTTTACCAGTTTATTACAAAGGATATTTTAAAGGATACAAATAAACAGCCAGATGAAGAAATGCATAGGGCGAGATCTGGAAGGGTCCTGAGTGCAGGAACTTGTGTCCCAGTACAGCTGGGGAGTGCCACCATTCTGGCATGTGGATGAGGTCTTGTTAGCTGCCTGTCCACTTTCACATGTTCAGACATCTGGAAGCTCTCTCAACTCTGTCTTCTTGGGTTATTATGGGCTTTATGATGTCAGCATTCCTTCCCATACGATATAGAGCGGTACCCTGGAATGACGGTCATATGACACACAATCACAAAGGCAGGGAAAGATCGGAGTCCTGCCTTGGGTCAGGAAAAGGAAAAGCAGGAGAAGGATAGAGAAATTATCTTCTGAGACCTAACACACCCAGAATTATAACAAAAGACCGTAACAACAGCTATAGGAGTTATGAGCCAAGACCCTGAATGAAACCCTATGCATATCTCATAATACAACAGTGCCCTAGAAGATTCTTGTAGCCAATTTAATACATTTGATGTATGAAATATTTTGGAAATTTTTTTAAGATTCCATCTATGTATTTCACTTTAGCTCTTGGATTTTTTGGCCTTCCTAGTCAAACAGTGCACACTTTTCTTGTTTTCTTCCTTTTTCCTCTCTTTTTTTCTCTCTCTCTTTCCATCTTTCCTCCTTCCCTCCTTGTTCCCTTCCTTCCCTCCCACTCTTCTTTCTTTTTCCTTCCTTCCTTTCTCTTTTCCTTTCCTTCTTTCTTTCTCCTCCCTCCCTTTCTCCTCCTTCCCCTTCCCTTTCTTCCTTTCTTTCTCTCTCTCTCTTTTTCTTTCTTTCCTCTCTCTTTCTTTCTTCCTCTCTCTCTCTTTCCTTCCTGCCTTCCTTCCCTCCCTCCCTTCCTTCCTGCCTTCCTGCCTTCTCTCTCTTTCCTTTCTTCTCTCTTTCTTTTCTTTTTTCTTTCTTTCTTTCTCTCTCTCTCTCCCTCCCTCCCTCCCTCTCTCTTTCTTTCTTTTTCTCTCTCTCTCTTTCTTTTCTTTCTTTCTTCCTTTCTTTCTCTTTTCTTTTGTTTTATTTCTCCCTCCCTTCCGCCCTCCTTTCCACTAGTGACAAAACAAGCTATTCCCTCTTCACTTGCTTCATAGAAAAATGCTCCTTGACTCACTGTCCCCTGCTTATGCTGATATACGCAGCCATACTCTCCAATAAACCTACATACCCTTGGATTATACATATAGGAGAACAATTGCTACCTCTATATTTATATAGATATAGTGCCTAGGTGTGTGTGTGTGTGTGTGTGTGTGTGTGTATGCACATGTGCATGTGAGGAAAGAATGCAGCAGGCTTTTACTCCTTCACCTCATCCCAATTTTCTGCTATACAGTTTAATGTTGGGTGTGCAAAAAGATAGTCATCACTTTGTTCTAGATATCTGTATTAGTTATCTATTGCTCTGTTACAAATTACCCCAAAATGTATTGGCTTAAAGAGGTGAATCAATAAATCCAGTCCATACTCAAGGGGAAGGCATTACACAAAGCTATGAATACCAAGAAGTAAGGATCACTGGGAGTCATTTTAGAGGCTACGTATCTCAGGTCTCTAGTATCTAACAATTTATGTTCCTCCCACATGCAAAATACATTCACCTCCTCCCAACGTCTTGAAAAGTGTGAACTCAGAGTCTAATATATCATCATCTAAACCAGGTTCTGGTGAAGAGGAGGCTCCTGGGGTGTAGTATCTTAAGTACTGCTCTTTGAATATAGTTACTCTTGGTCAGTCGACCTGAGAAACTAAAGAGACAAGTTATCTCACTTCCCTGTGCCCAACAAACAATGGTAGTACACGTATAGAATCATTGCAATAGGCATTCCCATTCAAAAGGGGAGAAAATGGGAGGCACAAAGGAATTACTGGTCCATAGCAATTCTGGTCCATAGCAATTACTTGTCCATAGCAATTCTGAAACTCAGCCAGGCAAATGTTGGAAGTACTTTAATTCAATTTCATGGAGTGGGAGATTTTCTGTGGCTCTTGGCTCTGCCTTCTGGAGTGTTTGTTCTGAGTCATTTCTTTTCCATGAAAGATAGCATATGTTTATAGCTGAGAGACTCTTTCAATCTGCTTCCTGCCAGGAGAATTCTAGGAACCTAAAGATTTGGTCTTTTCCCAGAAGAAGCCATTTCTTAATTTTAAAGCCATCACTTGCCATTGGGAAGGGGTGAGACTTTTCAAAATCATCAAGCCTTAGTTCCTTGTTATTTAAGAGTCCTCTTCTCAATTTATCTCTCTCACATTTTACCATAATCATCAAGGTGAAACAAACGGCAACCTCAACGATTTGCTTAGACATATTTGCTATATTACCAGTTGATTAACCATGTTGTCCTCTCTCTACATAACCACAGACAACAGTGTTGCTATACTCTCTGCCCCTTCATAGCAAACATTTTTCTTACTCCAGTTTCCAGTGAGATTTTCTTCATTTTTCTTTTCTTTCTTTTCTTTTCTTTTCTTTTTTTGAGATGGAGTCTTGCTCTGTCACCCTGACTACAGTTCAATGGAGCGATCTTGGCTCACTGTAACCTCTGCCTCCCAGATTCAAGCGATTCTCCTGCCTCAGCTTCCCAAGTAGCTGGGATTACAGGTACCTGCCACCGCACCTGGCTAATTTTGGTATTTTCACTAGAGACGGGGTTTCACCATTTTGGTCAGGCTGCTTCATTTTTCTTTAAGCCTTCAACTGTAGTATCTCCAAAGATTAATAGTTTCTTCCAAGTACTTTCATTAACACTCTCCATAAAGTCCACTGCCTGCTTCCAAAGCCATTCCTACATTTTAGAGTTTTTGGTTTTTTTAAGCAGAAGAACAATTGCAATATTAAGGATTGAATGGACCTAAAGAGAAATATTGCTGTGGCTCTCCTTGATTAAAGTGCTCAGCAAGACTCTATAACTTTTCTGGAAGCCAATAGGGCTAAGATAAAATTTCCAAGTATCTAGGAATGTTTAATCTTGTACTTTCTGAGGGAAGGGAAATAAACTTGCTAGCCTCTTATGTTTCCTTATGCAGACAGACTCAAGGATTCTGGAATAGCAGCTCATTGTTCTTTTTAGATTTTGAGATTTGGCAGGTTTTTCTGAGAATGCTTTGACTGTGGGTAGTGATTAATGTAGACCATGTCTATTTAAGGTTTTGGCCATGTCAGACATTTAGACTGAGGGTGGCATAACCACCTTAGGACTTTCCCAAGGCTCCAGAATAAAGGATAGAATAAAACCAGGAACTTTTCTATATTTGACAGACAATGGTATGCTTCTTACATTTACCCATTTGTCTTATGTTTTCTCCTTTTTTTGGTTTTACATACGTCACACATATTCGTGTACATGTATCTCTGTATATGTGTTAAGGGTGGCTCTGGTGGTCAGAAATTCACATTATTAATAGTTCAGAAATAAATAATTTTGCTTGAGAAGTTACCTAGGCTTTCATCTTGTCAATAGTAGCCTTCCTAACGTTCCTTCAAAAAAAATTTATGCCTAAGCTCTTCCTGCTTCAATATATACCAATGTATACATCACTATTTCTATCCAATAATGTAAATGTTGGTTTTCTAGGCATTTCTTTTAAGAATGCAGTGCTACTGGGGGGTGTAGCAAAAATCACAACTATTTGCCCAGTAATTCAGGCAATTTATCTTCAACTGGTTTGTTGGTACTGCTCAGAATCTTCTCCTGAAATAAACCTCATTTGGTTTGAGCTCATTGTACAATATCTTCCTCCCAGCCACAATTGCAACCTTTTTTCTTTCAATAAATATTTATTGAACACATACTATGTGCTAGGTATAAACACTAACCAAGAGAGTTATGATCTCTGCTCTTAGAGAGTTTAGCATATAGTGAAAATGTAAAAATGAAAATAAGTATAGGATGAAAATAAGTATAATGTGATAAATATTTTGACAGATAAGGAATATGTGTGGTGGGCAAGAATAATGAGGAATGTCCTGCTTACAGGTTAGTTAATCAGGAAAATTTTCAATGAGGAGAAAAAGATGAGGCAAAGAAATGCTGAGCCAACTGTGTGGCTGGAGTGCAAACAGATACAGGGTTGAGAAGGCTTGTTGCACTTTGCTAACTCCAAGCAATTTATTGTGTCTGGAATATTGAGTCTAACTTGGGGAGTGGCGAGAGTTCACACTAGAAATGATTGACAGAGTACGATCATGCAGTCATTATACACTATGTGAAGGAATTTGGATTTTATGTGAAGGTAAGATGAGGTGACTTAACCAAACATATATTTGGAAATAATCATTCTGATAACAGCAGTGCTAGACCCAGGTTTTGTGGGGCCTGATAATGTGTAATTTGGGAGCTCTCTTTAAGAAAAAAAATAGAATGAATTTAAAAATACAAATTAAGTTCGCAGTGAATATTTGTTTAGAATAAGAAAACATAACAAATTACAAATTTTAAACTGCTGAGACAAATCAGAAAATCCAGAAAATAAATATGTTTTATGACTTTATTGCCAGCACACGTCTGTTGTCTATAAAAGATTTTCCCCTGCCGTGTGCGGTGGCTCACGCCTGTAATCCCAGCACTTTGGTAGGTCGAGGCAGGCAGATGACAAGTTCAGGAGTTCAAGACCAGCCTGGCCAACATGGCGAAACCCTGTCTCTACTACAAATACAAAAATTAGCTGGGCGTGGTGGCGGGTGCCTGTAATCCCAGCTACTAGGGAAGCTGAGGCAGGAGAATCGCTTGCAACCGGAAGATGGAAGTTGCAGTGGGCCAAAATAACGCCACTGCACTCCAGCCTGGGCAACAAGAGTGAAACTCCGTGTCGAAAGAAAAGATTTTTCCCCTATGTATGTAGATACCAGACCCTCTTATTCACTTCTTCATAGGGCAGTGATTTTGTTCTATCACTTCCCATTGACAGAATAGAAAGATAATGTAGTTTTTCCTCCATCATGATTAATAGCAATTTGATTATTATTAACAGTTTATTATTTATCTATGTTTTTTAGAGACAGAGTCTTGCTCTGTCACCCAGGCTGGAGTGCAGTGGTATAATCATAGCTCACTGCAGCCTCAAATTCCTGGGCTCAAGCAATCTGCATGCTTCAGCTTCCAAAATACCTGAGACTATAGACACATGTCACCATGCCTGGCTAATTTTTCTTATTATTTGTAGAGACGATATCTTGCTATGTTGCCCAGGCTAGCCTTGAGCTCTGGCCTTAAGCCATCCTCCTGCCTTGGCCTCCCAAAGTGCTGGGATTAGAGTTGTGTGCCAGGATGCCAATTGTTAATAGTTTAGAATAATTTTTTCACCTTCACAATTTTTTGGTTGTGTTATACAGATTTTCCAGTTTGTCTGCCAAATTTGAGAAAACCACTAAAGGAGTATTTTACATATTATGAATCATAAGACTTTGATTTGGCATATCAAGGTATCTTACCTTGGCACATTTGAAAAAACACGTGGCCATAGAAACATACTAAGAAGACTCTGCAAGTCTCAGAAGGGGCTAGTGCAAGCAAGGGACCAGGAAACTCAAGTCTTAGTGGCTTTAGAGCACTTCTGCTGCTCAGGAGCCAAAGAGAAAATGGACCAAGGAGATGTTGCTTGAACACAGTAATCTCAGTGGGGCCATGGGCTAAGGCATGTTACTAGGAATGAAGAAGAAATACATATTTGATTTTTACATGTCTCCTTTAAGGAGGAATATAATTGATAGGATTTCGGTAATTGACTTTTCGTAGGGGTTATGCAAGGTGGAAAGGGAGCAAACAGGGAAGACCAGCAACTTTCTGGCTTGAGTCACTGGAGGAGCTGATGTCATTGAGGCTTGAAACATGACTAGGAGATAAGATCTGTGAGTATAATTAAACTTGAGGGTCTGTGTGGTAATTGAGTCAGCAACGTGGGTCTGGAGAGCAACCTGGGTGATGGTGAAACTGACGGGGTTGAGAAATTGATGGTGCCATCAATCAGCGGAATGTTGGAGCTGGAGTCAGGGATTTGCCCCTTTGCTGCAGCCAAAGAAGCCCTATAATTACTGAAAGCCAGGCTGATGGCCCTAGAAGTATCATAGAGGCTTGGCTTGCGGCAAGCCCTACCTCTCCAAATGTGCTGGCTAGAGTATCTCATCCACTGTTTCCACTGCCACCACCACACCCTCTTGTTAAACTTGATTTAATATGTCTCACGACAAAAAGCCCCGAGCACAAAGTTCATAGGCTTTTAGTGGGCTAACTGTCTCAGTTTACAGTCAGGTAACAAATCAGGGCATTTTTTTCCCACTTCTGTAAGTTCTAGTTGATTCTTTTTATCATCTTTTCTGCCTATTATAACCAGTCTTTTTTTCCTTACTCATACTCTCTTATTCTGACTTATTCCAAAATAATTTTAAACATTCTTACTTATGTTTTGTGTCTGATAAAAACAACCTCTGAAGTCTTTTCTGTTCTACTGTTCTTTATTATATCGGCTTATTCTCACTCATGGTGTCTTTTTTGTTGTATGCTTTGTCGTTGTTTTCTAGTTTAGTTTTCATTTTGACCTTGTATTCACTGGAAATTTCTCAGTACTACAGTAGGAATTCTTTGAGGTCTGCAGTGGGAACAAATTCCCTGAAAAAGATTATGTTTGATCCTGCCTGGAGGCACTGTGAATTCCTGGAATTACTTTAGACTAACATCTCGATTTATTAGTTACTTTGCTTGTTTTTAGAATATGTTTTTAGATTTCCAAACCAAGTAAAAGCCAGCCCACAGTTGCAAATTATGAAGGGAGACTTTTTCTCTTTACCCAAAGACAAGGTAGTAGTAGGAAACCGTCTTTGCTGTCTTTCTTCATAATGTAGATTTCCGTATTTGTCTTCCGATACTCTATTTTGCAGAGCGTTTTCCAGATCCACAGGAAGTTTTGTATCCAACTCTTCACTTCATCAGGTATATAAAGGAAGTTTTGTTGGGAAGGTGTCATGTTCCTAGACTTAGACTTCTTTCTCTGGACAGTTGCTAAAAGTGAAGATTTGGGTAACAGAGTAATACAGATGCCCTTAGGGTAATCAGCAGCTTCAGAGCTCACTTTGCTGGATTCATGAATTGGCTCTGTAATTGGCCTCTAAGGATTTTCCTCATTTTCTCGCCAGCTCAGTCACACATGTAAAATGATCATTTTTAGATATTTCATTCCTGGTGGGTTATTCAGATTATTGCTGGACCTGGAAGTCAACCATGGTTTTCTTATACGTTTCCCAGCCCTGCACAGCATTTCTAATTGCTTTCTTTTCTCCTGTTGATAAGAGCATGGTGCGTCTTTTACCATACACTCCAATTATCTAGCTTATCTTTCATATCTATAAGGAATCTACTGCCTTCACACCCATTTCTTGGAGACCTTTTTTTTTTTGTCTCAACTTTTATTTTAGGTTCAGGGGATACATGTGCAGGTTTATTACGTGGGTAAATTACATGTCATATGGGTTTGTTGTACAGATTATTTTGTCATCGATAAAAGAAAAACTTTAGCTGAATTAAATTTAATGGAGTTTAATTGAACAATGAATGATTCACAAATCGGGGAGCCCCCAGAATCACAGCAGATTCACAGAGACTCCAGCGCAGCCACGTGGTGGAAGATTTATAGACCAAAAAAGGGAAATGACGTACAGAAATCGGCAGTGAGGTACAGAAACAGCTGGATTGGTTACAGGTTGGCGTTTGCCTTATTTGAACACAGTTTGAACACTTAGCAGTCTATGAGTGATTGAAATATGGCCTTTGGGACCAGGCCAAGGCTCAGTTACTGTTACAGGCACATACTCCTAAGTTAGGTTTTCAATGTTGTCTGACTATTAAGGTAGGTTACAGTTCATCCATCCACAAGGACTCAAATATAGAAGTACAGAGTCCTTCTCAGGTCATATTTAGTTTGCTTTAACATCATCCAGGTAATAAGCACAGTACCTAACAGGTAGTTTTTCCGTTCTTACCATTCTCCCACCATACACCTTTACACCCTTAAGTAGGCTCCTTGTTCCCTTCTTTGTATCTATGTGTAGTCAATGTCTAGCTCCCCCTTGTGAGAACATGCCATATTTGGTTTTCTGTTCCTGTGCTAATCGGTTAAAATAATGGCCTCCAGTTGCATCCATTTTGCCGCAAAAGACATGATTTCAATATTTTTTATGGCTGTGTGGTATCCCATGGTGTATATGTGTATACCACATTTTCTTTATCCAATCCACCATAGACGGGCACTGTGGTTGATTCCATGTCTTTGCTATTGTCAATAGGACTGCAATGAACATATGCATGCATGTGACTTTATGATAGAACAATTTATATTCCTTTGGGTATACACCCAGTAAGGAGATTGCTGGGCTGAAAGGTAATTCCGTTTTAACTTATTTGTGAAATCTCCAAACTGCTTTCCACGGGGGCTGAACTAATTTACATTCCCACTAGCAGTGTATAAGCATTCTCTTTTCTCTGTAATTTCTTATTTTTTGACTTTTTAATAGTAGCCATTCCGACTGGTGTGAGATGGTATCTCCTTGTGGTTTTGATTTGCATTTCTCTAATTATTAGTGGTGTTGAGCATTTTCTTATATGCTTTTTGGCTGTGTGTATGTCTTCTTTTGAGACTTCATTTCTTGGAGACCTTGAACATTCTACCCCACTATGAACCAGTGACTTTTCAACCACCATCCTGAGATCTCTTTTCTCTTGCTAGGGTGAACCTACTATTTCCTGAATCCAATGGCTTCCAATATTTTGAATGTTTCTGCATTTTCCTTATCATTTCATTAAACAACTTCTCAGTTATTGGACACTTTTAAGTCCATTCACATCTAAAAATGCCTTTATTTTGCTCTCAAACTTGATGGATTTTTTTGTATGAAATATAGGTTTAAAATAAATGACCTGAGCTTCCAGTTTTACTTCCAGCATCTGAAGAGCTCAGAAGTCATCACTCTTGTCCTCACAACAAGAAAAAAGCTGAACACATTAATAATCAATAACTTTTCTTGGACCATATTGAGAATTGAAGTCCCAGGGCAAACCACCTTATAAAATCTGGAGAGACTAGCAAATTCAGAGTCACAGCCAAGATATTTCTACCTAGAGCAACAGTCACTAAAGCCTTAAACTTAAATCTTTATCACTAAAGATATTCACATGAAAGTGAATATCTCCTAGGGCTGCACACTCATGGGTTTTACTTCCAGGAACCCCACCAGGTTCTTGCAGTGAAGAACAAGGAAAGATCTCCTGGTTTTATATGTATATATACATACATATAATAGCAGGGGGAGGAAAAAAGAAATCTTTTGGAAATGCCCAGAGTATTCTCTACAACAAAGGACTACTCTCTAAGGGGCATGACTTTTCCAGGGCCTATGAGAGCCAAGGAGAAGGTCACTTACCCACCTCTGGTCCTCTCTATCCTTCCCGTCTCACGTAAGCAGAAAGAAGGAATGCTAGGAAACATTTGTGAAAGTCACAACCCAGGAGCACAGTTCCACTGAAATATTTAATCATAAGATTTTAGAGTGCTTTCACTATCCTACACCTTACTACCATATCAACAGGGCCCCAGTATAAAAACTGTATATTAGAGTTGTAAGAGGAGCAATGTGCAGACCCTATTTAAGAAGGAGTTCCTAGGGAATCCCAAAGACAATAGGGAAGACAAAAACAGGGACACTAGAAGAATTTGAAGCTTCTGTCACGTACATCTACAGGAAACGTTAAACAGCCCAGCACCTGGCCAGATTAACATAAAACCTCACATTAAAGTGCTTTTACCTCAGTTCATACAACCAATACATAATGCCCAGCTTTCATTAAAAAAATTACAAGGCAAAAAAGTAACACAGAGCAAAGACAGAAGGCAAGCATCAGGACCAGATTCTTACAAGACACATATTTTGGAATTATGAGACTGGGAATTTAAAATAAATGGGGGAGGGGCTCAAATAAAAAAAATGATGAGCTGCAAGAATGATTAATAAAATAAGCAAAGAGATAAAAACCCTAAGAATCAAAATAAAATGTTAGAAACCAAAACACAGTAACAAGCATGGAGAATATCTTTAATGGTTCCATGAGTAGACTGAATGTGGCTGAGGAAAGAATCAGTGAGCTTGAGGATATGTCAATATCAGCTTTCTAAACTGAAATGCAAAGAGAGAAGAATTTTTTAAATACCGAAAAAATATCTGAGAAATATGGGACAATTTCAAAAGTATAAAATATACACAATTGCAACACTAAAAGAAAGAGATAACAGAGTAGAAAAATATTTGAAATAATAGTGGCTGAAAATTTTCCAAAAGTAATGACAAATACAAAACCACAGATCCCAGAAGTTCAGAGAATGCCAAGATAAATACCACAAACTATGCCTACTAGGTACATTATATTCGAACCAAAAAAAACTAAAGACAGAAAATCTTGAAAAAAGCAGAGCTGCGATTTGGAAATTTACCAACAGAGGATAAGTTATACAAGCTAGAAGAGAATGGAGTGAAATATGTAAAATGTTGGGAAAAGAACAAAACTCACCAACCTAGAATTCCATACAAGAGAGTTTTTTTTTTAAATTTCTAATTTTTAAAATTAGAAAATAAGTGCTCCTTTTTCTCCACAACCTTTCCAGCACCTGTTATTTTTTGACTTTTTAATAATAGCCATTTTGACTGGTGTGAGATGGTATCTCATTGGGTCTTTGATTTGCATTTCTCTAATGATTAGTGATGTTGAGCTTTCTAAAATATGTTTGCTTGCTGCATGTATGCATGTCTTCTTTTGAAAAGTGTCTGTTTATGTCCCTGGCCCACATTTTAATAGGGTTGTTTGTTTTCTTCTTGTAAATTTGTTTAAATTCCTTTTAGATGCTGTATATTAGACCTTTGTCAGATGCATAGTTTGCAAAATTTTTTTTTCCATTCTGTATGTTGTTTTCTTTGTTGATAGTTTCTTTTGCTGTGGAGAAGCTCTTTCAGTTAATTAGATTCCATTTGTCAATTTTGGTTTTTGCTGCAATTGCTTTTGACTTCTTCATCATAAAATCTTTGCCCATGCCTATGTTCTGAATGGTATTCCCTAGGTTGTCTTGCAGAATTTTATAGTTTTGGGTTTTACATGTAAGTCTTCTATCCATCTTGAGTTAATGTTTATATATGGTGTAAGGAAGGGGTCCACTTTTAATCTTCTGCCTATTGCTAGCCAGTTATCCCAGCACCATTTATTGAATAGGGAATCCTTTCCCTATTGCTTGTTTTTGTCAGATTTGTTGAAGATCAGATAGTTATAGGCATGTTGCCTTATTTCTGGATTCTCTCTTCTGTTCCATTGGTCTATGTGTCTGTTTTTGTGCCAGTACCATGCTTTTTTGGTTACTGTAGCCCTGTAGTATAGTTTAAACTCAAGTAGTGTGATGCCTCCAGCTTCATTCTTTTTGCTTAGGATTGTCTTGGCTATTTGGGCTCTTTTTTGGTTCCACATGAATTTTAAAATATTTTTTTCTAGTTCTGTGAAGAATCTCAATGGTACTTTAACAGGAATAGCATTGAATCTATAAACTGCTTTGGGCAGTATGGCCATTTTAATGATATTGATTTTTTTCTATCCATGAGCATGGGATGTTTTTCCATTTGTTTGTGTCATCTCTGATTTCTCTGAGCAGTGTTTTGTAGTTCTCCTTGTAGAAAACTTTCATCTCCCTACTTTGCTGTATTCCTTGGTATTTTATTCTTTTGTGGTAACTGTGAATGTGATTACATTCTTGATTTGGCTCTCGGCTTGAGAACTTGTTGGCGTATAGAAATGCTAGTAATTTTTTGCACACTGATTTTGTATCCAAAGACTTTGCTGAAGTTGTTTGTCAGCTTAAGAAGCTTTGGGGCTGAGATTATGGGGTTTTCTAGATATAGGATCATGTCATCTTCAAGCAGGGGTAGTTTGATGTCCTCTTGTCCTATTTGGATGCCTTTTTTTTTTTTTAATCTTTCAGTTGTCCTGTCTGAGACAACTAATATTTTGGATAAGAGTGGTGAGAGAGGGCATCCTTGTCCTGTGCTGGTTTTTAAGGTGAATGTTTCCAGCTTTTGCCCATTCAGTATGATGTTGACTGTGGATTTGTCATATATGGCTCTTATTATTTTGAGCCATGTTCCTTCAATACCTAGTTTATTGAGAGCTTTTAAGATGAAGAATGTTGAATTTTATTGAAAGTCTTTTCTGCATCTATTGAGATAATCATGTGGTTTTTGTCTTTAGTTCTGTTTATGTGATGAATCACATGTATTGATTTGCATATGTTGAACCAACCTTGCATCCCAGGGATAAAGGCTTCTTGATCATGTTGGATAAGCTTTTTGATATGCTGCTGGATTCAGTTTGCCAGTATTTTGTTGAGGATTTTTGCATCAATGTTCATCCAAGATATTGGCCTGAAGTTTTCTTTTCTTTTTTTTTGTATCTCTGCCAGGAGAAAAATGAGTGCTTATACATTGTTGTTGGGAAGGTAGATTAGTTCAACCATTGTGGAAGACAGTGTGGCAGTTTCTCAAAGACCTAAAGACAAAAATAACATTTGGCCCAGCAATCTGATTACTAGTTATATACCCAAAGGAATGTAAATCATTCTATTAATAAAGACACATGCAGGCACCACTATTTGAAATAGCAAAGACATGGAATCAACCTAAATGCCCATCAATGATAGACTAGATAAAGAAAATATGGTACATATACACCATGGAATACTTTGCAGCCATAAAAAAGAATAAGATCATGTCCTTTGCAGGGACATTATCCTTAGCAAACTAATGCAGGAACAGAAAACCAAATACTGCATGTTCTCACTTATAAGTGAGAGCTAAATGATGAGAACTCACGGACACATAGAAGGGAACAACACACACTGAGGCCTATTGGAGGGTGGAGGGTGGGAGGAGGGAGAGGATCAGTAAAAAGAACAATAATGGGTACAAAGCTTAATAGCTGGGTGCTGAAATAATTTGTATAATAAACTCTCATGACAGAAGTTTACTTATATAACAAACCTGCACATGTACCCCTGAATGTAAAATACAAGTTAAAGAAAATTAGGAAGAAATAAATACTTTCTTAGGCAAATAAAAACTGAGAATTTATCATTAGTGGAACTGCCCTGCAGAAAATGCTGGACAAAGTCATTCAGGAAGGAGAAAAACGTAGTAAGTTAGCAACTTGGATCTACATAAAGAAGGAAACAGCATCAGAGAATGCATAAATGAAGGTAAAACAGCATCTTTTACCTCTTAAGTTCCAAATTGACCTAAAATAACTTTATCTAAAGCAATGATAGTGACAATATATTGGGCAATTATAGCATATGAATAAATAAAATAAATGGCAGTATCTCGCCTGGGACAGGAAAGAAGAATTAAGAAAAGTCTGTTAAGGTAAATGCACTACATATAAAGTGGTAGAATATTATTTAAAGGTGAAATTGTGCTAGTTGTAAATGTGTTGCAAACTGTATGGCAAGAACCAACATTTTCGTTAAAAGAAATTTAATTGATAGACTAAAGGAAGAGCTAAAATGGAATTATGCAAAATGTTTAATTAAAACCAGGGAAGACAGTAAGAGGAGAAAAAGAAGAAAAGAAACAACAAATACAATAAATAAAAAACTGTTACAAGCATGATGGATATTCACCCAAGTATTTCAATAATCACTTTAAATGTGAATGATGTGAATAAGCCAATTGAAAGACAGAGGTCTGCAGAGTAAATTTTAAAAAAAAGCTTAACTGTATGTTTACTCCAAGAAACTGACATTAAATATAAAGATAGACCAAAAGTAAAAAGAAGGAGTGACATATACTGTGGTAACACTAATCAAAAGAAGGCTGGAATTGCTATATTAATTTCAGCAAATTTCAGGAAAAAATTATCAGGGATAAAGGGGATAATTACATAATAATAAAAGGGTAAAATTTCCCAAAAGACATAACAATCCTTAACCTAACAGCAGAGCATCAAAATATGTGAAGCAAAGATTGACAGAACTGTAAGGAAAAAAATACATTACACCACTATTATTGTTGGAGACATCAGTACCCCTTTTTCCATAGTGATAGATGAAGGAGGCAGAAAATCAATGAGGATAAGGTTGAACTGAACAGCTGTGTCAATAAACTTGACCTAACTGGCATTTATAGAGAGCTCTATGCAACAGCAGAAGAATACAAATTCTCAAGCTTACATGGAATATTCACAAAATTCTGTGCCACAAAACACAGCTTAACAAATTTAAAGTAGTAGAAATCATACAGAGTATTTTTTCAGACCACTATGGACTTAACATAGAAATCAGTAACAGAAAAATAGTGGAAATATCTTAAATATTTGAACATTAATTTTTATCTCAGTTCATTTTCTGCTGCTATAACAGAATACCACAGACTGGATAATTTATAAATAAAAGAAGTTTATTTGGTGTGTGGTTCTGGAACCAGGGAAGTCCAAGAGCAATGTACCAGCATCCAGTGTGAATCAACCCACTGGAGAAAGGTGGAAGGCAGAAGGGCAAGAGAACTCACGTAAGAGAGTTCACTTTTGTAACAAAACTAGAGCAGAAGTCAATGAATTTAAAAGCACATAATAATAATAATAATAATAATAATAATAGTAATAATAATGAAAATCAACAAAATCAAAAGCTAGTTATTTGGAAAGACCAATAAAAATGGGAAAACTCTTGCCAGGATAGCTAAGGAGAAAAAAGAGAAAAAACACAAATTACTAATAGCAGACATGAAAGAAAGATCATTGCCACTGATCACATAAACATCAAAAAGAATAATAAAGAAACAGTATGTAAAACTGCATGCCCACAAATTTGATAATTTAGATAAAATGGACAAACTCTTTGAAAGACATAAATTATCAAAACTCAAACAAAGAGAGGCAGATAATTTCAACAGGACTATATCTATTTTAAAATTAAGTCAATAATCAATAACTTTATGAAAAGAGAGCACCAGGCTCAGGTGGTTTTCGTGGTGAATTCTAGCAAACACTAAGGAAGAAATAATATGAATTTTCTACGATCTCTTCCAGCAAACAGAAAATTTAACACTTCCTAACTTATCCTATGAGGCCAACATATTACCATCACACTAAAACCAGATAAACTCATTATAAGAAAGAAAAACCATAGACCAATATTTCTCATGAACATGTGGTAGATAGAATTATACACCCCTATCAACCCTCACCCCCAATGGTATCCACATTCTAATCCCTGGAATCTGTTACCTTACATGACAAAAGGTACTTTGCAGATATTGTTAAGGCCTTTGAAATGGAATGACTATCCTGGATTAACTGGGTAGGACTAATGTAATCATAGGGATCTTTAAAAGAAGAAATGATAGGGTCAGAGTCAGAGAGGAGATGTGATGACAGAAGCAGGTGTTGGAGTAACATTCTCTGAAGATGGAGGGCGGGGCCAGTAGCCAAGGGATACAGTAGGCCTCTAGAAGCTGGAAAAGGCTTGTAAGTAGATTATCTCTTGAAAATTCCAGAAGGAATGAAGCTCTGCCAACGTCTCAGTGTTAGCCTGTAACACTCACTTCACACTTCTGACTTCCAGAACTGTAAGGTAATAAATTTTTGCTGTCTTATGCCATTAAGTGTGTGATAACTTTTTATAGTAGGAAAAGAAACTAATACAACATAGATGCAAAAATGTTTAACAAAATATTAGCAAACCAGATCAGAGAAAATGTAGAATAGGAATTGTACACCATGACCAACTGGACTTTATTCTAGGGCTGGCTCAACATTTAAAATGAATTAATGTAATTCACAACATCACCAGGATAAAGAAGAAAATCATCTGGTCATGTCAATTGATACAAAAAAGCATTTAACAAAATCCAATACCCATTCATAATAAAATTCTCAGCAAACAAGGAATAGAGGGGACTTCCTCTACTCTGTAAGGAATACTTACAAAAATCCAACAGCTAACTTCATACTTCCTGGTGAGAAACAGATGCTTCCTTACTAAGATCAGGAACAAAGTAAAGATACTCCTTCACAGCACTCCTATTCAACATATTACTGGTAGTCTTAGTGCAATAAGACAAGAAAAGGAAATAAAAAAAAAAGATTAGAAAGGAATAAATAAAACTGCCTTTGTTCACAGATAATATTATTTTCTATGCATGAACTCTCTTCAAATTGACAAAAACAATCCCCCAAACCCTTCTGAAATTAATAAACAAATGTAGCAAAGTCATAGGATTAAAAGTTAATATATGAAAGTCAATTATTATTGGAATTTGAAATAAAAATACCATTTACAATAACACCAAAAACTGACATACTTAGGTGTACATTAAACAAAATAGCTACAGGAACTGTACGTGGAAAACCACAACACTATGTGAAAAAAAATCAAAGATGATCTGTTTATGGTTTGTAAATCTCAATATTGTTAAGACATCAACTTTTCCCAGCTTGATTTCCAGTTTTAATGGAATCCCAATCAAAATCTGAGCAAGTTATTTTGTAGACACTGACAAACTGATTCTGAGCTTACACAGAAAGGCAAAAGACCTAGAATTGTCAGCACAATGCTGAAAACTGCAGAACAAAGTTGAAGGACTCACATTACCTGATTTTAAGAGTTGCTATAAAACTATAATAATTGAGAAAGCATCACATTGATGAAAGAATAATTATATAGATCAGTGGAACACAATAGACAACCTAGAAATAGACCCAACAAAGTATAATCAACTGACCTTTGACAAAGGAACAAAGATAATTCAATGGAGGAAGAATAGGCTTTCCAACAAATGATGCAAAATATCAGAGAGGCAAGAGAAAGAAAATGGATCTAAACACAGACCTTAGTACTTTCATGAAATTTAACTCAAAATGGATCATAAGCCTAAATGTAAAATGCAAACAATAAATCTTCTAGCAGAAAACACAGGAGATATATATATATATATATATATACATATATATATATCTCCTTGGATTTGATGAGTTTTGATGAGTTTGATGAGTTTTTAGATACAATAAGATAAGTACAATTCAAGAAAGAAAAAATGGTAAATTGTAGTTTATTATAATTAAAAAATTTTATTCTGCAAAAAACAATGTTAAGAGAATAAAACATAAGCCACAGATGGGAGAAAATGTTTACACAACACATATCAGATAAAGTACTTGTATCCAATATACAAAGAACCCATAAAACTCAACAATAAGAAAACAAAAAATCTAATGACTAAACATGCAAAAGATCTGAACAGATACCTCACCAAAGAAGATGGTGACATATAAGTTTACAAAAAAATGATCAATATTATTTGTCATTAGGAGACCCCAAACTAAAACAATAATGAGATACTACTCCTCACTAATTAAAACAGCTATACTTTTAAAAAATGACAATACGAAATTCTGGAAAACATGTATACCAACATTGCTGGGGTAGATAGTGATACAGCCACTTTGAAAGACAGATTGGTAGTTTTTTTTACAGTTATATAGTTTTGCCACACAACTCAGCAATGTACATAGATATTTATAGCAGCTTTATTCATCATCACCACAAAATGGAGGCAACCAAGATGTCCTTCAATAGGTAAATCACTAAACGTTTGTACATTCATACAACAGAATATTATTTGGAATTTTCAACATTAAAAAGAAAAGATCTAGCCATGAAAACACATTGAGGAATCTTAAACACATATTGCTAAGTGAAAAAAGACAATCTGAAAAGGCTACATATTGCATAATTCCAACTCTATGACATACTGGAAAATACAAAACTAGTGAAAAGACCAGCGGTTGCCACATGTTTGGAGAAAGGTGGGAAGGACTGAACAGGTAAAACCTAGGTAATTTTTTAGGGTGATTAAACCCTTTAGTTTGGTAATACAATGGTGGATACAGACATCATGCATTTGACAAAACCATAGAATGTCATAGTAGAGTAAACTTTGATGTGTGCAAATTAGACAAAACCAATCCAACCTCAGTGATGTTTACGACAGGAAAAGTTCAACCTAAGTAACTTTGAAAATGGGTGGATTCTGTAATTCTAAAGGTAAAAGGATCTGCACAAAAGGACTATACTTTGGTTGATAAAGTTGCTTCCCATGGGTGTAGAGTTAACAATTCTGATTCTGTATATGTATACTGGAATTGAACAATCAAGTTCAATCAACTGGATGGCAGATAGTGGGAAACAGGTTTCTTACTGTGGGAATGGTAGTTTATAGGTAAGCAAGGAGGGGGCTAGAATAATCCATATGGTAGTTAATTATAGCTGAATTCATATTTAGCTTAATATAGACCCAGATTGTTACCTATAGAAATATTTATAGATGCGTGCATAAATATGTAATAGTATACACACATATATTTCCTTGCTGTGTCAGCTTAGAGAGCCTGGAAGCAGTAGTACCCCAGTAGTAAGGAACACACCTTCCTCAGATCTTATTTTCAAATACCATCTTCAATAAAAGAGGCAAGGCTCTTTGGATAAATGGCAGATTTTAGGATCAGGTCAGGAAATATACAAGATGAGCCTGGAGTAACTTGTCATGATAGAAAGTAATGAGGTGCTCAAAAACCAAAAAAATAGAAACAAAAACACAACAAACACACATTGATGGGGTTATGTCAAAGGTACACAGAAGCCAACCGAAAGAGCTCCTATGACCAAAGCTGGAATAATTTGGGCGAAGTAAAAATGTAATATTGGATTATAACTCAAATTATAAAATAAATATTAGTGAGTCCAAACTGATATAAAGAAATGATTGATTAATGGGGGAAAGAGGCAAATCTCTCGGCAGACATAGTCTAAATAACTTACATGGATGTTCTACTTTCGTGGAGGTGGATCGTGAGGCCCCATTCCTTAAATGTGGCTGTGCGTAGTACAGTATGAAAAGGGGGAAAAAGAGTAACGTTACCACAGGAAAGCCTGACAAACCTTACCCTAGCCAGGTAATAAAGGTCAACATCCATAGTGATGTCTTGTTGATAGTATTTACCCTTGGTAGGAAGTGAGGAGAATGACGTTTTACTTCTGCGATCTTCTTCCCCTAACCCCATAACCTCAGTCTATACATGAGAAAAAAATTAGACACCTTATAAGAGAAGGACATCCTACAAAATCTGACCAGTATTCCTCAAAACTGTCAAGGTCATTAAACACAAGGAAGTTTGAGAAATGGTCACAGTCAAAGGGAGTCTAAGAAGACATGGCAAGTGGCACACTGGATGGGATCCTGGAACAGAAAAAGGACATTGGGTGGAAGCTAAGGACATCTGAATAAGTATGACTAGTATTGGTTCATTCATTGTAATAAGTGTACCATTGTAACAAATGTAACAAAAAGATTGTAAAATATTAATAACAGAGGAGGCTGAGTGCCAGGTTTATGGCAACTCTGTATATCTT